>NC_000016.10:46683712-46986742 GCF_000001405.40 Homo sapiens | reverse complement strand
CTTTGTAGAAGGCCCCAATGCATTAGATCCTGGTTTCTAAAAGCTGGGAGATAAAGACTAACTTCTAAGGGATTTTCATCTCTGGCATAGATACATATCTTAATTACCAGATAGCAAGCTAAGTGCCTAGCAATAAAGAACAGATTAAATAAACCATGGTACATCTTCACAACGCATGTTGCTATTTTTTTTAAGTGAATAACAACAAAAAAAAAAGAATGAGGAAAATTTATATGTACTGATATGAAAAGATTTTCAAGATTCATTAAGTGAACGAATCCAGAACAGAACAGTATATACGCTACTTTTGTATTAGGGATAAGAATATAAATGTTAAGGCTGAGCACTGTGGCTCACACTGGTAATCCCAGCACTTTGGGAGGCCGAGGCAGGCAGATCACCTGAGGTCGGGAGTTCGAAACTAGCCTGGCCAACATGGTGAAACCCCGTCTCTACTAAAAATACAAAAATTAGCTGGTCGTGGTAGCAGGCACCTGTAATCCCAGCTACTCAGGAGTCCGAGGCAGGAAAATCACTTGAACCCGGGAGGCGAAGGTTACAGTGAGCTGAGATCGTGCCACTGCACTCCAGCCTAGGCAACAGAGCGAGACTCCATCCCCGCCCCATTCCCCCAAAAAAGAAACAATGGAAGGATAAGTAAGAACTATGCAAGAACTATAAGAGTTAGGGTGAGGTCAACAGGGGTGGAGAAGACAGAGGTGGGATCAAGATTTCTCTTTGTATAATTTTTATATAGTTTAGACTTTTGAATCACATAAATGAATTAAATAATTTTAAAAATCTTAATTTCCTTTGAAAGCAAGATGTCTCGATTCATATGCTCATAGATCTAGGAAATATTCAAGGTGAGATAAAACTATGAAAAATAAGTTGATCTTGAAAGTCATTTAATGGCATTTTTCTAATGTAGATTAAATCAAGGTATTTTGTTTGCTTTCCTTTTCCATTTAACTGATAAATCCTTCAGATCCAGAAATTTAGAGAGAAAACACTGGGACAAGACTAGATTAGAACTGGAAAAATATCTGATATATTTTAATATAATTAAAGTTTTATGATAAGTCATCCTTGGGGTTTGTGCAGCCAGATCACACTAGATTTGAAACTGTTTCAAAGCAACATTGGCTGGTACTAGCACAAGTTATAGTCCTTACAGACTGCGTCCAAAATTATCACAAGCCTGAAAATCTTGCTCCATGCTCTCTGGAATTCACTGTCTATCAAAATCCTGATAGCCTTAATTTCTCTGTTCAAGTGGAAACCTACAGCCTTCTCAAATTGTAACCTTAATTCACCCTTCAGAGAATTAGGGTGATTTCAGCCAGTCCCCAGACCTTGAATGCCACCCTAGAGTAAGTGCTGCAAAACCTATCTTCCAGCCCTGACCTCTTCCCTGAGCTCCAAGTGATTAGGTCCAATTCCTTAATCTACATCTCTACTTAGATATCTAAATTTCAAATTTAACTCTGCCAACATAGAATTTTTTTTTTTTTTTGAGACAGGGTCTTGCTATTACCCAGGCTGGAGTGCAGTGGTGCCATCATGGCTCACTGCAGCCTCAACCTCCTGGACTCAAGCAATCCTCCCACCTCAGCCTCCCCAGTAGCTGGGACTATAGGCGTGTACCACTACACCCACTAATTTTTTATTTTTTGTTGATATGGGGTCTCCCTATGTTGGCCAGGCTGGTCTCAAACTCCTGGTCTCAAGTGATCCTCCCACCTCGGCCTCCCAAAGTGTTGGTATTACAGGCACCAACCACCACACCTGGCCCCAAAATAGAATTCTTGATTCACACAACCACCAAATCTGCTCCTCCTCCAATCTTTTTCAACTCTATAAATGACTCTACCACTGGCTTGGTGCCTCAAGTGAAAAATCTGGAAGTCATCTTGATTTTTCTCCTTTCCAACACCTACATCAAATCCATCAGCAAGTCCTATAGGATCAAGACCCATATCTATTGATAGTACCACATTCTCACTAAAATCCCACTGTCAAACATTATCATCTGTTCCCTTCACACTCTCAAAAGTACTTGCTCTCCTTTGGGAGGCCGAGGCGGGTGGATCATGAGGTCAGGAGATCGAGACCATCCTGGCTAACAAGGTGAAACCCCGTCTCTACTAAAAATACAAAAAATTAGCCGGGCGCGGTGGCGGGCGCCTGTAGTCCCAGCTACTCGGGAGGCTGAGGCAGGAGAATGGCGTGAACCCGGGAAGCGGAGCTTGCAGTGAGCCGAGATTGCGCCACTGCAGTCCGCAATCCGGCCTGGGCGACAGAGCGAGACTCCGTCTCAAAAAAAAAAAAAAAAAAAAAAAAAAGTACTTGTTCTCATTCTCACCAATGGCCTCCACTTCACTAAATCCAATCCTGATGTAGTTGAAGGATTGCTGGAGTCACAGTATTAGAGGGAGTGGAAAGATAAGAGGTAGAGGTCAAAGAATGAGATTAAGGAGGGTTTCACAATGGCAAAGTTATATGATCATGGAAGTGAATAGCTGAGGAGTATAGGACACGATCACTGGATATGAGTTGAAGGAACAGAGAGGTGAGGGTGTTGGAAGGACCATTTACATATACACTGAAAAAGCCAAGAATTAAGACAGGAATGGAGTTGGACAGACAGTGAGCCAGAAACCAGTATTTTTGAGAAAGCAGGAGTGACTTTGGGGGAGCTGATAAATTGACAATGCAACAAGAGATAGTAGGTGGTATATTCTAGTGACCTGAGAGTAAAAGCTATAGGTTTTTAGGAATGTGAGAGGGTGAAATATCTGGAAACAGCAATAAGGATCAGGTATTTCATCTCCAGGCTTTAGTAGACTTCCAAAATATAGTCCAAATCCATCTATTCCTCCTCATTTTCACGTTTGCTATCCTAGTCTAAGCTGTCTATCTTCATCTGTCTCTCTTGTCTTCATCTGGACCCCTGCAATTGAGCTTCCTAATTGTTTCCTTGATGGTTGATTTACCCACATTTTATTTTGTGTCTCTTTGATACTGTGATTTGTTTTAACCCAATAAAATTCACTAAGGAAAAAGTGCCTGATACAAAAAAACTGAACTCCAGATTGTGACTACCTTCACGACTAATTCAGAAGTGAAGGAGCTTCCTGTATTCCATTCATTTTTTTCTCTTTCTTAGCTATGATATCTTTCCTTTTTTTCTGATTAAGCGATATTGAGACCTCTTAGTGTTATAGCTAGGAGAAAGATTTGGCACTTAAAATGTCACTGCAGATTTAGATGATTGTTCTAATGCTTAAGGCATGGAAATTTTATTAAGCAAGTTTATTCTGACTTTTTTTTTTTTTTTTTTTTTTTTTTGAGACACGGTCTCGCTCTGTCACCCAGGCTGGAGTACAGTGGCACGATCTCGGCTCAATGTAACCTTCACCTCTCAGGTTCAAGTGATTCTTATACCTCAGTCTCCTGAGTAGCTGGGATTACAGGTGCACACCACCACACCCAGCTAATTTTTGTATTTTTAGTAGAGACAGGGTTTCTCCATGTTGACTACATTGGTCTTGAACTCCTGGCCTCAAGTGATCTGCCTGCCTCAGCCTCCCAAAGTGCTGGGATTACAGGCGTGAGTCACCATGCCCAGCCTATTCTGACTTTAAAACAAATATTTTAGGCAGGGCACGGTGGCTCACACCTGTAATCCCAGCACTTTGGGAGGCCGAGGCGGGTGGATCACCTGAGGTCAGGAGTTTGAGACCAGCATGACCAACATGGAGAAACCCCATCTCTACTAAAAACACAAAATTAGTAGGGCGTGGTGGCACATGCCTGTAATCCCAGCTACTCGGGAGACTGAGGCAGGAGAACTGCTTGAACCTGGGAGGCAGAGGTTGCAGTGAGCCGAGATCGTACCATTGCACTCCAGCCTGAGCAAGAGCGAAACTCCGTCTCAAAAAAAAAATAAATATTTTAAAGACTGTATGTCAGAACAACATCATGTGTTCTTCATGTGCAAAATTTTTTTTCAAAAATGTTCAAATATAGGATAACCTTAGACTATTTAAAAAAATACAATGCCCTCACCTTACCTCAGATCAATTCGGTCACGATTTCTGGGAGGACAGACCCAGAAAATAGCATTTTTAAAAGTTCCCCTAGGGGTTCTGATGAGCAGTCAGTGAACTGTCCTAGGTCTTACTTCTTTATACACTGGCAATATGTTGAGGGGATTCCCAAATTTACATCTCCAGTTTGAACACCTGCCCCTTTCAACTCTATTCTTACAAGCCCAGCTGCTTGGCTGAGTGCAGTGGCTGTAATCCCAACACTTTGGGAGGCCGAGGTAGGAGGACTGCTTGAGCCCAGGAGTTTGAGGCTGCGGTGAGCTATGATTGCACCATTGTACTCCAGCCAGGGCAATGGAAAAAAAAAATCAAACTGCTTAATATTTATCCAATAACGAGTTGGCAAGGATGTGGACAAAAGCAAACCCTTGCACACTGTTGGTAGGAATGTAAATTAGTACAGCCACTATGGAGAACAGCATGGATGTTCCTCAAAAAACTAAAAACAGAACTACCATAAGACCCAGTAATCCCACTTCTGGGTGTATATCCAAAAGAACTGAAATCAGTATGTCAATGAGATGTCTGCACTCCTATGTTCACTGAAGCATTATTCAGAATAGCCAAGACATGGAACCAACCTAAGTGTCCATCAATGGATGAATGGAAAAGAAAATGTGATACACACACACACACACACACACACACACACACACACACACTGGAATACTATTCAGTTATTAATAAGAGGGAAATTCTGCCTTGTTTTTGAGATGGAGTCTTGCTCTGTTGCCCAGGCTGGAGCGCAGTGATGCAATCACAGCTCACTGCAACCTCTGTCTCCCAGGGTCAAGCGATTCTCCTGCCTCAGCCTACCAAGTAGCTGGGTTTACAGGCACATGCCACCACAACCGGATAATTTTTTTGTTTTGTTTTGTTTTTCCTGAGATGGAGTCTTGCTCTGTCACCCAGACTGGAGTGCAGTGGCGCAATCTCGGCTCACTGCAACCTCTGCCAGGTTCAAGCGATTCTCCTGCCTCAGCCCCCCGAGTAGCTGGGATTACAGAAGTGTGCCACCATGCCCAGCTAATTTTTGTATTTTTAGTAGAGACAAGGTTTCACCGTGTTGGCCAGGCTGGACACAAACTCCTGACTTCAGGTGATCCACATGCCTCGGCCTCCCAAAGTGCTGGGTTTAGAAGCCTGAGCCACTACACCCGGCCTAATTTTTTTATTTTTAGTAGAGATGGGGTTTCACTGTGTTGGCCAGGCTGGTCTTGAACTCCTGACCTCAGGTGATCAGCCTCCTTGGCCTCCCAAAGTGCTGGGATTACAGGCGTGAGCCACCACACCCGGACAAAAAAGAGGGAAATTTGGTCATTTGTAACAAAAGAATTGAACCTGGAGAACATTATGCTAAGTGAAATAAGCCAGGCACAGAAAGACAAATACCACATGATCTTGCTTACATATGGGATCTAAAAATCTTATGGAAGTATAGTTGTGGTTATCAGAGGCTGTGAGGAGAGGAGGAATGAGGAGATGTTGACCAAAGTGTACACTTTCAGTTTGACAGGAAGATAATGTTTTAAGATCTGTTGCACAACATGGTAACCGTAGTCAACAATAATGTATTGTATATTTTAAAATTGCTAAAAGAACAGATTTTAAATGTTCTCACTACAAAAAAAATAAGTATGTAAGGTGATGGATATGTCAGTTTGGTATAATCATTCCACAATGTATATTATACATACATTAAAACATTGGACCGGGCACAGTGGCTCACACCTGTATCCCAGCACTTTGGGAGGCCGAAGTGGGCAAATCACCTGAGGTCTGGAGTTCAAGACCAGCCTGGCCAACATGGTGAAACCCCATCTCTACTAAAAAATTACAAAAATCAGCCAGGCATGGTGGCAGGTGCCTGTAATCCCCACTACTTGGGAGGCTGAGGCAGGAGAATCGCTTGAGCCCGGGAGGTGGAGGTTGCAGTGAGCCGAGACCACACCATTCCACTCCAGCATGGGCGACAAGAGCGAAACTCTGTCTCATAAAAAAAAAAAAAACAAAACAAAAAACCGTACGAGTTTGAGACCAGCCTGGGCAACAGAGCAAGACCCTGTCTCTACAAAAAATAAAAATATTAGCCAAGTGTGAGTTGGCACACAACTCAGGAGGTTGAGGTGGGAGGACTGCTTGAGCTAAGGAGTTTGAGGCTGCAGTGAGCTTTGATCTTGCCACTGTACTCCAGCCTGAGTGATACAGTGAGACCTTGTCTCAAAAATAAATTTAATTTAAAAAATATTTCCTTGAATGTTAATAAATTAACATGAACTTTTATTTTCACCCTGCCCTCATTTCTGCCCAACATCTAATTCTATCAGTTCAAAGGTGAAAATATATCCAGAAGCCGATTCCTCACCAACTCAACATCTTCTATCTTGGCCCAAGTCACCTCTCACCTAGGTTTTATTACAATAGGTTCTCAACACAGCTAACAGAATGATGTGTTTAAAATGCACTTATGTCTCTCCTCTAATCAAAATCCTTTAATAGCATAGCCAGGAGTGGTGGCTAACACATGTAATCCCAGCATTTTGTGGGGCTGAAGCAGGCGGATCACTTTGAGCTTAGGAGTTTCGAGACCAGCCTGGGCAACACGGCAAAACCCTGTCTCTACAAAAAATATAAAAATTAGCCAGGCATTGGTGGTACATGCCTATAGTCCCAGCTACTCAAGAGGCTGAGGCTGGAGAATCACTTGAGCCCAGGAAGTGGAGGGTGCAATGAGTGGAGATGGCGCCATTGCACTTCAGTCTGGGTGACAGAGCAAGACTCTATCTCAAAAAAAAAAAAACAAAAAACAAAAAAACCAAAACCCTTTAACAGCTTCCCAGCTCACTCAGAGTAAACATCAAAGTCTTTATAGTGGACCTGATTGAGTCCCCGACAACCTCTCTGATGTGAGCTCTTTCCAAGATCTCCCTACCTTGCTGCTACCCAGTCATACTGGCCTCCTTCCTCTAACAAACCAGGCATGCTCTGCCTTAGGGCCTTTGCAGGCCCACTGCCTCAGCAATTGTTTTCTCACATATCCTCAAGGCCCTGCTTCCTCTAGATCACTGTTCAAATGTCACCTTCCTCAAACACCTTAAATAAAAATTGTTCCCAACCCCAATACTCTCGTTTTCTCTACAGCACATAATACCATCTGATATGCTATGTATTTACTTATTTACTGCCTGCCTTCCCCACTAGATGTACATTCTGTAAAGGCAGCGATTTTGTTTCGTTTATGGCTGTCCCCTATCCTACCAAACAGTGCCTGCCACATAGGAGGGTCCACAACACATATTTGTTGAATGAATGAATCTATAGATAAGTGAAAAAAACTCAGATTCAGATTCTCGCACTCAATTAACACAGAAGACTTCTGTGACCAAATATGTGGGGATTTCTCCCCACCAACAAGCAAGCAATCAATTATACAGTAGACACCAGGTAGGTGACCTCCAACTCAATTCTGACACTATCTACTTGGTAGCATCAGATCCCACAGGTTGAGGGCTCAGTCGCCTCACTTCTGATACCAATAGCAAGCCCCAGGTTGTTTCACCTGTGTCTCTGACCAGCTGAATAGAAATTAGGGTTCCCATGAACCCTTCCTTGGGTTTGATTAATTTTGCTACAGTGGCTCACAGGACTCTGGGAAACACATTTACCAATTTATTATAAGGAATGTTACAAAGGATACAGATGGAGGGATGCACAGAGCAAGGTATGAGGGAAGGGGCTCAGAGCTTTTATGCCCAGGTGCCCCACCCTCCAGGAACCTCCACATGTTCAGCTATCCAGGAACTCCAACTCTGTCTTCTTGGGCCTTTTATGGAGACTTTACTGGACAGGCATAATTGACAACCATGTAAAAATGTGACTGGACAAAAAGGTATGATCTAATATTAACAGACTGAGTGGGGAAACCCAGCAAGGCCTGTCTGCTTAGATTCCTCATGGCCTCTCTGTGCAGCACTCCCTTCTTGAGGATATGGAACAGGACCCCTTCAGAAATGGAAGTCTCATGACCTACAATCAGACAAGATAGGTCAGATAATTCCTTCTCTTCTCATAATTAAAAATATATTTTTTTAAAGATAGGGTCTCACTCTGTCACCCAGGATGGAGGGCAGTGGCACAATCATAGTTCACTGTAACTTTCAACTCTCGGGCTCAAGTGATTCTCCCACCTGAGCCTCTCAAATAGCTAGGATGACAGGTGCACAACACCCAGCTAATTTTTTCTTTCTTCTTTTTTTTAGAGATAAGATCTTGCGGGCCGGGCATAGTGGCTCACACCTGTAATCTTAGCACTTTGGGAGGCCGAGGCAGGCAGATCACTTGAGGTCAGGAGTTCGAGACCAGCCTGGCCAACATGGTGAAACCCCATCTCTACTAGAAATACAAAAAATTTGCCCAGCATGGTGGCAAACACCTGTAGTTCCAGCTACTCGGGAGGCTGAGGCAGGATAATCACTTGAACCTGGGAGGCAGAGATTGCAGTGAGCCAAGATCGTGCCACTGCACTCCAGCCTGGGTGACAGAGTGAGATTCCGTCTCAAAAAAAAAAAAAAAAAACAACTCGCTATGTTGCCCAGGCTGGTCTCAAATTATCCTACCACCTCGGCCTCTTGAAGTGCTGGGATTACAGGTATGAGCCACCACTCCCCAGCCCCAGCTAATTTTAAAAAATTTTTGTAGAGACGGGTCTTGCTATGTTGTCCAGGCTAATCGAATTTTTTTTTTGAGATGGAGTCTCGCTCTGTTGCCCAAGCTGGAGTGCAGTGGTGCGATCTCCGCTCACTGCAAGCTTGGCCTCCCGGGTTCACGCCATTCTCCTGCCCCAGCCTCCCAAGTAGCTGGGACTACAGGTGCCCACCACCACGCCCGGCTAATTTTTTGTATTTCTAGTAGAGACGGGGTTTCACCGTGTTAGCCAGGATGGTCTCGATCTCCTGACCTCGTGATCCACCCACCTTGGCCTCCCAAAGTGCTGGGATTACGCGCATAAGCCACCACGCCTGGCCTTTATGTATATTATGTATATATTATATATATATTACAGTGGTAATGAGGTGTGTGTATATATATACACATATATGTGGAAAACATATATATTCATATTCATATCTCATATTATCACAATAGACATATCTTCTCCACTATTTTTCCCACACTAATTGTTAGATGGCTAAATTTATTGGGTCAATTTCTCTGCTTACTATACCACTGCAATTATATAAGCAAACTGAACCTTTGGAAAATGCTAATTAATAAGGCAGGGTTTGACACGACTGGGTTTGAAAGGCCAGCAGTGGGGCTAGAAATACCTACCACATACAACTGTGCTGCCCCATCACTGAATAATCTACTTTAAGCACTGAAAGAAATTCAGAGATTATTCAGTGATCCAAGTCCCACAATTTTTTCTTTCCAGAGTACCAACAATCATCAAATTATGTGGTCCTGACACCCTCATAACAAGAACCATCAGTACCTTCTTCTGTATCCCCCCAAAATATTTTAACCTGCATCACTTACTCTATACATTCAAACCTAGTTAAAGCAGAAAGCAAAACTATTTTCTGACTGCCTCAATGATATATCTGGAGTTGTCTAAGTAATGGATTACACAGTTCCCAATTACTTGTGAACAGTATCAATGGTCTTCAAAAATACTACAGTTCCTATACCCCCCGTCCCAGTCCATATCCACCTCCTCTCCATCCCAACCCTTCACAGTTACACAAGCATACTAAATCAAAGCAAAGGAATTGAACACCAATATAAGCCTGGCAGAAATCTGAAATCACTGCCGCCTCAAACTTTAGATCACTGCAGCGCTCAGGTGTACTGTGACTCAGCATTTTACAGTGCCTGAGACATGAAATGAGATAAAGGTCCTTTTCCCTTCACAGCATTGGCTAAACATGAAGCCAAAATAAATATGCTACCTCAAAACAGTTAGTGGCTGGAACATTACAGTGCTCACACTGACACAGGTTTATCTCAGTCTGTGATCCTTGGGAGGAGACCCTGTGTCAGTTTAAGCACACAAAGTTCTTCTGAAATAACTCGAGCTATAAAATTAGCAAATTATGCTGACTACAATTAATACCCAGAAATGGAGAAAATATTGCAAAGAAATGAAAATGAAATTCAAAAATAGTTACTGTGGTTACTGGTCTAGTCAGGTAAAAAACTAAAATAAAATAACAAGAACAAAAGAGGGAATTTACCCAGCTACTCTTCATTACAATATCAGAAGCTAAAATGGCATCAAGAGAGAATTTTTTCCTCTTGCAAAAAAAAAAACTGAGTAAAACTGAAACAAATAGGAAACTCCAGCCCTTTTAAACTGTTCATGGGCAGAAGGAAAATAAGATAAAACAATATGAAACAAATAAGATAAATTAATATGAAGGTTGCAACAAAGACAGATTTTCAGTTCATATTCTTACGTGGAGCAGGAACTAACAGAGAAATGAGACGAGAGAAAATGATAACTGACAAGCAAGGAGATTTGGGAAGATGAGGTCATGAAAAGGGACGGAGGGGCATTCCCCATAGGTAATGGAAGAAGTCAGGGAATCCCAGTAGAAAAGCCAGAAATTTAAATGAGCAAAGACAACGTAAGCATATGGGCCAAGAACAATAGTTTATACTTAATTTCTTTTAGCTTCTTAGTAATTTTTTAAATTTTAATTATTTATTATTATTTTGAGACAGGGTCTCACTCTGTCACCCAGGCTGGAGTGCAGTGGTGTGATCTTGGCTCACTGCAACCCCCACCTCCTGGGCTCAAGGGATTCTCCCACCTCAGCCTCCCGAGTAGCTGGGACTACAGGCGTGCGCAACCACCCCCAGCTAATTTTTGTGTTTTTAATAGAGACGGGGTCTTGCCATGTTGACCAGGCTGGTCTCGAACTCCTGACCTCAAGTGATCAGGACTTGAGGCAGGAGTGATCCCGCCTCAGCCTCCCAAAGTTCTGGGATTACAGGCCACTGCGCCCAGCCCTAAGTAATAGAAATGTATAACTCTTTTAAACCAATGATATAAAAAATAACAAGCCCCATCTTACACCTGAGGAAACCTCAGAAAAGTTAAGTAACTTGCTGAAGGTCACATTGTTCCTAAATGGCAGAGTCAGACTACCAACCTACACAGTCTAACCTCGCCATAACTTTACACCGTCTCTTACGAACATCTCAAAATGTGAAAAGTAGAGAATTGGATTTTACAGCCGTGCATGAGGATGACGTCAGCATTTACACGGCAATGGCGGTTGGCAGAGGCAGTGGCTCAGGCCTGCAATCCCAGCACTTTGGGAGGCCAAGGTGGGTGGATGATTTGAGATCAGGAGTTCGAGACCAGCCTGGTCAACATGGTGAAGCTCCACCTCTACTAAAAATACAAAAATTAGCCGGGCATGGTGGTGGGCGCCTGTAATCCCAGCTACTCGAGAGGCTGAGGTGGGAGAATCACTTGAAGCCGGGAGGTGGAGGTTGCAGCGAGCTGAGATGGCGCCACTGCACTCCAGCCTGAGCGACATAACGAGACGCTGTTTCAAGTAAAAAAAAAAAAAAAAAAAAAAAAACAAAAGAGTTCGAGATCCTACCACAAAAGGTACAAACGAAGGGTGGTGGGAACTCGAATGAGATAGCAGTGTTCACCAGTGCCCAGTAAAGGAAGACTTCACAGAGGGAGCAGGATTTCAGATGGGATTTGAGGAAAAGGGTTTAAGGACTATTAATGACTTATCACTGATTACTCTTAGGGTTTTCAAGCTAAATTTCAGAGTCCTTGTCATGGAATTCAGGCCCTCCACAACTAGGTCAAAGGGAACGCCAAGGAAGAAACATTATCCTGAGTGAGATGCTTATGCTGAAGTCTTTGCTATCAGTTCAGGTTCCAAGGGATCAGAAAACCTTACTTTTCTGTCTCCATAAACCGTAAATGGGTTGAAGGCAGGCACTTTTGTAACACTCCTCTCCCCGGACCAGGCCTCTGTACATCATAGCACTTGGTAGATGCACAGCATACTTTCTGAGCGAAACTAAAACGAATGTAAATCAAGTCACCTGGTGGCCAGACTTGCCTTACACCATCTAAACCTCTGGTGTTAGCTAATTTTAAAGCTATCAAGTAAGAGGCTTAAACACGTGGTCCAGATGCAACATGTGGACCTTGGTTTGGACCCGGATGCCACAAACCAATTGTAAAAGGACATGAGATCATCTGAAAAACCTAAATATGGACTGGGAATTAGATTAAGGAATTGTTAATTTCATTAGATGAGATTACATCGTTATGCCTTTAAAAGTTGTCTCTTAGATATTAAATATATACACTTAGGGTATTTATGAATGAAACGGTTTCCCTTAAAACACTAGAAATGTATGGTGGAGCCAATGAAACAGGTAAAAGGTAGCTAACTGCACTATGGGGAGTAATATACTGCTTCTGCTAAATGTTTCAGAATTCTCATAATATAAAACACAACATACACACACACGCGCCCCCCAGTTTTTTTCATCGTAAGCCCCGAGGGAGCCAGACCCAGAGGGTCCACCGACGTCCCGGATTCTAATAACGACATCTGCGCGCCAGGCGGGCCTCCTGCGGGAGCCGGGGCCCATTTTCTTTCGAAGCTAACGAAGCTGCTGCGCAGGCCTGTTAATTCCCTCAGCAGCCAGTGCGAGGTTAAACACGCGACCTCGCAACCATGGCTTTTGAGAGGAAGCTGAATTCCTGGGGTGCGCCGTGCACAGTTCTTCATTTCCTACGTTGGCCCTGCCCAGCCGCCTGGACCTGGAGGAAAACAGAGAACCTGGCCCACTCTTCAATACTTCGACCCCAGTGGCCGCGCCTCGGGCGCTCGGGGGCGGGCTCTGCACAGCGACGTCACGGCGCACCGTGCGCTGGGTCAAAGTTCAGCCCCGCCCCCGCTTCCCCCTCGCTGTCTCCCTCGGCCTGTGCCGCCGCCGACGCCGCTTGTGGGCCCGACTCCGCTCTGTCTGCTTCGCCACCTTCTCCCCGAGCACTGCCCGGCCGGCCGCCATGGCTAACGTGGCTGACACGAAGCTGTACGACATCCTGGGCGTCCCGCCCGGCGCCAGCGAGAACGAGCTGAAGAAGGTATCTGGGAGCGGGCCGGGCGGGTGTGAGGGGCGCGGGGCCTGCGCGGCCAGGGATGTCTTCTTCAGCCAGGCCGCGCTACTGGGCTGCCCGCGAGCCGGCGCCGGCCGTGACTGGCCCGGGCTGGGAGTCGGCGGCGGCGGCGGGACCGGCCTCGCCGCGAGCCGCGCACTCCGGCCTCGGCTGACCTTGGGGCCGCCGGCCCCGCCCGCCCGCAGATGCAGCAAATAAAACTCACTCCTGCGCAAACACGATGGGAGCCCTTCCTTCCTCCCTCCTTGAACGAGCGCCGGGGGCTGGTATCCCCCGGGAGGCAGCAGCTCGCCCGGTCCTTCGCGTCGAGGTCACCACCCCGGAAAAACAGGTTGGACCGAGGTGCTCAGCGCATCCCGGCCCCGAGAGAGAAGCTGTCCGCCCCGCGGCCGTCGGCCCCGGGTCTGGTGCTCCGCGGGGAGGAACGGCGGGGAGGTCGAGGCCGCCCCCACAGAGCGCCTCGGGCGGATGGGGTTGTTTCCTGGGTTCCGCGGCCGCCGGCTGCGGGAGCTCCTCCCTCTCTGCGTCCCTCGCCCATTGACCCGGAGGTAGCTGGGTCTGTGTTTGGATGCATTGTTCTTTGGGCAGGTAATGCTAATGTCCTGTACCTGCTTAGGAATAAGCCGTGGTCCCAGCCAAACGCCTGAGTGTACAGTAAACATAAATAGAAGGCCTTATTATTGCTATTTGCAATGCTGCGATATCTTTCATCTCAGGATTTCAAAGCACACGAGGCATTTAAGCCCCACAGCATCCTCACCAGGCTAAGAGCATCCAGATTTGTAAGCCGAGAAAAATGAGAATGCTCCTTAGGCAGTGAGAAGAGTACAGTGGACTTCCTGTTACCTTACCGGAAATGCTAGTCTGTATTATATAATTCACGAGCCTCCGTGAATGAAGATTTAAGTGCTTTAGGACCCAAACACCTCGTTGAGAGTGTGTGCAACTTCTCTACCACCGAAGTTGCCACCACGACCCCAGTTAACCACCACGTGCAAATAAAACACCAAAAGACGCTAACTAGGACCACCTTTACTTTTTCATGATGTTACAGTTAGAAGGAAGGCGTGAGCCATCGGGAGCAGGAATTGTGACTTTAGCTTGATTTATAGTAATGTTTTGCAGTCCGCAAAGCTTAACAGTCATTTATCTCGAATTTATTAGGGTCGTCTTGGTCTGGTTACTTGGCCATCAAAGACACTTGACAATAGGGAAAATATGGATAATGTTTGAACGTTTTGTTTTTCCCTGTGGCATTGCTTCATTGTTTTATCTGGTTTTCACGTCACTGTAACCTGTTTTCAAGTATAGCTGCTGTCTACTTGGTTATATTACATTAGTAAACAGTATCGCGAGAAAGTGCCGAAGAATCCCTACGAATAGAAAATATTTTTGAAAGGTTATAACTCTAGAACATTACTTCTCAGAAAAGTGGATATTAAGTTATTACAAAACTTTTAACTGGTGTTTAGTTATAACCTTTTTTGTTTTTATCCATTTTCAAAGGCATACAGAAAGTTAGCCAAGGAATATCATCCTGATAAGAATCCAAATGCAGGAGACAAAGTAAGTTATTTGCACCTTTTTTATTCCGGGGGTTTTAGCTTTAACTTAAATTGCCCTCCTTGAAAAAGAGGAATGTTGCAGGAAAAAAATCCAACTATGCCCACACAGCCACATTTTCATAATGTCAAGAGTATTTTAGTTTTAGAATAAGAGTACTACCATTCTGAGGAGCGGTGGGTGGTAAATAGAACCAGAATCAAGTCAAAGGTAACTTGTCCCTTTTTTTTTTTTTTTAGAATTAAATGGATTCTGGATTCCTGTAGCTTCTCCCCACTCTTCTACTTGAAAATGCAATTATTTTTATTTTTACCTTTTCTTTATAGTTTAAAGAAATAAGTTTTGCATATGAAGTACTATCAAATCCTGAGAAGCGTGAGTTATATGACAGATACGGAGAGCAAGGTCTTCGGGAAGGCAGCGGCGGAGGTGGTGGCATGGATGATATTTTCTCTCACATTTTTGGTGGGGGATTGTTCGGCTTCATGGGCAATCAGAGTAGAAGTCGAAATGGCAGAAGAAGAGGAGAGGACATGATGCATCCACTCAAGTGAATATCTTGTTTTGTTGTTTTAAAAAATTAAGTACTTTTTGTCAAGTGGGATAATGACTCAGTAGATGAAAAATCTCATAGAGTGTTCTGTCCTTCATTAGAAAAACTTCCATTTGCCTTGTCTTCTTTTGGTGACTAAATTGAATTTGATTATCTGAATGTTTCTATTTCGCTGTAGCTCTTAAAAGGACAGTCGATATTTTTTAATGAGAGGAAGGTGGTTTTATATGGTTCTGAGGCTGCTTGTTATTATAGGACTTAAAATTTCAACTGTGAAGATCATTTTCTCTCTCTCTCTTTTTTTTTTTTTGAGACCGAGTTTCGCTCTTGTCCAGGATGGAGTGCAGTGGCACAATCTCAGCTCACTGCAACCTCTGCCTCCTGGGTTCAAGCGATTCTCCTGCCTCAGCCTCCCAAGTAGCTGGGATTACAGGCATATGCCAACACACCCGGCTAATTTTGTATTTTTAGAAGAGATGGGGTTTCTCCATGTTGGTCATGCTGGTCTCGAACTCCCAACCTCAGGTGATCTGCCTGCCTCGGCCTCCCAAAGTGCTGGGATTACAGGCGTGAGCCACTGTGCCCGACCTTTTTTTTTTTTTTTTTTTTTTTTTTGAAATGGAGTCCCTGTCGCCCGGGTTGGAGTGCAGTGGCACCATCTAGGCTCACTGCATCCCCCTCCTCTCAGGTTCAAGAAGTTCTCCTGCCTCAGCCCCCCAAGTAGCTGGGATTACAGGCACCCGCACCATGCCCGGCTAATTTTTGTATTTTTTAGTAGAGACAGGGTTTCGCCATGTTGGCCAAGCTGGTCTTGAACTCAAGTGATCTTCCTGCCTCATCCTCCCAAAGTGCTGGGATTACAGGCATAAGCCACTGCGCCCAGCCTATTTTCTTTGAAGTATATGAATCTTCCAAGTTACCTTTTATTTAAAAACTAAAAATGAGTGACTGTCTGCCTACTTTGTGTACATGTTAGAGTCACTCATTACTTGATCCTCAGTGTGAACTCTTCTGAGTTGGTTTCCATGGAGCTTGCTGGCTTCCAGCCTGACCTTAACCTGCCAACACATGAATGGTGCCTGACCTTGGTCTTAGACTGTGAATCCACAAGCCCTCTCCAGTATGAAAATAGCTGTTTCACTTTGCAAAATCTGGGAGGTCTTTTTTCCCATTCTTTTTTTCATGGACCAATAAATGATTTTATTAGCAAATGTCAGTGGCCGAAGTTCAGGTACTTATTTAAAATATTTCATAATATCCTAGTTTATACACTTGAGTAAATTAGAGGAAGTCATGTTATCTGTTAACTTTGAGTCTCATTGAATCCTTAAATTTGTTTTTTAAAAGAATTTACCCTCAGAAATTAACATTTGGATACCATTCCAATGGTAATATTTGTGCAGTGCAGGTTAATTCGTTTATATTTTTCTTTAATATAGAAATGGTCTAAAAAGAAAATAGGGTCAAAAGAGTGCTGTCTGTACTTTATAGTTCTTCATGTTTAAAAAAAAGTTATGCTATATAGTGAAAGTTTTCTGCTGTTTTAACATTTCAGATTTTCCTGTTATTACAAATACTATGTTTATAATACTGCATTCTATGATTTATTTACCTTTTATATAGGGTATTCCCAGGTTTTTTCTCTGTAATAGATACTGCTGCTATGAGTATCTTTATGTAGAGCTTTGTTTCTCCTTGGCAGAGATTCCCAGGCAGGCATGAGTGTTTTGAGGCTGATAAATACAACTAAATTGCCTTGCAGAGGGATTGTGCCAGTTTAGGCCCCACTAGTGGAGAGTGCCAGCCTTGCCAAACCATTACCTGCATTTTTCCTTCCTTGGCCTTCTTTGTTGAGATGTGTATTTTTCTCTGGCTTAGGATACTGGTTGTGCATACCAATTGTAATTTAATATGTAGGGGAAGAAAGCCGATTTTCTTTAAATGATTTGTTATGCAGAGTATACAAGATGCAACAAGCGTTTTGGTCTAAAGCTCAGCTGTTGATAGGTCATTATTTGACAGTGTTGTTGGTAATGTTTTGTCCATACGTGTGGTATTCTTATCCTGCCTACAACAGTTTTAAGTTTCTGAGAATAACAATTTTAAGAAAGTTTGAATATCACAAAATAGTATAGGTGCTTTGTAAAATACTTTAAACTATTTTTTTGTTCCTCTAACTCCCAGGATTTTAAAGCAGATCATTACGGGATGACCATTACTAATCTGAAATCTGAAATGCTCCAAAATATGAAACTTTTTGAGCACCATCATGATGCCACAAGTAGAAAACTCCACACATAAGTACTTGTCTCACTCTGTCCCCCAGGCTGGAGTGCAGTGGTACGATCTCAGCTCACTGCAGCCTCAATCTCCAGGGCTTAAGCAATTCCCCTGCCTCAGCCTCCTGGGTAGCTGGGACTTCAGACATGCCACTACACCTGGCTAATTATTTTTTATTTTTTGGTAAAGATGAGGTCTCTCTAAGTTGCTCAGGCTGGTCTTGAACTCTGGGCTCAAGCAATCCTCCCTCCTCAGTCTCCCGAAGTGCTGGGATTATAGGCATGAGCCACTGCACCTGGCATGAAAAACTATTCTATCCCTCCTTTCTGTCATACTATAGGTAGGGCCACTTTTATTTTTTTTAAGACATATGCCATCTAAGTGACTCCCTTAAGCCGAAATATAACTTTGTAGCCTTTCTAAATTGTCCATGGAGGAAACAGGGACTCTGGAGCCAGATACCTATGTGATCTTGGGCAAGTTACTTGACTGTTCTGTGCCTCAGTTTTATCACATAAAATGGGAATAATAATTGTACCTCTTCTGAAGGGTTTTTATTAGGAGTTAGGTGGAGGGCTTATGCCTCAGAACAGAAGGTTGTGATATTTGAGTTTGCGAAGTCATCAGCTTTATCAGAAATTCCACCACAGCAAATTGTTGGCCTGATGCTATAGGCTCTGGCTTTGGGTATCATATATGTACTGTCTGTAGTCATAAAATATTTCTGTTAATTTGAGCCATAATATAAGCCTCAGTTTAATTGATTTAATGTGAGATTATGAGGTGTTTTTGAATTCTGTTTTAAAAGTTGATAACGAATTTGCTGTATCAGCTGTTACTTATATCTTGTATTTGACAAAATGTGGCAAAATTTGATTGAAGCCGATTCTTTTCTTTCCAGAGTATCTTTAGAAGATCTGTATAATGGCAAGACAACCAAACTACAACTTAGCAAGAATGTGCTCTGTAGTGCATGCAGTGGGTAAGTGTGTCTTCTGGTTTATTGGGTACATTTTGTCTGTTCTTTTAAGTATCACACTGAATGTCTGTACCACGTAAAAATTGTTATAAGTTAAAACTTACGGCTGGGTGCGGTGGCTCACACCTGAAATCCCAGCACTTTGGGAGGCCGAGTCGGGTGGATCACCTGAGGTAGGAGAATCGCTTGAACCCGAGAGGTGAAGGTTGCAGTGAACCAAGATTGCGCCACTGCACTCCAGCCTGGGTGACAGAGTGAGACTCCATCTCAATAAATAAGTAAAAAAATCTTAGCAGAATGTTTTCTGATACTTCTGGAAGTCAATTTAAATACAAGTTATTGGGGTTGAAGATGAAGGTAAAAGCACAATTTCTGTGTGTCATAGCTTATTGGAGTGGTTTGTGGACAAAAACCTAATGCATAACTTGTGCTTGCTTTAGCCAAGGCGGAAAGTCTGGAGCTGTCCAAAAGTGTAGTGCTTGTCGAGGTCGAGGTGTGCGCATCATGATCAGACAGCTGGCTCCAGGGATGGTACAACAGATGCAGTCTGTGTGCTCTGATTGTAATGGAGAAGGTATGTGTGCCAGTACTTCTCTGCTTTTATGTTGGAATGGATTGGGAATGCAGATATTGGAGAGGTTTACAATTTTTTATTTCAAAGGGTATTTGTATACATCTTATTAAAGAAAAAGGAGGCCGGGTGCGTTAGCTCATTCCTATAATTCCAGCACTTTGGGAGACAGAGGTGGATTGCTCGAGCCCAGGAGTTTGAGGCCAGCTTGGGCAATATAGGGAGACCTCATTACTATAGGAAAAAAAAGTGTGGAAAAATATGTAATGAGGGGCTCAGGGCATGTCTGTGGTCCCAGCTGCGTGGGAGGCTGAGGCGGGAGGATTGCTTGAGCCCAGGAGTTCGAGGGAGCAGTGATCTGTGATCATACCAGTGCACTTCAGCCAGGGTGACAGAACAAGACCCTGTTGCAAAAAATAAAAGATAAAAGTGTGAAAGTAATTACTCCATTATGCCTAAGCCCAGTGAACATAGAGAAACAGTAGATTTGTATTGTGTTAGTGAAAGGTGACTCTTTTTAATTCAGAAAAGAGGAGCAAGGTGATTATTTGTCCCTTTGCTATTTCCTTCTTTATCAAATATAACCTTTTATTTACTCTCTCTGTAGGAATGACCACCATAGGAGGACTATCTCCTTTATCACATAGAACCTTTTAAACTACAAAGGGACAAATAATCAAATAATAAATAACTAAACAAGTAGTTGTTTAGTTATTCTGATAAGTGGAAGATTTCACTGTAACCTTTAGTTAGCTTTTCAGAATTGATCTTGAGATTGAAGCTGTCCTTACAGAAGTAAATAATTTAGTCTTTGTGGGCCAAATAGTTTTTGTCACAACTACTCATCTCTGACCTTTTAGTGCTTTTATGGCCACAGACACATGGATATGGCTGTGTTCTGATTAAAATTTTAATTATAAAAACACATAGCTCCTCCCACCCCTGCCATTCTAGAGCAGTGCTATCCAATAGAATTTTTTTCTGTGATGATGGAAATGTTCTGTATCTGCAGTGTCCAGTACAGTAGCCATTAATCACCTGTGACTACTGCATATTTCACATGTGGCTAGTGTGACTGGAGAACTATTTTAAATTTGAATTAATTTAAACATAAACAAGTAGCTACAGGTTGATAGTGGCTACCATATTTGACAGTATAGTTCAATAGCATCCTTTTCCAAATTGCTATTGGAAGTGATGAGATAATTATGAGAAGTTACATATGATATTTCCTTCCTGGAGAGTCTTGGCATTTTACTTTATTTTTTTAAATTATTATTATTTTTGGAGATAGGGTCTTGCTGTCGCCTGGGCTGGAGTGCAGTGGCACACTCTCGGCTCACCGCAGCCTCCACCGCCCACGCTGAAGCAATCCTTCCACCTCAGCCCCTCGCCCCACAATTAGCTGAGACCATAGGTGCTTGCCACCACGCCCAGCTAATTTTTGTATTTCTTGTAGAGATGGGGTTTTGCCACGTTGCCCAGGCTGGTCTCGAACTCCTGGGTTCAAGTAATTCTCCTGCCCCAGCCTCCCAAAGGGCTGGGATTACAGGTGTTAGCCACCACTCTTGGCCTGCTTTTATTTTATTATAATTGCTAACTCCCACTATCAAGAAACCAAAGTTAACTGAAATCTTTCTCATGTACCATTACATTTTTCTTTTTTCTTTTTTTTTTTTTTTTGTGAGACGGAGTCTTGCTCTGTTGCCCAGGCTAGAGTGCAGTTGCGTGATCTCAGCTCACCGAAGCCTCTGCCTCCCTGGTTCAAGTGATTCTGCTGCCTCGGCCTCCTGAGTAGCTGGGATTACAGGCGCCTGCCACCACGCCCGGCTGATTTTTGTATTTTCAGTGGAGACGGGGTTTTGCCGTGTTGGCCAGGCTGGTCTCAAACTCCTGACCTCAGGTGATCCTCCCGCCTTCGCCTCCCAAAGGGCTGGGATTACAGGTGTGAGCCACCATGCCCGGCCACTATTACCATTTTGAAGAACGTGTTTTGCAGAACATACTTTGCACAAGTACTGTTACAGAAACAGTCCCTAAATAATCAGTTATACACTTCTTTCTAAGCCTTCAAATGTGCTGGTAATTAGCCATTAGAAAGTGACGCAGTTTTTTCACACTATAATATGTATAATCACGGTTTTGCTTTTTAATACCATAATTATAAGAGAAAAGCTGTGTTGCCCTAAACATGGTATGGATACATTACATTCTGAAATAGTGGGAAGCTGAGTCCTTCAGGCAGTCTGCAGTAGTAAGATGTAAGTTTTTGTTATTCAGAATAGTGCTTTTTTTTGTTTTGTTTTGAGACATGGCCTCACACTGTCACCCAGACTGGGGTGCAGTGGCATGATTATAACTAACTGCAGCCTCGAACTCCAGCAGTCCTCCCTCCTCAGCCTCCCCAGTAGCCAGGATTACAGGTGTGCACTACCACGCCGGCTAACTTTTTTTATTTGTAGTAGAGGCAAGGTCTCACTGTGTTGCTAGGCTGGTCTCAGATCCTGAGCTCAAGTGATCCTACCACCCTGACCTCGCAAAATGCTGGGATTGCAGGCTTGAGCCACTGTGCTTGGCCTCAGAATGCTGCTTTGAATAAAAATTTAGGTAGTGATTAAAAGAAGTCCAGAAAGCATATTTAAAGAATAAGGGTATTAAGAGTACAGTATAGTACTCTTGCTGAAAGTTTCAATGACTTCTCTTTCCAGGAGAGGTAATTAATGAAAAAGACCGCTGTAAAAAATGTGAAGGGAAGAAGGTGATTAAAGAAGTCAAGATTCTTGAAGTCCACGTAGACAAAGGCATGAAACATGGACAGAGAATTACATTCACTGGGGAAGCAGACCAGGCCCCAGGAGTGGAACCCGGAGACATTGTTCTTTTGCTACAGGAGAAAGAACATGAGGTGATTTTCCTTTTTTTAGTTTTTTGTATTTTGTTTTATTCAGAAGTACTTCTTGCTTGTGAGAAATAGGTTAGATCTGTTTGGAGTCCCTGGAGCAACACTGAACACTGGTGAAGTTAAGGGCATCATGGTGAGTTCCTAAGACGGGCTTGTGTAAGAAAGACTAACAAGGCAGGTGCAGTTAGAAGCACTGTAAGAGTCAGTTTTAGTCCTGGCTTGGTTTCTTCCCCCTGCCCCTCAGTTGGAGTTTCACTCTTGTTGCCCAGGCTGGAGTGCAATGGTGCGATCTCGGCTCACTACAACCTCTGCCTCCCGGGTTCAAGTGATTCTCCTGCCTCAGCCTCCCGAGTAGTTGGGACTACAGGCATGCTTCTTCACTCCTGGCTAATTTTTATTTTTAGTAGAGACAGGCTTTCTCCATGTTGGTCAGGCTGGTCTCAAGCTCCCAACCTCAGGTGATCTGCCTGCCTCAGCCTCCCAAAGTGCTGGGATTAAAAGCGGGAGCCACCGCGCCTGGCCTTGGTCTTTTTTGTGTGTGTGTGACGGAGTCTTGCTTTGTTACCCAGGCTGGAATGCAGTGGCACGATCTTGGCTCACTGCAGCCTCCACCTCCCAGGTTCAAGCGATTCTCCTCTGGCCTGGTCATTGACTAACACTTTAACCATAGGTAATCTTACTGTCTCAGTTTCTTTGTTTATGAAAATAAGGGCACTGGGTGTTGGACCAGTTGATCTAAGGCAGCCTGTATTTTCACTGTGAAACTCTGCTGCTCTGTCGATTTGGTTTTTACTTATTGGGTACCCAAGTGAGCTATCCTTGAAAGGGTTCTGGGATTTTTTTTAAAAAAAATATTTTTTTAGAAGCTTCTGAAGAATGTGGTCACTAGTGTATGTTTTGGGGGGTTTTTGTTTTTGAGATGGTCTTGCTCTGTCGCCCTGGCTGGAGTACAGTGGTGTGATCTGGGATCACTGCAACCTTCGCCCCTGGGCCCAAGCAATCCTCCCATCTCAGCCTCCCAAGTAGCTGGGACAACTGGTGCACCATCATGCCCATCTATTTTTTTGTTTGTTTGTTTTTTGGGGTTTTTTTTTTTTTTGTATTTTTAGTAGAGACAGGGTCTTGCCATATTGCCCAGGCTGGTTTTGAACTTCTGAGCTCAAGCGATCCTCCTGTCTCAACTTCCCAAAGTGCTGGGATTACAGGTGTGAGCCACAGTGCCCAGCCTAGTGTATGTTATTTTGATTTTAACATTGCACTTGTATATTTTTAATGTCCATATTGTATACTGTAGACCCTACTCAAAGAATAAATCTGGAACTATTCATGAAAAACCCCTCCAGTAATCACCTAAATTCTTGAATGTTAGAAGCACTTGATAGGACTCTAGCTTTGTACTTGATCACATTTACTCATGTGTTCCTCTGAAAATCATTACATCACAGGTTAACCACCTTTTTAGTTTGCCCTAAAATTTTCTCCTATGCATAAGCCCAATGAACACGGAGAAATGGTAAATTTGTATTATGTTCAGTGAAAGGTTATTCTTTTTAATTCTAAAAAGGTGGGCAAGCTGATTATCATTTATAATTTAAAGGTTATATTTGATAAAGAAGGAGATCGTCCTTCTGTGGTGATCATTTCTTCAAATAGAGTAAATTTTAAAAATCACTTTAAGAATCCAATAGAGAACAACAAAGCCATATTGAGATGCAGGTTTTAGGAATTTGGTAGTAATCCCTCACAAGGTCAGACTTGATCTCCTGGACAATCAGGGCATGCTAGTCAGCTTTCATGACTCAGCAAAGCTACAAATTATGTATTTTGGCTTTTTGTGGAAATTGCCAACCCTACAGATAGCAAACGTCTCCTCGGTTGTCAAAAAGTAAGAGTAGTTTTTAGAATTCTGCCTTTGGGTCTTGTAGAATGAAATATTTACAAGATTTGCTATTTGTTAACATTTTAGCTACTTCCTTGTTCCTTCAGTCTTGCTGCTGTGCACACCACCATACCAGGAATATGAGGGAGAAAGCTAGCAAGACAGCTAAATAATTGGAAATTCTGCTTGGAGGTTAGACTGTGTTGTAAAATGGTACAGACAGTGCCTGGGCATTTTCATTGATAGAATCCTTGGAGTCGTTTGGGGTTCGTTGTCAAATGATGTCTGGCAGTGCAGCAGCATGATAGGAAGTGAAGAAGGAATGCTTATTTGCAGAGGAAGGATGACTTTTTTTTGGTTTGAGGCATGTCAAACTGATGGTAAAACCTTTTTTATCCCTAAGTTTAGTTTTTAATGTTGCTGCATAATTAAATTGGGTTTTTAAAAGTAGATCATTGGATTTGGAGGCAAAGGACTTAAGGTCTGGGCCCCGTTTACTAGCTTTGGCTTCCCTGGACTTTTTGGATATTAAAGAGTCAAATGAGATTATGAATAAGCTTCTTTCTTGGGGCCTGTGGGGAGGTGTTGGGAAGTAACTCATCTCTGAAAATTGTTGGCAGCAGTGGAATTGGCATGGAATTTTCAACAGAAGGCAGATGTAGCTAGTTGTCTAAAGTAGAAAATAGAAGATGGTAAAGGTTAGAATGGAAGTTTGTCTCGTTCCTTCTTGGGAGTGCTGTATCATCTATAGTCATCATCCTGCCATGTCACTTGTCAGTGTGCCTGTTTGTGTGTCTCGGTGGTCTGGTTACCATAGTGCACTTGTACAGCATCAAACCACAGAACCTGGTGATGTTAGTCACGCCTCTATAACCTGTACTTTTGTTATTCAGAAATATGACTTCTAAGTGTTTTCTGGTCTAGTGCTTGGTGGTCCCTCCTCATTAATCTTGTTTTTCAGAAACTCTCTGGCATCCTTGCTTGTTTATTCTGTTTAAACTTTTAACATCAAATTGTTTAGCTTCCCCGCTCTGCTGCAACAACCATCCTGATAATCATAATCATTTTTTATTGAAATCACTTTCAGTTGAACTCTCCTGTACAAGAACGTGATGTGTATCTCTTCCTGTTCCCTTTTCTTTTTTTTTTTTTTGAGACAGTCTTGCCCTGTCACCCAGACTGGAGTGTAGTGGCGCAATTGTATTTTTAGTAGAGATGGGGTTTCATCATGTTGCCCAGGCTGGTCTCAAACTCCTGACCTCAAGTGATCTGCCTACCTCGGCCTCCCAAAGTGCTAGGATTATAGGTGTGAGCCACCGTGCCCTGCCCCACTTTTTATTTTTGTTTTTATTTTTGAAATGGGGTCTCACTCTGTCACCCAGGCTGGAGTGCAGTGGCGCGATCTCTGTTCACTGCAACCTCCACCTCCCGGGTTCAAGTGATTCTCCTGCCTCAGCCTCCCAAGTAGCTGGGACTACAGGCTCATGCCACCACACCCAGCTAGTTTTTGTATTTTTAGTAGAGACAGAATTTCGCCATGATGACCAGGACCTCAGGTGATCCACCTGCCTCAGCCTCCCAAAGTGCTGGGATTATAGGCATGAGCCACTGCATGCATCCTAAAATAGTATGACTTTAACAAAGGATATTTGGTAAGATGGTTCTTAGAACACTGGCATTTTACAGTATACTTAGCATTTATTTTAAATTTATTATTATTATGTTTAAGAGACAGGATGTCCTTCTGTCTCCCAGGCTGGAGTGCAGTGGCTGGATCATTAATGAGGAGGGACTGCCCCTGCAGGCTCCAAATCCTGGGCTCAAGGGATCGTCCTGCCTCAACTAGCCTAGTTTATGTTTTAATTTTTTGTCTCCCTATGTTGCTGTTTTGAACTGGCCTCCCAAAGCTCTGACCCTATATTTAGCTTTTTTAAATTTTTTTATTTTTTTCTTATTGAGATGGAGTCTCGCTGTGTCGCCCAGGCTGGAGTGCAGTGGTGTGATCTTGGTTCACTGCAGCCTCCGCCTCCCAGGTTCAAGTGATTCTCCTGCCGCAGCCTCCTAAGTAGCTGGGACTACAGGCGCGTGCCACCACACCTGGCTAATTTTTGTATTTTTAGTAGAGATGGGGTTTCACCATATTGGCCAGGCTGGTCTTGAACTCCTGACCTTGTGATCCGCCTGCCTTGGCCTCCCAAAGTGCTGGGATTACAGGTGTGAGCCACTGCACCTGGCCTACTTAGCATTTTTAATGCGTTGAAAAATCCTGCATTAAAAAAACTATTGGTCCCATTGTGAGGAACACTTGAATATATGTGCATACATAACATACCTTCTTGGATCTCAAACTTTAGCACACACACAAGAATTGCCTGGAGGGCTTGTTAGGACTACAGATGCTGGATCTTGCCTGCCTTGTTTCTGGCAGGAATGGAAGTGGGGCCCAAGAATATGTGTTCCTAACAAGTTTCCTGAAGCTGCTGGTCCAGAACCACACTTAGAGAATCATTGGTTAAGGTAATGGTTTAACTTTGTTTAATGAGTAAATTTAGGAGAGTAACATAGGAAAAGAACCTGTCTACCAGATTTTCTATAAGTGAACCGGCCAGGATTGTTCTTTACAAGAAGAGTGACCATTGTAAAATCTAAGCAAAAATTGCAGGTTGGGCGTGTGAAGTTGGATGTATTTTTCCTACACATTGAAGGCTCAGAAACATTCTTTGTGCTTATTCTCAATACCTTTTGCATTACCTAGTCCATAGGCTTATAGTGTAATATTGAATGAGCCAGTTTTGCATTTTAGTGAGATGTGAGACTTGTTGGTATGTGTGTGAAGCACGGAATTGAGCCACTTGACTTTGCTGGCTGGGTGTTAACTGGTTGATGTTGGGTTTTATGTTGATCTTGGACCCTCCCCCCTTCCCTGTTACGATCATGTCTGGGGAGCACTCCAGGGTGAGCCTGTTCTGTAGGAGCCCTCTGGGCATTCTGTACCTTTTTCACCAGAGGCAGAGTCTGAAAGTGGGCAATAGTTGCAGAATATACCTGGCACTGTTTTGAGGGCCTCAGTTCTGTTGCTCTTATATATGCCATTGTTTACCAGTTCCAGTACACCTTCCTCATGGAAGTTTCTCACATACTACTTGGGAATAGCTAGCTTTCCTAATGCGGTTTAGGGCACTAGGGACAGTGGCACTTTGGATTTGCAGTGAGTGGTAGAAATAAGGTTTTGAAATTAAGTCAAGGAACATAATGCTGCAGGGTGTACCTCCATAATTTTTAAGAAAATGTATTTCTTTTGTGCTTTATTTATAGGTATTTCAGAGAGATGGGAATGATTTGCACATGACATATAAAATAGGACTTGTTGAAGCTCTATGTGGATTTCAGTTCACATTTAAGCACCTTGATGGACGTCAGATTGTGGTGAAATACCCCCCTGGCAAAGTAATTGAACCAGGTAAATCTTGATTTTGTCCGATTCTGGTTTTCAAGTATTTTTGAAAAAAATTACAATTTGTAATTTTTTTATACTGCATAACTCTAAAAAAAATTGAACACCTCTTTTGGGTAAAATTATTAATCATTTCCTCTTAAATAATAGGGTGTGTTCGTGTAGTTCGAGGTGAAGGGATGCCGCAGTATCGTAATCCCTTTGAAAAAGGTGATCTTTACATAAAGTTTGATGTGCAGTTTCCTGAAAACAACTGGATCAACCCAGACAAGCTTTCTGTAAGTGTTCTTTAAATTAAACAACAGTTGACTTCCAAGTTTGGAGTTCGGTTTTTGGTTTTTTAGACAGGGTCTCTGTCACCCAGGCTGGGGTGTAGTGGTGTGATCGTGGCTCACTGCAGCCTCGACCTCCTGGGCTGAAGCGATCCTCTCACCTCAGCCCCCAAGGAGCTGGGACTACAGGTGTGTGTTGCCATGCCTGGCTAATTTAAAAAAAATTTTTTGAGACACAGTCTCACTGTGTCACCCAAGCTGGAGTGCAGTGGTGTAGTCTCGGCTCACTGTACCCCCCGCCTCCCAGGTTCAAGTGATTCTCATGCCTTAGCCACCCAAGTAGCTGGGATTACAGGCATGAGCCACGATGCCTGGTAAGTTTGTTGTTGTTGTTGTTTGTTTGTTTATGGGGTTTTTTTGTTTGTTTGTTTTTGTTTTTTTTTTTGAGATGGAGTCTTGCTCTGTCACCCAGGCTTGAGTGCAGTGGCACGATCTCAGCTCACTGCAAGCTCCACCTCCTGGGTTCATGCCATTCTCCTGCCTCAGCCTCCCAAGTAGCTGGGACTGCAGGCACCCGCCACCACGCCCCGCTAATTTTGTTTTTGTATTTTTAGTTAGAGACAGGGTTTCACCATGTTAGCCATGTTAGATCGATGGTCTCGATCTCCTGACCTCATGATCCACCTGCCTCGGCCTCCCAAAGTGCTGGGATTACAGGCGTGAGCCACTGCACCCAGCCAAGTTTCTTTCTTTTTAAGAGAGTCTCGCTCTGTTGCCCAGGCTGGCGTGCAGTGGCATGATCATGGCTTGCTACGGGTGTGTACCACCACACCTGGCTAATGCTTTTTAAAACTTTTTATAGAGATGTTGCTATGTTGTCCAGACTGGTCTCAAGCAATCCTCCTGCCTCCCGAAGTTCTGGGATTGCAGTCGTGAGCCACTGCACCCAGCCGACTTCAAGTTTCTTAATAGTCATGTTACTTTCAATTTTAAAGTATATTTGTGTGATTGGTAGGCTTTCCTAGTTGTTAGGAAATGGGGTATTGCTGGTGTAAATGTTGATGGGGCCAAGCAGGGAATTGTAGAGGAGTAAAGTAGACCCGGTGTGGGTGGTGATGAGGAGTAGCACTCCCTGGAGAGAACAGGTTCCTCATTTGCAGAGGGCAGGACCACTACCCCTTTATCGTAAGCTGGTGTCCATGCCGGATGCAGGAAGGTGTGTCTCCTGTAGAAACTTTCTAATGTTTAAGTATTGGCAGATAATGACCTTTTTTTTGGTTCTTAAAGCAATAGATGGGTTGCACAAAAGATGTCTGCAGAATTTGGCCTGTGAGTGATGAGTTTGTGATCTTTTACTTAGAGTTCAAAGTCCAGTCCACATTCCTTTTTTTAACTTTTTTTTTTTTGAGATGGAGTCTTGCTCTGTCACCCAGGCTGGAGTGCAGTGGCACAATCTCAGCTTACTGCAACTTCCACCTCCCAGGTTCAAGCGATTCTCCTGCCTCAGCCTTCTGACTAGCTAGGATTACAGGTACCCACCACCATGCCTGGCTAATTTTTTGTATTTTTAGTAGAGACAAGGCTTCACCATGTTGTCCAGGCTGGTCTCATCTCCTGACCTCATTATCCGCCCGCCTCAGCCTTCCAAAGTGCTGGGTGGGATTATAAGCATGAACCACCACACCCAGCCCCTTTTTAAACTCTTAAACAGACACTGGATTCTATGTATCAAAAGGAAAGTTGATGAAAATATTACAACCAACCTGGTTTTTGTTTGTTTTAATAAAGGAACTAGAAGATCTTCTGCCATCTAGACCGGAAGTTCCTAACATAATTGGAGAAACAGAGGAGGTAGAGCTTCAGGAATTTGATAGCACTCGAGGCTCAGGAGGTGGTCAGAGGCGTGAAGCCTATAATGATAGCTCTGATGAAGAAAGCAGCAGCCATCATGGACCTGGAGTGCAGTGTGCCCATCAGTAAACTCTGCAAACAAATTGCACAGGTGGATTTTCTTTCCACATTTGCCTGATTTGTTCTCAGCAATCCAGCTGGAGTGTCTTATCAATCCAGATGAACTGAGGGACATCTGTTGGTCTATGTATAACTTTTAAAATTGGTATAGTATCTACAGAGTGTATAATTTAAACTAACCACAAAGCTTTACATCTTCATTTTGACTGTTCCATAGCAGAATAAAGCACTTGAAAGGAAACAAGACTCCCTTTCACACATGGATTATTATAAGTTTCAATCCTGGTATCTGTGCTTGATTTTTATCAGTTTTGTGTAGATTTTTATGTTTCATATTTTAAATTTAAATCCCACATTGTAAAGTTTGTACAATTTGTCCTGAAGCTTTGTGTTTGGCTGCACCTGCATAAGCTGCTACAAATAGAATAAAGAATTTCATAGCCTGTATCTATCATTTAGATGCATGGAAAAAAATGGGCTTTGCACACAATGGGTTTGGAGCTGACTGGGAACAATGGAAAAAATTACATTAGCTGTGGTTGTAAAGTTTTTTTGTTTTTGGTTTTGTTTTTTTTTTCTTTTTTCTTTTTTTTTTTTTTTACCATCTTGTGAAAGGTTTCTGAAACTCGATAATAAAAAGCGGTTGGTGTAAATTATTCTTTTGTGTCACATTTTTAGAAGGAAAAACATAAAAGAATGTATCCTTAGTACTGGTTCTTAAACAGCCCATAAAAACCCATTGGCCTGAAGCTTATATCTCAGGCCTATGCCCATCTTATAGTCTTGGAAGACAAAAGGCTGGTAGAGACAGTCTTCAGTGGCTTCAGTGATGCTCTGTAGAGGCCAGGGTGTCTTGAGTGCTGTAACTCCCAAGCACTGGGCTAGCCTGACTTCTGTATCTCCCTACCACCACCCCCTTAAAAAAATAAGGTAACAGCAAATCTATAGTAAAACCATGTCTGCATAGAACGTGTTCAAATCCTCTGTTTTCATTAAATGTAAAAGATGCTGTCTCCATTAAGTTGAATATTTGGAATTGGAGAAGCCATTGATTATTATTTTGAGTTTCTGTAATGTTTTATAGAAAAGTAAGATGCTTATTCAGAATTTAAGAATGAAGGCAACTGAAATATGCATTGTTGTAGTTATTTATATTTCAAACTAAAAATAAGCAAAAAAAAAAGGCTGGTTTGAGAAAAATCAGGTAAAATTGATGAAACGGATGTTGTGTTTCTCTTTCCATCATCTGGTTTTTACCATTTCACTCAGTAGGTATTTTTAGAACACACTTATTTGAGGAAAGAGACATCAGATGCACAATTTTACATTTATAAAGGAACAAATGGGGAAAACTGAAAACTAAAAATTTTAAATGTATTAAATGCCATCCCTGAGCCTAAATCTAGTATTTGTAGTTTATTTCTAGGTCTGCTAGAACCTGAAAACCTGAATGAAAAAAGGTGTGCTGACACTAATCAAGTCCTGTGAGGTTTAAATTATTGACCTATCCACTCTACCTCCATTGTACAAAAAATATTTTACAACAAGCCTGGGTAAGATTCAACAGCATAGTAGTTTTGTATCCAAGGTTACTTCCCCACAACCACTTTAAACATAAGAAATGTGGTGGCAATATAAAGTTTGTAGCCTTTCCAATAAAGGTTTATAAAACAGTTGTTCAGTGTAGTCTGTCTTTCATTTCTACCCAGGTGTTTTGACTGTAGGCAAGAAAACTACTGGAAGAGAGTTTCTGTTAAGGTGTGTTATTTCACTTGGTCTCCTTGCTCTAGTTTGTAGAGCACCTGTCGAGAGAACCAACCATACAGTGTCACCAGCACAGATAATTTTTTGTAACAGCTTTATTCCAGATATGATTTACATACCATAAAATTTACCACTTTAAAAAATTTGCCACAATTCAGTTGATTTCAGTATATTCAGCCATCTCCACTAATTTCAGAACATTTTCATCAAAGAAGAAACCCTCTATCCATTAAGTCACTTTCTGTTCCATTCTCTCCTCAACTCCTGGTGTAATCACTAATGGCTAATTCTGCTTCTAAATATTTGCCTATTTTGGACATGTTGTATAAATGAGATCAAAATATGTGGCCTTTAGTGATGCATTCATTTAGCTTAATGTTTTCAGGGTTTATCCTTGTCGGCAGCATGGATCAGCACAGTAACAGCAGGGACCTATTCTGAGAAGTGCATGGTTAGGCGGTTTCATCATGCAAACAGAGTGTACTTCCACAAACCTAGGTGGTGTAGCCGACTATACACCTATATGGTGTAGTGTATTGTTCCTAGACTACAAACCTGTACAGCTTGTTAGCATAGGCAGTTGTAACACAATGGTAAGTAAACAGTTTTCTGTTTACCATTTGGTACAGTATAAGTACCTTATATGAGAAAAAGGCCTGGCATGGTGGCTCACGCCTATAATCCCAACACTTTGGGAAGCCGAGGTGGGTGGATCACCTGAGGTCAGGAGTTCAAGACCAGCCTGGCCAACATGGCGAAGCCCTATCTCTACTAAAAACACGAAAATTTGCCGGGTGTGGTGGCATGTGCCTGTAATCCCAGCTACTCGGAGGCTGAGGCCAGAGAATCACTTGAACCCTGGAGGCAGAGGTTGCAGTGAGCCGAGATCACGCCACTGCACTCCAGCCTGGGCAACAGAGTGAGACTCCGTCTCAAAAGAAAAAAAAAAAGAAAAAATGGTACACTTGGATAGGGCTCTTACCATGAATAGAGTTGGCAGGACTGGAAGTCCTGATTCGGGCGAGTCAGTGAGTGGATGTGAAGGCCTAGGCCATTACTGTAGAGATTGTAAGCACTGTACACTTAGGATACACTACATTTGTAAAACCTTTTTCTAAAATCATAATTGAGGCTGGGCATGGTGGCTCGTGCCTGTAATCCTAGTACTTTGGGAGGCCCAGGCAGAAGGACAGCTTGAGCCCAAGAGTTCAAGACCAGCCTGGGAAACATAGAGATCCCATCTCATAATTTTTTTTTTTTTTTTTTGAGACGGAGTCTTGCTCTGTTGCCCAGACTGAAGTGCAGTGGCGCAATCTCAGCTCACTGCAACCTCCACCTCCCGGGTTCAAGCAATTCTCCTGCCTCAGCCTCCCAAGTAGCTGGGACTACAGGCGCGTGCCACTACGCCTGGCTAATTTTTGTATTTTTTAGTAGAGACGGGGTTTCACCATGTTAGCTAGCATGGTCTCGATCTACTGACCTCAGGTTATCTGCCCACCTTGGCCTCTCAAAATGCTGGGATTACAGGTATGAGCCACTGTGCTCGGCCATCAAAAGTCTTGTAAATAATCTTCAGTTGCAAAAGATTTCGTAAAATTAGGAAGCCCACATCACCTGGCACAGACTTCTAGGGAACATTTTAAGTATGGTTGGTTATTTTTAATTTCCAAAAGAAGTTCAGTTAAATCTCTGGTCAAAGTGAACCATTAGCCAGTGCCACTGTGAGTCAAGCTAAACACGTTAGAAAACCTGACTTCTGCTGAGCGCAGTGGCTCACGCCTGTAATCCCAGCACTTTGGGAGGACCAGGCAGGCGGATCATGAGGACAGGAGATCGAGACCATCCTGGCTAACACGGTGAAACCCCGTCTCTACTAAAAATACAAAAAAATTAGCCGGGCATGGTGGCACACACCTGTGGTCCCAGCTACTTGGGAGGCTGAGGCAGGAGAAGCTTGAACCCACGAGGCAGAGGGTGCAGTGAGCCAAGATTGCACCCCTGAACTCCAGCCTGGGCAACAGAGCGAGACTTTGTCCCAAAAAAAGAAAGAAAACCTGACTTCCCAGCTATAGGAAGAAAAGAACCTGAGAAAGCTTATACCAGTGGTGGGTTGAGAATCTTCAGTGATGAAGCTTACCATTCTATGTGTGAATAGGTATCCCCTTTCATAATCTACAAATAGTATACAAATTATTTTTTTCTGTTAGGAAAGCAATACATGATCGTTAAAAAAACATAGAACTATCGACTTTAAAAAATTAATCTCCCCCAATCCAAATCATGTGCTCATGAGACTATCAACACAAAGTTGGTTTTTTGTTTTTGTTTTTGTTTTGTTTCATTTTGTTTTTTTCTTGAGACGGAGTCTCCCTCTGTCACCCAGGCTGGAGTGCAGTGGTGCAGTCTTGGCTCACTGCAACCTCTGCCTTCTGGGTCCCAGCGATTCTCCTGCCCAGCCTCCTGAGTCGCTGGGATTACAGGCATGCGCCACCACGGCTGGCTAGATTTTTGTGTTTTTGTAGAGACGGGTTTTCACTATGTTGGCCAGGCTGGTCTTTAATTCCTGACCTCAAGTGATCTTCCCGCCTTGGCCTCCCAAAGTGCTGGATTACAGGTGTGAGCCACCACGCCCGGCCTTGGTCTTTTTTTTTGTTTTTAATACATATAGAACTAAATTTTCCAACCTGTTCCCAGATGCAATCATTTTTACCAATTTCTCACATGTGTGTATGCAAAAATGGGATAAAATAACTTATTTTTACAACTTTTGGTCTTATTATTCCTTTGGCATATTTGCATAGTAATACATAAAGATCTATTTTTAATGATTTTAAAGTTCTGTTGTTTGAATGAACCATTTCCTACCTATTGATAGATGTTCGAATTGTTTCCAGTTATTACAAACAATGCTGTGGGTAACAGCTTCATACATATGTCGTTGTGCATTTGTACACAATGCTTCAAACCAGATTACAAAGTTAAGCTTCTAGTGCATAGAACGCTGGCATATAGTAGAACCTAAATAAATATTTATGAATGAAGGAAGTGCTTCTTGACCTCTTAAACCAAATCTAAGATCTGGAAGATCTGAAATAATGATCTAAATCCCTGCAAAGGAGCTCTAGAAAAAACAATACATCCCTGTTAGCACATGAGGATTAGGGGACAGAACCAAAATATATTTTACAAGAATATAGTGCAACACGGTTGGGCACTGATTTCTTAACTTCTTCACCACAAGGACCTCATGCAGGAATATTTTGCTTGGCAAACAAGTAATGATTACTTACATTTTTACTTTTTTTTTTTTTCTTTTAATGGAGACAGGGTCTCATGCTCACCGGACTGGAGTGCAGTGACACAAACAAAGCTTACTGTAGCCTCGACCTCCTGGGCTCCAGTGATCCCCCTGCCTCAGCCTCCTGTGTCACTGGGACCACAGGTACGTGCCGCCATGCCTGGCTAATGTTTTTACCTATTTAGGCACAATTTTAAGTCCTGAAAGCTATGATGTGACTCACAGCAAAATCAAGCCTATAAAATGGGGATCTATGTTTAAAAGGGGATCTACTTAATTTTAGAGAACGCAAGATTTAGTGAAGGAGAATGCCTGTATAGACACCTCCTGAAAAAATACAGGTATTCTTGTAGGGAAACATCCACCCGAAGACAGCCCAGTACCAAGCTTTATGTGCTAATCCTGATGTCATTGGGAAGCTGGGTTCCCCTGTTGGCAACTGATTCCAGCTGGACTCATTTACAATGTTCTGGCCTTGCCCAGGCATCTAAAGCTCGATTCCAGAGAGCTCACTGGGAGAGTTGAGCTGTTCCCTCTGAAGGTATAGCCTGTCCCTAGCCCCAAGCCCTCCTGATTCCCAGGCTTTCCAAACAAGCCTGTTAATGTGGGTAGCAGTGGCATGACAGAACAACATGGTGAAACTCCATCCAAATCTTTTCTCACCTCATTGGCTCAGGGACATGTCTTATGGCTGAAAGTCGCTAGCTTCTAGGTCCTAAGATCTGACCTTAGGACCAGAGACCTCTGAGCTAGAGAGGTCTAGCATGATCCTGGACATCAGTCAGTAGCTGGACACCCAGAATCATCCTCCCAGGAATAACAGAGAGAGAGTGTTGGATCTTCCATGTGTATCCTGACAGTTTAGAGATGTTCATGACAATGGCTTCACTACAGAAGTTTAGGCTTTGAATGCTTCATTACTGGCTATCAAAGAAAGGAGATTCAACATTTTAAAAAATTTTTATTAATGATTGATTGATTGATTGAGATGGAGTTCTGCTCTTGTAACCCAAGCTGGAGTGCAATGGCGCGATCTCCGGTCACTGCAACCTCTGCCTCCTGTGTTCAAGTGATTCTCCAGCCTCAGCCTCCCAAGTAGCTGGGATTACAGGCACCCGCCACCATGCCCAGCTAATTTTTGTATTTTTAGTAGAGACGAGGTTTCACCATGTTGCCAGGCTGGTCTCAAACTCTTGACCTCAGGGGATCTGCCCGCCTTGGCCTCCCAAAATGTTGGGATTACAGGCTTGAACTACCACTCTTGCTCTGTTGCCCAGGCCAAGTGCAGAGGCTCGACCTCCTGGGCTCACTGCAGCCTCCGGATAAAATGAAACCCTCTGACTCCTCACCTTTAGGGTGGCTTAGATCTCAAAGACTTTGTCCACAGAGTTTCCTTATCTTCCTTATATTGACTCACAGAGGACCACTGACTACATTTGCCCAACACAGGAGGCTGAGGCAAGAAAATCACTTGAACTCGGGAGGCAGAGGTTGCAGTGAGCCGAGATCAAACCATCATACTCCAGCCTGGGTGATAAGAGCGAGATTCCATCTCAAAAAAAAAAAAAAAAAAAAAATCCAGAGGTTGGCCTAAGAAATTAGAGTAGGCACAGAAGAAGTAAAACCTCAGCACATGAGCTCCCCAGTATGTACCATACTTATCTTTAAGGTCCTGGGCTTAAACCCCTGATATACTAAATAGATCCACAGAGAGAAAGAACTTTGTTCCACCCAAATAAACTGGATCCCCAGACCAGGCTGGTCACCTCATTTCCCTTTGTTTGCTTTAAGAGGACAGAAAAGACTATGCCAGGAGAATTTGGAGCTTAACATGGGCGTTATTTTTGTATTTTTGCCAGCTGTATTCAATTCCCTTTCTTTGGGTAATTGCATTCTGATTTTCCTCTAAAGTCAGGGGTCAGCAAACCACAGTCCAGGGGCCAAATGCAGCCTACCCCCTGCTTCTGTAAATAAATTGTATTGGAATACAGCCATGCTTATTCTTTTACATATTTACTATGATGCTTGCATACTACGATGGCAGGGTCAAGCGGCTGCAACAAAGACCATATATTCTGCAAAGCCTAAAATATTTACTACCTGGCTCTTTATAAGGAAAGGTGTAACACTTCTGCTCTCAGGGACCACAACCTTACTGACTCTCAATCCTTGTGAATCAGAACTAACCTGTAATTTATCCACTAATAAATTTCCTCTTCTGTTTGAGTAGGGTTTTCTGTCACTTGGCAACCAGTTGAGTCCTACCTGATACAAGGTTGGCTGAGCAGAAATCACTCTTTCTACTGGCCTGGCTTAAAAAAACACCCGCCCAGAGAAATGGCATCATAGATAGGCAGGAATTATGTTCCTTTCCCCAGAAGCTGCAACTTGTTTTCTGCTAATGCAATCAAATATTTGAAATAGGGAGTTTCCCAGAAAATGCCAGGTTATGGTCACCATCCGGTGGTGCCTCATTTATGTACTGACAGCGGAAAATGACAAGTGTGTGTGTCTGGTGAGGGAGCAGTAGCACTATTGACTAACAGGTAGAGCAAGAGATGGATACTGGCTGCCTCCACATCTCGGGGTGTGGACTGTGTCGCAACAGCCAACCAGCATCATGGAATAATTTGTCTGTAGCAGGCTCAGCACTTAGTGTTTTACACGTGTTATGTCACACAAAACCCACGACCACTCTGTAAGGTAGAAATTATTACTGCCCCAGTTTACAGATGAGGAAGCCAAATATCTGATATATTGGCCGGGCGGTGGCTCACGCCTGTAATCCCAGCACTTTGGGAGGCTGAGGTGGGTGGATCACTTGAGGTCAGGAGTTTGAGACCAGCCTGGCCAACATGGTGAAACCCCATCTCTACTAAAAATAGAAAATTAGCCGGGTGTGGTGGCACATGCCTGTCTGTAGTCCCAGCTACTTGGGAGGCTGAGCCAGGGAGGCAGAGGCTGCATTGAGATCGTGCCACTGTACTCCAGCCTGGGCAAGACAGAGTGAGACTCTGTCTCAAAACAAACAAACACCAAATATCTGAGATATTGAGGAATTTCAGAAAGGTCACATGGCCAGGAAGTGATCAAGAGGGGATTCCAATTCAAGTCCAAACTCCAAAGCTCATGTGCTTCAACACGATGCTTTACAACCAAGTCAACAAACCCTGAAGAAGTAGCAACTCTTTTCTCTACACTTCAGCAAAGGTCCTGGGTAGGGTCTTATTGGTCTGGTGTGGGTTTTGTGCCATCCTTGCACCAATCACTGTGGTTAAGGTGCACATCGTGCATTGAACAGCAGGGCCTGGGTCACATGCCCAACCATGAGGCTGAGGTGGGCCTATTCTCTTCTAAATGATCTGACAGTGGCAGTGCCAGCCTTTCCATGTAAAAGGGGCTTGGGACTTGAAGGACACAGCAATTTATGCATTGGAGAAACATCTATTGTCCACATTAAAGAATACAGCAAGGAGGGGTAGGGTTTCAAAGACGAAAGCCTCTGTTGAGCATTCCTAGATGCCAGGTACTGTTTACGAGCTGTGTGCCCCAGACATTTTGCACTTTCATCTTAGGAAGCGGAAACTGCTAAGGTGGAGGACTAGGGTTTGCTTAAAAACAAAACAAGCTGGGCGCAGTGGCTCATGCCTATAATCTCAGCATTTTGGGAGGCCGAGGCAGGCAGATCACTTGAGGCCAGGAGTTCCAGATCAGCCTGGCCAACATGGTGAAACTCTGTCTCTATTAAAAACACAAATATTAGCCAGATGTGGTGGCACACACCTATAGTTTCAGCTACTTGAGAGGCTGAGGCGGGAGGTTCGCTTGAACCCAGGAGGCAGAGGTTGCAGTGAGCAGAGATCATGCCAGTGCACTCCAGCCTGGGCAGAGTGAGAACCCTGTCTCAAAAAAAATTTTTTTTAAACCCCACAGCACTGCAGATGGGGATCACATAGGTGACCAGCTCCCCCTGGTGCTTAAACAGTTTTTCATCCAGAAGTTTCCTTTTTAGACTTTTATCATGGGGAAGTATGGCTGTGCAACAAGATTGAACACAAGAATGGTTATTGAAACATTGTCAATAATGGTGAGAAGTTGGAAATAACCTGAACATCTCCCGTTAAATTTTGTTATGTCCATTCAATGCATAATGTGTAGTTATTAAAAAGCAAGGTTGAGACCCTGTGTGAAAAAAAAACACAAAAAGGCATAGAGTGCCTGAATGGATAAAGATGTAAGTGAACAGACAACTCAGAATGGAAGAAAATATTGCAGACTGTCCATCTGACAAAGAATTAATAACCAGAGTGTATAAGGAACACAAATAACTCAACTGCAAAAAAAAAAAATTATTTAAGAAGGGGGAAGATCTGAATAGACATTTCTCAAAAGAAACCTACAAATGGCCTACAGGTGTATGAAAAAATGCTAATTACTAGTCATCAAGGAAATGCAAATCAAAACCACAAGGAGGGCCGGGCGCGGTGGCTCACGCCTGTAATCCCAGCACTTTGGGAGGCCGAGGCAGGGGGATCACTTGAGGTCAAGAGTTCAAGACCAGCCTGGCCAACACGGTGAAACCCTGTCTCTACTAAAGATACAAAAATTTAGCCAGGCATGGTGGCACATGCCTGTAATCCCAGCTACTCAGGAGGCTGAGGCAGGAGAATCACTTGAACCCGGGAGATATATTTGAAGACAGCTAAAAGAAAATAATTCAAAATTCAAACTTTTCTTTTTTTTTTTTTTGAGACAGAGTCTTGCTCTTGTCGTCCAAGCTGGAGAGCAATGGCACGATCTCGGCTCACTGCAACATCCACCTCCCAGGTTCAAGTGATTCTCCTGCCTCAGACTCCCGAGTAGCTGGGATTACAGGCGCCTGCCACCACGCCCAGGTACTTTTTGTATTTTTAGTAGAGATGGGGTTTTGCCATGTTGGCCAGGCTAGTCTCGAACTTCTGACCTCATAATCCATCTGCCTTGGCCTCCTAAAGTGCCGGAATTACAGGCATGAGCCATCACATCCAGCCTATTAATTCAAACTTTTCTAGTGGAAAGAAAAGACCAGTGGCCTAGAATGGTGGCTCATGACTGTAATCCCAGCACTTTGTGAGGCTGAGGCAGGAGGATCACTTGAGGCCAGGAGTTTGAGACCAGCCTGGGCAACATGGCAAGATCCTGTCTCTATAAAAAATAAAAAATCTTAGCTGGGTGTTGTGGTGCACACCTGTAGTCCCGGATACTCTGGAGGCTGAGGCAGGAGAATGGCGTGAACCCAGGAGGCGGAGCTTGCAGTGAGCAGAGATCGCACCACTGCACTCCAGCCTGGGCGACAGAGCGAGACGCCGTCTCAAAAAAAAAAAAAATGCGTTCACAACTGTTCTGATGGAATACGCACAAAGTCGAAAGTAATGATTTTCTCTGGGTTTGAGGATTATGGGTGTTTAAAAACATTTTTATTATAAAAATTTATTATAAAATTATACACAGCCTGGGCACGGTGGCTCACGCCTGCAATCCCAGCATCCTGGGAGGCCAAGGCAGGTAGATCACTTGAAGTCAGGAGTTTGAGACCAGCCTGGCCAACATGGTGAAACCCTGTCTCTACTAAAAATAGAAAAATTAACTGGGTGTGGTGGAGTGTGCCTGTGGTCCCAGCTACTCGAGAGGCTGAGGCAGGAGAATCGCTTGAACCGGGAGGTGGAGGTTGCAGTGAGCTGAGATCATGCCACTGTACTCCAGCTCAGGTTACAGAGTGAGACTCAGTCTCAAACATAAAAAAAAAAATTATACACAAAAGTAGAGAGAATAATATAATGAACCTCTATATGGCCATTGCCCCAACTGATTCATTAATTATTTTTTATTTTGCCACACTTGTTTTACTTATTATTATTATTATTATTATTTGCAAACTGATCCCTCTCTCCTGAAGTATGTTATTTATTTAGAGACAAGGTCTCACCTGTCGCCCAGGCTACAGTACAGTGGCACAATCTTGGCTCACTGCAGCCTCAAACTCCTGGGCTCAAGGGATTCTCCCACCTCAGCCTCCCACGTAGTTGACATTACAGGTGTGGGCCACCACACTGGCTAATTTTTGTATTTTTTTTGTAGAGATGGGGTTTCGCCATGTTGCCCAGGATGGTCTCAAACTCCTGGGTTCAAGCAATCCTCCTGTGTCCAAGCAATCCTCCTGTGTCCAAGCAATCCTCCTGTGTCCAAGCAATCCTCCTGTGTCCAAGCAATCCTCCTGTGTCGGCCTCCCAAAGCACTGGGATTACAGGAGTGAGCCACTGGCCCCTGGCTTGGAAGTATTTTAAAACAAATGCTACACCTCACTGATTTTTATTCCTACATAACGTCAACATGCATCTTTTTGAAGGACATTTCTTATGTGTTTCTGATGTCATTATAATACAACAAAATAAACAACCCTTCGTATTCCGCACTACTTGGATTATTTCACATTTTCATGATTCTCCTTTCTTTTTCTTATCTGCATTTCCTAATTTTTTACAATAAACATAACATATATTATTTAAAAACAACATCTATACAAAAATTAGCCCGACCTGGTAGTGTGCACCTGTAGTTACAGTTATTAAGGAGGCTGAGGTGGGAAGATCCCTTGAGCCTGGGAGTTCAAGGCTGCAGTGAGTTGAGATTGTGCCACTGTACTGCAACCTGGGTGACAGAGCAAGAGCCTGTCTCAAATAAATAAATATATAAATAAATAAAATAAAAGCAACAATTAAGACATTAAAATTCTTTGATGTACTTTTCTTTTTTTTTTTTTTTGAGACAGGGTCTCACTCTGTCGCCCAGGCTGGAGTACAGTGGCACAACCTCGGCTCACAGCAACCTCCCCGTCCCCACTTCAAGCGATTCTCCTGTCTCAGCCTCCCGAGTAGCTGGGAGTACAGGCACATGCCACCACACCAGGCTAATTTTCCTGTGTTTAGTACAGATGGCGTTTCACCATGTTGGCCAGGCTGGTCATGAACTCCTGACCTCAAGTGATCCGCCTACCTCAGCCTTCCAAAGTGCTGGGATTACAGGGGTGAGCCACCGTGCCTGGCCTGATGTACATACTTGGTAACACAGGTTACATTAAGCAATTAAATACCAAATCTGATTAATCTAGCAATGATCTAAACACAAATAAAGGCTTGCAACTTTTTAGCCATTTGAGATGGAGTTTCGCTCTCGTTGCCCAGGCTGGAGTGCAATGGCATGATCTCAGCTCACTGCAACCTCTGCCTCCTGGGTTCAAGCGATTCTCCTGCCTCAGCCTCCCAAGTAGCTGGGATTACAGGTGTGCACCACCATGTCTGGCTAATTTTGTATTTTTTTAGTAGAGACAGGGTTTCACCATGTTGGTCAAGTTGGTCTTGAACTCCTGACCTCAAGTGATCCACCCACCTTGGCCTCCCAAAGTGCTGGGATTACAGGTGTGAGCCACCGTGCCCAGCTATTTAACAACCTTCCTTCCTTCCTTCCCTCGCTCCCTCCCTCCTTCCTTCCTTCTCTCTCTCTCTCCTCCTCCTCCTTCTTCTTACTCCTCCTCCTCTTCCTCCTCTTCTTCCTCCTCCTCCTCTGCCTCTTCTTCTTCCTCTTCTTCCTCCTCCTCTTCCTCCTCCTTTTTTTTTTTTTTTTGAGACAGGATTTCACTCTGTCGCCCAGGCTGGAGTGCAGTGGCACAATCTTGGCTCACTGCAAACTCTGCCTCCTGGGTTCAAGTGATTCTCCTGCCTCAGCCTCCCAAGTAGCTGGGACTACAGGCATGTGCCACCATGCCCAGCTAATTTTTGTATTTTTTTGTAGAGATGGGGTTTCACCATGTTGGCCAGGCTTGTCTCAAGCTCCTGACCTCAAGAGATCCACCTGTCTCGGCCTCCTAAAGTGCTGGGATTACAGGTGTGGGCCACTGCACCTGGCCAATTTATCATTTTTTCATTCCCACCACCAGTATTTCAATTGCTCCACATTCTTGTGGACAAAAAAACATTGTCAAGCTTTCTCATTTTGGTCATTTTGGCTGTTCCCTAGTGCTCTGAATTTGCATTCCTTTTCAGGACTGCTGATGTTGAGCATCTTTCCATGCTTCTATTTAATTTTTTTACATGTCCCTGACTTGAAGCTCAGATATTTCCACGGTCTTACTGGCCTTGTGTACATCTTCTCTTATAAAGTGTCTGTTCAAACCTTTCCCCTATTTTTTTTAAACTGTTTTGTTTTGTTTTTTTAAGTGATAAGGTTTCACTCTGTTGCCGAGGCTGGAGTTTAGTGGCACGATCACAGCTCACTGCAGCCTCGAACTCTTGGACTCAAGTGATTCTCCCGCCTCAGCCTCCCGAGTAGCTGGGACTGTAGGTGCACAACACTGTCAGGGGAGTTCAAACTAGAGTGACTCCATCTTGAATGAGGGCTGGGTAACAGGAGGCTGAGACTTGCTGGCTGCATTCCCAAGAGGTTAGGCATTCTTAGTTGCAGGACGAGACAGGAGGTCGGCAAGACTGGTATCACAAGACATAGGTCATAAGGGCTCTACTGATAAGACAGGATGCGGGGAAGAAGCTGGCCAAAACCCACCAAAACCAAGATGGTGACAGAAGTGGCCTCTGGTCATCCTCACTGCTCATTATACCCTAATTATAATACATTAGCATGTAAGAGGCGCTTCCACCAGTGCTGTGACAGTTTACAAAAGCCATAGCAACAACAGGAAGTTACCCTATAAAAAGGGGAGGAACCCCCAGCTCTGGGAAATCCCCACTCCTTTCCTGGAAAACTCATGAATAATCGACCCCTTGTCTAGCATGTAATCAAGAAATAGGCCAGGCGCGGTGGCTCATGCCTGTAATCCCAGCAGTTTGGGAGGTCAAGGCAGGTGGATCACTTCAGGACAGAAGTTCAAGACCAGACTGGGCAACATGGTGGAACCCCGTCTCTACTAAAAATACAAAAATTAGCCTGGCATGGTGGTGTGCACCTGTAATCCCAGCTACTCAGGAGGCTGAGGCACAAGAATCATTTTAACCTGAGAGGTGGAGGCTGCCAGTGAGCTGATATTGCACCACTGCCCGAGCGCCTAGGAGACGGAGCGAGACACCGACTCAAAAAAAAAAAAAATCAAGAAATAACCATAAAAATAGCCAACCTGCAGCTCTCTGGGCTGCATTACCTGTGGATTAGCCATTCATTTGTTTCCTTACTTCTCTAATAACCTTGCTTTCACTTTGTGGACTTGCCCTGAATTCTTTCTTGCATGAGATCTAAGAACCCTCTCTCGGGGTCTGCATTGGAACCCATTTGGTAACATCACCACCACACCTGGTTAATCTTTAAAGTTTTCTCTAGAGATGAGGTCTTGCTATATTGCTCAGGCTGGTCTTGAACTCCTGGGTTCAAGCAATCCTCCTGCCTTGACCTCTGAAAGTGCTGGGATTACAGGTTTGCAACACTGCGCCTGGCTCTACAGTTGTTTTTCTTATTGTTACAGAGTTGTTGAAGTTCTTTATGTATTCTGTATACAAGTTCTTTATCAAATTGATGTTCTAAATATGTTTTCTCCCAGTCCGTGGCTTGTCTTTTCATTTTCTTGATGTCTTTTAAAGATCAGAAATTCCTTTTTTTTTTAAGATGGAGTTTCGCTCTCGTCACCCAGGCTGGAGTGCGATGGCCTGATCTCGCCTCACTGCAACCTCTGCCTCCCAGGCTCAAGTGATTCTCCTGCCTCAGCCTCCCGAGTGGCTGGGATTACAGGCATCTGCCACCACACCCAGCTAATTTTTATATTTTTAGTAGAGATGGGGTTTCACCACATTGGCTAGGCTAGTCTCTTGAACTGCTGATCTCAAGTGATCTGCCCTCCTTGACCTCCCAAAGTGCTGGGATTACAGGCGTGAGCCACTGTGCCTGGCCAGAAATTCTTAATTTTGATAAACTTGTGAATGCTGTCAGAATCAAAATGGAGTCACTAATGTTTGGAAAAAAAAATCCCTGAGAAACAGGGCATGGTGCCTCCTGCCTATTATCCCAGCTACTCAGGAGGCTGAGGTAGAGGATTATTTGAGGCTAGTAATTCAAGAGCAGCCTGGGCAGGATAGCAAGACCCTTGTTTCTGAAAAAAAAATTAAAAAATATTTTTAAGTAAAAAAGAAAAACCCTGACAAATGGAGCTAGGGAAAGTCACAAAGAGAGGGTTTTATGTTGGTATGCCTGATAACAAAAACTATCACAGAAGACAGCAAAAACCACAACCTTGCACAAAAGCCATCACGTTTTACACAAAAAATACTTCTGCAAGGATGTCTACCTAGCAGCTGCCTGTCCAACCTCAGACTGGCATCACCCTTGTTATTGATATTTGTAGCCAGGGATAATTATTTCAAAACAAGTAATCCTCCACATTTTTTCCTTTAAAAGCTTTTGACTTTCTTTACCTTCCTGCATATGTACATAGTTTACTGTGGTCTGTGTATTCCTATGGCAATGCTCTATTCCCAGACCAGTATCTTTTCTTTCAGAGAGCCTCTCTCTGTTTGTCGTTTTGGTTAAGTCCAATTTATTGATGTTTTCATTTATGATTTGTGCCTTTTTTTTTTTTTTGAGACAGAGTCTCACTCTGTCACCCAGGCTGGAGTGCAGTGGCAGAATCTCAGCACACTGCAACCTCCACCTCCCAGGTTCAAGCAATTCTCCTTCCTCAGCCTTCCAAGTAGCTGAGATTACAGGTGCGCGCTACCACGCCTGGCTAATTTTTGCATTTTTAGTAGAAACAGGGTTTCATCATATCGGCCAGGCTGGTCTCAAACTCCTGACCTCGCGATCCACCCGCCTTGGCCTCCCAAAGTGCTAGTATGACAGGCGTGAGCCACCGAGCCCAGCCAATTTGTGCCTTTTTATCCTAAAAAATATTTCCATGTCTCTGGCTGGGCATGGTGGCTCACGCCTATAATCCCAGCACTTTGGGAGGCCAAGGCAGGTGGGTCTCTCGAGGTCAGGAGTTCAAGACCAGCCTGGCCAACATGGTGAAACCCCATCTCTACTAAAAATATAAAAATTAACCAGACATGGTGGCTCACACCTGTAATCCCAGCTACTTGGGAGGCTGAAACAGAAGAATCACTTGAACCCAGGCAGCAGAAGTTGCAGTGAGCTGAGATGGTGCCACTGCATTCCAGCCTGGGCGACAGAGTGATTCTGTCTCAAAAAAAAAAAAAAGAAAGAAATATTTGTGGATCTCAAAGTTGCAAAGATATTCTCTTAGGTTTTCCTCTAGAAGCTTTACAATTTTAGCTCTTAAATTTTAGGTCTGCAATCCATCTAAAATATAGCATATATAGAGGTAGGCATTGAGGCTTATTTTTTCCCCATATGGATGCTTTAGCATCCAAGTGTTTTAGCGCCATTTATTGAAGAGACTTTCCTTCTCCATTGTGTTTACTTTGGCATACTCGTCAACATAAGTGTGTGAAAGATATATGCGTGTGTGTGATTGCATGCAACACATGTATGTGGTCTATTTTATGCCAAAGTGATAAATGCATGGGAGTCTATTTCTGGACTCTATTCTGTTCCATTATTTGTCTGCCCTTTCAGCAGTACCAGACTGTCTTGATTACTATGGTTTTATTTATTTTATTTTTGAGACAGGGTCTCACTCTGTCGCCCAGGCTGGAGTGCTGTAGCACAATCTCAGCTCATTGCAGCCTCTGCCTCCCAGACTAAAGTGATCCTCTCACCTCAGTCTCCCAAGTAGCTGGGGCTACAGGCGCATGCTACCACACCTGGCTAATTTTTCTGTCTTTTGTAGAGACGGGGGTTTCGCTATGTTGCCCAGGCTGGTCTCAAACTCCTGGGCTCAAAGGATTCACCAGCCTTGGCGTTCCAAAGTGCTGGGGTTACAGGCATGACCCACCAAGCCTGGCTGATGATTACTATAGTTTTAGAACAGGCATATGTTTTTTTGTTTGTTTGTTTGTTTTTGTTTTTGAGACACAGTCTTGCTGTGTCACCCAGGCTGGAGTGCAGTGGCATGATCTCAGCTCACTGCAACCTCCGCCCCTAGGTTCAAGTGATTCTCGCGCCTCAGCCTCCCAAGTAGCTGAGATTACAAGCACCCACCACCACGCCTGGCTAATTTTCGTACTTTTAGTAGAGACAGACTTTTGCCATGTTGTCCAGACTGGTCTCAAACTTCTGACCTCAGGTGATCAACTCACCTTGGCCTCCCAAAGTGCTGGAATTACAGCAATGAGCCACCGCACCTGGCCTAGAACAGGCATATGTATATTGAATGCTGATGATACCAAAATGCTCTCTCAAAAAGTTGTATAAATTTGGCCGGGCATGGTGGCTCACATCTGTAATCCCAGCACTTTGGGAGGCCAAGGTGTGTGGATCACCTGAGGTCAGGAGTTCGTGACCAGCCTTGCCAACATGATGAAACCCCGTAAATTAGCCAGGTGTGGTGGTGGGCACCTGTAATCCCAGCTACTTGGGAGGATGAGGCAGGAGAACCGCTTGAACCTGGGAGGTGGAGGCTGCAGTACCTGGGAGGTGGAGGTTGCAGTGAGCCAAGACTGAGCCATCACACTCCAGCCTGGCCAACAAGAGTGAAACTGTCTCAAAAAAAAAAAAAAAAAGTTGTATAAAGTCACACCACTGCTAACAGTGTATCAGTGTTGGCTTCCCCTCTCTTACCAGCATGGGGTATTATCAACCTTATAAATCATGGGATCAGGTCTTAGTCACTGCTGTGTCCCCATCACTTAACCCTGTGCCTGGTGCACAGCTGCTAAGCCAGTGTTTGATGAATGAATAACATGAGGCTTTAGCATATCTATAAATATGCCAACACTCATTCAGATGCCCTGGTAGGTAACAAAGATAAGGCCATTAAATTAAACTCCAGGCAGCCAGGTGCAGTGGTTCACGTGCCCAGCCGCTCACACTTATATACCATATTTCCTTGAATGAGTGGGGTTTTGACACCCAATGTATTTCATGATGCTGGCCCGAAAGACTGGGGGCATTTTGCTTTAAAGCTTTAGTTTAGAAATGGCAAACAGCAGCTTAACTTAACCATAAAAGGACAAAGCCCCACAAAGGTCTTTTGGGGGAGGACTTTACCTTGTGTAAATGCCAAGGAGTCCAAATGGTCCTAGTTCCTAACTGGAGCCAACATGTCAATATAGATCTGCACCAAAAACAAATGTCCATGGCACCAGTCTTCATTAGGTAGGCCCAATTAATTTATTTTTGGGTTTCTTTTTTCATTTGGTTTAAAGATGTGGTCTTGCTCTGTTACCCAGGCTAGAGTACAGTGGTGTGATCATAGCTTACTGCAGACTTCAACTCTTGGGCTCAAACCATCTTCCTGCCTCAGGAAGTAGTCTCGGGTAGCTAGGACTACAAGTATGCACCACCATGCCCGGCTAATTATTTTATTTTTGTAGAGACTTGGTCTCACTATGTTGCCCAGTCTTGTCTCAAACTCCTGGCCTCGAGTGATCCTCCCACCTCAGTCACCCAAAGCATTGAGATTACAGGCATGAGCCACTGCGTATGGCCAGTAGGTTCAATTTAAGAACACGATTTTTGCTATTATAGTGTAACTGGATCCAATGCACTTTTCATTTCAGGAACTGTGTCCAAAAAAAAAAAAGGCAGACCGGGCAAGATGGCTCATGCTTGAATCCTAGCACTTTGGAAGACACAGGCGGGAGGATTGCTTGAGCCCAGGAGTTCAAGACTAGCCTGGGCAACATGGTGACACTCTGTCTCTACAGAAAATTTAAAAATTAGCCAAGCGTGGTGACATGAGCCTGTAGATCCAGATACTCGGAAGGCTGAGGTGGGTTAGTTACTTAAGCCCAGGAAGTCAAGGCTGCAGTGAGCTATGATTGCAGCCTGGGGGACACAGCAAGATCCTGTCTCCAAAAAAAATAAAAAATAACTAAATAACTAAATAAAAAAAATAACTAACCTGTGTACTTGTCTTACCGGAAAGGGGTCCCTCCCGATCCAGGCCTCAAGAGAGGGTTCTTGAATCTCCTGCAAGAAAGAATTAAAGGTGAATCCACAGAGTAATGTGAAAGCAAGTTTATTAGGAAAGTAAAAAATAAGAGAATGGCTACTCCATAGTCAGAGCAGCCCCAGGGCTGCTGGTTGGCTATTTTTATGAATATTTCTTGATTACATGCTAGACAAGGGGTGGATTATTCAAGAGTTTTCTGGGAAAAGGATGACAATTCCCAGAACTGAGGGTTGTTCCCCATTTTAGACTGTATAGGGTCACTTCTTGATGTTGCCATGGCATTTGTAACTGTCATGGCACTGGTGGGAGTGTTAGCATGTTAATACATCATAATTAGCATATAATGAGCAGCAAGGACCACCAGAAGTCACTTTCATGGCCATGTTGGTTTTGGTGGGTTTTAGCCTTTTTTTTCTTTTTTTTTCAGACAGAGTCTTGCTCCATCACCCAGACTAGAGTGAAGTGGCGTGATCTCTGCTCATTGCATCCTCCGCCTCCTGGGTTCAAGCGATTTTCCTGCCTCAGCCTCCTGAGTAGCTGGGATTACAGGTGCCCGCCACCACACCCGGCTAATTTTTTTTTTTTTGTATTTTTAGTAGAGATGGGGTTTCACCATGTTGCCCAGGCTGGTTTTGAACTCCTGATCTCAAGTGATCTGCCCGCCTTGGCCTCCCAAACTGCTAGGATTACAGGTGTAAGTCACCGCACTCGGCCCTTAGCCACTTCTTTATTGCATCCTGTTTTATCAGCGGGGTCTTTGTGTCCTGTACCTTGTGCTGACCTCCTATCTCATCCTGTGACTTAGAATGCCTCACCTCCTGGGAACTCAGCCCAGTAGGTCTCAGCCTTCTTCTACCCAGTCCCTATTCAAGATAGAGTCACTCTGCTTCAAATGCCTCTGACACTCTGGCTAGCAGAATACGTTCATGTGTTGGAAATGTTGGGAAATGGCATTTTCACAATGTATTTGGCATACTAAGGGCATATTTTTTCCTTCAATTGGAACATATATTGAACACTTATATCAGCACTGCTCTAAACCAAAGATAATCAGCTAAAGTGCTCAACAAACATATTTGCTTGCTAGGAACTATGCTAAGTTACATACACACACACACATGCATTTTTTTCTCCCATTTAATTCTCATATTTATTCTATTTGTGTTTCTTTATGTTGAGACAGAGTCTTGCTCTGTCCCCCAGACTGGAGTGCATGCAGTGGCGCCATCTTGTCTCACTGCAACCTCTGCTTCCCCGGCTTAAAGGATCCTCCCACCTCAGCCTCCCAAGTAGCTGGGACTATAGGCATGTGCCACCATGCCTGGATAATTTTTGTATTTTTTGGAGAGACAGGGTCTCACTATGTTGCCCAGGTTGGTCTCAAACTCCTGGACTCAAACAGTCTTCCCGCCTTAGCTTCCTAAAGTGCTGGGAGTACAGGCATGAGCCACGTGCCCAGCCACTCACACTTATTCTATTACCCAATGAGTGGGTATTAGCCCCGTTTTACAGTGTTAACACTGAGTAATCCTACAGCTGGTAAGGGGTAGAGCCAAGGTGCATGCCATGGTCCACCTACCCTGGACGCTGCTCTCGGGACAGTCCCTTTGGTGTTCTGCCTCCCAGACCATAGTGAAGAAGAGGTGTCATGCCCTGGTAGGGAACACTGGCCTGGAAGAGTTCATGGTGTTACAGGTAGTTAGGGCTGAGTGGCGCAGCAGAGTGCTCTCTCCCACCCGTTAGGAATGTCGAGTGATAACATTGCCTCTCTAAAAGGGATAAACTGGGAGCCCATGCCAGGGAGAGTCCATTTCCTGATGATCCACACCTGTTGCCCTAAAGTGTTAATTGAATGCAGGCACCAGGGAGAGGCAACTTCCCGGGCACGTGCATTAAGATGCACCGCATTAAATGGCGGGCGGGGCACAGTGGCTCACGTCTGTAATCCCAGCACTTTGGGAGGCCAAGGCAGACGGATCACGAGGTCAAAAGATCGAGACCATCCTGGCCAACATAGTAAAACCCCATCTCTACTAAAAATACAAAAATTAGCTGGGCGTGCTGGCACCTTCCACCACTAACAATGGAACTGCTAAGAATGGCCTGCAATGATCCTAAATACAAGGGTGGGAGAGAGAAGTACCCTCTTTATGTAAGTACGTTCCTTATACGGCATTATTTTATTTTATTATTATTTTTTGAGACGGAGTCTCACTCTGTTACCCAGGCTGGAGTGCAATGGTGCAATCTCGGCTCACTGCAACCTCTGCCTCCTGGGTTCAAGCAATTCTCCTGCCTCAGCGTCCCGAGTAGCTGGGACTACAGGCGCGTGCCACCACAGCCGGCTGATTTTTTGTGTTAATAGTAGAGATGGGGTTTCACTGTGTTAGTCAGGATGGTCTCGATCTCCTGACCTCGTGATCCGCCCACCTCAGCCTTCCAAAGTGCTGGGATTACACACATGAGCCACCGCACCCGGCCGGTATTATTTTAGAAACCAAGAACTGTACGCAACCTAAATGCTGGAGGTGCCATGAATGACAGTCATCCATCCATGGAATGGCTGAGGCAGCCATAGAAACTGCCCACCAGGCTTTTTTTTTTTTTTTTTTTTTTTGATGGAGTTTTGTTCTGTCACCCAGGCTGGAGTGCAATGGCGTGATCTCGGCTCATTGCAGCCTCTGCCTCCCGGTTAAAGCAATTCTTCTTCCTCAGCCTCCCAACTAGCTGGGATTACAGGCGGCTGCCACCACACCCAGCTAATTTTTGTTTTTCATCAGGCATTTTTATTAACATGTTGTAACATTCAAGGGGAAACAGGACCCAGAACTATGCACCCCCGTCAACCACATAAAAATATTCTCAGGAAAAGAACAGTAAAGAAATATTCCCAGAATGTTAGACTTGATTAACTCTGGTTAGAGGATCACAGTGGGTTTCACATTTTCTTTATTTTCTGGTTTTTCCATATAAGCATGTTTACTTTGATAAAATATTTTTTGAGAATTTCACACTTTTATGTAATATACACTTTTATGGTCTGTCTTTGTTCTAAACATTACTGGGATTCTGGGTTGCTTTTTGTTTTTGCTTTTAAGAGATAGGGTCTCTCTTAAAAGCAGTAGCATGATCTCGACTCACTGCAGCCTCAACCTCCCGGGCTCAAGTGATACTCCCACCTGAGTCTCAGAGTAGCTGGGACTACAGACATGTGCCACCACACCTAATTTTTGTGTTTTTGTAGAGACAGGGTTTTTCCATATTGCCCAGACTGGTCTTGAACTCTGGGCTCAAGCAATCCACCTGCCTCAGCATCCTGAAGTTCTGGGATTACAGGCATAAATGGATTGGGTTTTATTTTTGTTGTTGTTGAGACGAAATTTTGTTCTTGTCGCCCAGGCTGTAGTGCAATGGTGCAATCTCGGCTCACTACAACCTCTGCCTCCCAGGTTCAAGCGATTCTCCTGCCTCAGCCTCCCGAGTAGCTGGGATTACAGGTGCCTGCCACCACGCCCAGCTGATTTTTTGTATTTTTAGTAGAGCCGGGTTTTCACTATGTTAGCCAGGCTGGTCTCAAACTCCTGAGTTTTTTAAAGAGAGATAGTTGATGTTTTTGTTAAGCTGCGTATGAATCCATTTTTAAAGTTTTGGCTGGGCGTGGTGGCTCATGCCTGTAATCCCAGCACTTTGGGAGTCCGAGGCGGGTGGTTCACAAGGTCAGGAGATCGAGACCATCCTGGCTAACACGGTGAAACCCTGTCTCTACTAAAAATACCAAATAATTAGCCGGCGTGGTGGCGGGCGCCTGTAGTCCCAGCTACTGGGGAGGCTGAGGCAGAAGAATAGCGTGAGCCTGGGAGGCGGAGCTTGCAGTGAGCTGAGATCGCGCCACTGCACTCCAGCCTGGGAGACAGAGTGAGACTCCGTCTCCAAAAAAAAAAAAAGTTTTAAAATTTAGTATCTTCAAAAGGACTTTGAGGGATGCCCCCAATATTTGCATTCAGAGCAAAGGCAGATGAAATTGGAGAGAGCCAAAAGGTCAGTATGTCTTTTTTTAAAGTGGAAAATAAAATCTCTCTCTGACTCTCCAGCCGACCTGTGCTTCCTAAGGAAGAGAGCTGATGGATGGCTGGCAGTAAGGTTCATCTTCCTTCTTCTTGGAGTTCTCCCCACTTGGGGGGCAGAGTGACAGGATATCAGCAGACAGCACTGAGAAGTGGTCAGGTGCCCACCAGTGGAAAACAGCATCATCCCCTCCCTTCTACGCATCACCCACTTTTTTTTTTTTTTTTTTGAGACAAGGTTTGGCTCAGTCACCCAGGTTGGAGTGCAGTGACATAATCTTGGCTCACTTTCACCTCCGCCAACACCCCACTTTTTTTTTAAGAGACTGGGTCCTGCTCTGTGGCTCAGGTTGACGTGCAGTGGTGCTGTCACGATTCCCTGCAGCCTTGAACTCCTGGGCATCAAGCGATCCTCTGGCCTTGGCCTCCTGAGTAGCTGGGACCATGGACATGTGTAACCATGCCTGGGTAATTTTTAAAAATAGTTTTTGTAGAGGTGGGTTCTCACTGTTGCCCAGGATGGTTTTGAACTCCCAGCCTCAAACAAACCTCCTGCCTCTGCCTCCCAAAGTGCTGGGATTACAGGTGTGAGCCAGCACGCTCAGCCCCTCAACCCACCCTGAACTCACCCCTCCCTCCTCTATCCCTCTCTGAAAAGGCCCTGTGGTAAATGGGTTTTGCTGGGGCAGCACCACATCCAACTCCCTTTCCTATGGGGAGCAGCGTCTCCTCTTCAATGTTATGGCCCCAGTGGGCTCCACCTCCTCCTGCTGTGTGAACAGGGCCACCCAAGCTCCTTATTCTCATGGATCAGAGGCGAGCTCAGAGAAAGGCACATGGGCCCAGGCAGCCAATCAGGATCCTCCCTTGGGATTTTTTCAAGTGGAGTTGGACGAGACAGACTGCATTTAACAGAGTGAACTTAAAAACCGAAGCAGGCTTCCCTCCCAGGTGCGCGAGGCCATACTTCCTCTTTCTGCTGACGCTACTCTGAGTGGATTTCTATCACTTCCAACTGAAGTAATTTTTTCTTTCTATATTTTCCAAATTTTAAGAGACTGAGTCGGCCGGGCACGGTGGCTCACGCCTGTAATCCCAACACTATGGGAGGCCGAGGTGGGCAGATCGCCTGAGGTCAGGAGTTCGAGACCAGCCTGACCAACATGGAGAAACCCTGTCTCTACTAAAAATACAAAACTAGCTGGGCATGGTGGAGCATGCCTGTAATCCCAGCTACTTGGGAGGCTGAGGCAGGAGAATCACTTGAACCCAGGAGGCAGAGGTTGCGGTGAGCTGATAACACACCACTGCACTCCAGCCTGGGCAACAAGACTCCATCTCAAAAAAAATAAAGAAGAGACTGGGTCTTGCTGTGTCACTCAGGCTAGCATGCAGTGGCATGATCAAGGCTCACTATAGCCTCAACCTCCTGGGCTCAAGTGATCCTCCCACCTCAGCCTCTCAAGTAGCTGGGACTATAGGTGTGTGCCCCAACACCTGGCTCATTTTTTCAATTTTTTTTTGTAGAGACAGGGTCTATGTTGCCCAGGCTGGTCTCGAACTACTGGGCCCGTGATCCTTCTGCCTCAGCCTCCTATGCAGACAGGGCCACAGGTGCACACCACCATGCTCAGCTAGTTTTTTGAATTTTTATAGAGATAGCATCTTTTTTGGTTGCCCAGGCTGGTCTCGAACTCCTGGGCTCCAGCAATCCTCCCACTTTGGCCTCCTAAAGTGCTGGGATTATAGGCATGAGCCACTGCGCCTGGCCACCAAATTTTCTTTAGTGAAGACACAGAAATTTGAGTTTTGAGAAAAAGTCCTGAATTCCAAAATCACACATCAAAATCAAACGTCGATATGGGAAATGAACGAACTCCCTCTTATAGACAATTCCCCCTTTGCCCACGGGCCTCCAGTGCTCCCTCGCCCACCCTCCCCAGCCCCAGGGAAGAGGCTGTTTGTTCTTATTTCTCTTCCACCAGGGAGCCACGGTCTGTGTTCATTTTAAGCACATTGTATTTCAAAGAATCCATGAAGTTTCTCCACCATAAGTGAACAAAAAAGCAGCACAGGGGTCTTAGGATCAAGCCCTAAGATGACATGGAGGCCGGGCAACGTGGCTCACGCCTGTAATCCCAGCACTTTGGGAGGCTGAAGCAGGCGGATCACCGGAGGTTGAGAGTTCGAGATCAGCCTGGCTAACATGGTGAAACCATGTCTCTACTAAATATATAAAATTAGCTGGGTGTGGTGGCACGCGCCTGTAATCCCAGCTACTTGGGAGGCTGAGGCAGGAGAATCGCCTGAACCTGGGAGGCAGAGGTTGCAGTGAGCCGGGATCGCGCCACTGCACTCCAGCCTGAGCCCTGGGTGACAGGGTAAGACTCGGTCTCCAAAAAAAAAAAAAAAAAAAGAACATGGAAGCTGAGAAGCTGTGCCTGGAGTGGAGTTCTGTCATGTTTGGGGGAAATGTCCATTATTGTGCTGGGAACATAAATTACAAAGAGTGAAGGTGTAAAGTTAGTAATGTCCTCAATGTTTACATTCAAACTACAATGAAAGTTAAACGCAGTCACCATTTTGGACATTTTATTTATAGAAATTTCCAGCAGAGCCATTGTTAAGTACCTCTGTCAGGAGATACCTGTGAGAACCTAGACGGGAAAACAGCCACAGGTTGATCTGCATCTGTTCCTCCCCAACACTCCACACACACCAGAACAGGAATAGCCAGGCAAGCCTCTGGGTGCCCGGTGATGCACTGTCTGAGGCACAGCCCAGCACGTGCTTCCTCAGCACATGCTACACACACAGATCTGGACGAATGACAGAAACTTCACAGATGTAACTTCCAAGTGCGACCTCAAATGACAACTTTCTCAGGTGGTGCCTGGATAGGAAAGGCACCGGAACAGAATCTGTAGAAAACCAAACCTATCATGATCAGCATTCCTACCCGACGTTAACCTCCTAGACTAGCTGACCTTATTTATTTTGAAAGCAAATCAAGTGTATACAGTCTCTTTTTAAAAAACTGTGTAAACGTTGTAAAGTTTTTAGGGGCTGTTTATAATCTGAAGATTTATAAAAAATTACTGGACTTGTTAGGACTATAAATACTAACCCCGCCTCCCCCATGAAAAAAGCAATTGTTACAAAAATATAAAAAATATACTAGCTTCTACGATTTAACCTTTTCACCAGAAACCTCACGACCCTGGGACTAATCCTGGTTTATATACCACACAGCAAGCACAAGTGCAATTTTCTCCATTTTTTAAGGAAGAAAAAGTTTTAGAACATTCCCTTTTGTTATTTGAGATTGTGGCTACTTTCTTCATAGGGGCTGTGATGTCGGTGGGTAAGGACAGTTGGGAGTTTCTGTTTCCTCTGCACGGACCCGGTGTGGAAATCACAGCATAGAGGCTGCTGCCTCACTCCTCGGCCTCTTCTGCTTTCTCTCCAGCTTCTCCAATCCCATTTTGGGACATGCGGGGTCCCAGGCTCCTGAGCTTCCCTAACTTCCCACTGGGGAAGGCAGGGAGGATGGGGAAGCTCCCAGTGAGGGAGGCGAGGGCTAAGCCCGTAGCACCGCAGCCTCGAGTGTGGTCGGCCCGCCCAGGGCTGCTAATGGCAGAGAAGCCGCATGCTGGGGGATGGCACCCTCCTGTACTGGGAGAAGCCTGATGCCACAGGTCAGAGTCTGCAGCCTGGGAGGGGAGCCGGAAGCTAACATGAAGGCAAAACACTCTGCATGAAAGCACGGCAATGAACCTCCAACCACGACTGACTCCTCCACGGCAGCCAAGCTGCCAGGCACTTTTACCACCTAAAAGCTAGGAAACCGACCAGATTCAGCTCGCCACCATTCAAGAAAGGACAGGGCCTTGGCTGCTCGGCAGGTCCCGGGGATTGCCCTTGTGGGGAGGATATTTTCAGCCCTCATTTCCCCGCTGTCGCCAGCAGGGGGCGATGTGCTCACAGGCTCGGTCAGGGGAGAACAGGCACCGGTCACCCGCGGGATGGGTCCACACCATTCCAGCGGCTCTCTCCACGGAAGTGGGACACTGCCGGGCTGCACTATGTGTCACTGAAATTCAGGGAGACCTCTCAGACGGGGTTCCAGCCTACGCATGTTCAAGGGAACCCCTCATTCCCAAAGCCCGCCGGGCGCACAGAATTCTCAGGCCTGGCTGCGTTGCTGGGAAGCGGAGGCCCAGTTCCTCCTGCAGCCTGGCTCACACCCACGCCTCACAGTGGGGCCCTCTGACCGTGGCCGCAGCCCCCAGCATCTACCCCAAGCTAGTGCAACATCCTGCCCAGTCCACGTGCTACTGCGCTCCCGGCGCCTGCCTCCAGGCCACCGGGCGGACCCTTTCTCAGCCCCAGGGGCCTTCCAGGCCCTTCTGTTCAAAGGACCGGATGCTTCACACCGCTAAGGGCTTTATTTCACAGATCATGGTGGTGAGTTTGGATTTCCAGCCCTCACCACGGTTAAGTCACACATTTCCCGACACCTGCTCATTTCTCCAGATCTGAAACATCTCACCCAACACATCCTAGTTGTTGTAAACCCCAAATGAACTTTCCAGAAGCAAAAACAATAACAGATTCAGAGAACCCTGGTCACACCTGCTGAGCAGGTCCCCTCTACTCTGGTTGCATATAGAATGCTTGTTTGCTCAAAAGAGAGGCGCTCTCAACATCAAGGCACAAAGAAAGACGTCTCCAGGGGCAAAATGATGACGAAGTGACCAGCGGCCTCTGCGAGGCCCGAGGCAGAGTCACGGGGGAGGCGAGTTCAGCCTGACGGGCATTGGGAGGAAGAGCCAAGGACAGGTCTCCCGCTGGGGCTCAGGCGTCCTCACGCGTACTTCTCCAGGAAGTTGATGTGGAAGTCTTTCACCTTCTGCAGCACCGTTTTCAGCTTCTCCACTGGAGGGAGGATAGTCATCCTGGCAGGAGAGACAACAGTGTCAGCCTGGCTGCTCTGCAAGATGGGAGAGGAACGAATCCAGCAGCTAAACTGCCTCTAGGAATGGAAGAGGGAGGTCTGCCTGGTCTGCTTCGACAGCTCCAGCCCGGACAGCACCCAGCACTTGGACCACTTTCCCCTTCATTCACATGTTGGTTTTTTCACCCAAGTAATACACGTGAACAAAAGCAATAAACTGGAGCAGCATTTAGGCTAAGACATATCCACCCATTACTGCAGAAGGCCTGCATCACTTTTTTTTTTTTTTTTGAGATGGAATTTTGCTCTTGTTGCCCAGGCTGGAGTGCAATTGCGCGATCACTGCAACCTCCACCTCCCAGGTTCAAACAATTGTCCTGCCTCAGCCTCCCGAGTAGCTGGGATTACAGATGCCTGCCACCACGCCCAGCTAATTTTTGTATTTTTAGAAGAGACGGGGTTTCACCATGTTGACCAGGCTGGTCTCGAACTCCTGACCTCATGATCTGCTCACCTTGGCCTCCCAAAGTGCTGGGATTACAGGCATGAGCCACTGCACCTGGCCATATTTTTTTTTTTGGAGATAGGGTCTCACTCTGCTGCCCCAGCTTGAATGCAGTAGAGTGATCATAGCTCACTGCAGCCTCAAACTCTTGGGCTCAGGTGATCCTCCCATCTCAGCCTCCCGAGTAGCTAGGATTACGGGCATGCGCCAACATCCCTGGCTAGTTTTTAAACAATTTTTTGTAGAGACAGGGTCTTGCTATGTTGCCCAGGCTGGTCTTGAACTCCTGGACTCAAGCCATCCTGAATTTGGCCTCCCAAAGCGTGTGAGCCACTGCACTCAGCCCTCTGGAACATTTTGACCACTGATCAGAACTTTCTCTAGAGTATGACTCGGGCTTTCCTAGAGTTTGAGAGAGAGATTTCACTCCTACCTGAGGGGCCTTTTTTATCTCTAGTCAGTCTGACAGTGAGACACCCTCCAGTCACAACTCTGCTCCAAAGGAATTTCCAAGTTGCCACAGTAACTAACACCTCCCTCTGGTGCACCAAAATGCTCCCTGGCCTTCCTGGCAGCCCTCTTGCTTAAATCACTTTCTCATCAAGCCATCAACCACCGAGATGAGCCTGACCAGGGGTGGGAAGGCCAACCGGACAAGGTTTGTCCATCAGGGGACACAACCCACAACCTTGCCTAAGTCAAGACTTGGCTCCGGGTGCTAACAGCTCATGCCATTTCTTTTTTTTAGCATCTGCCGCAGGAGACCTCTGAGAGCAACATGTATGGGGAAGATGTTGTTCTGAAGAGAACTGGCCTCAGTGGAAAACCTCTGCTCCAGCCAGCTCAGCTCTGGGCACCGGCATTCCCATCCATGCAGGGCCAGAACGGGGTATGCCCTGGGCATGAGTGGAGCAAATTCCCCTGCAGTTCCTCGGCAGGCTCTGGGATCACAGGCAGTGCCATGGCCCAGGGTGCTGCCAGGAGCTACTAAGCACATGCCAGCACCACTCCAGGCACTGGCAGCTGTGTGCTGCCATCGCAGAGTTGAAAACGGACAGCAAAATAAGAAAACACCCTACTAGGAACATTTCAGACAGCGATGGGACCGATGGCAGAGGGGAGAGACAGAATAGTCAAGGAAGACCTTTCAGGGAATATAACCCTGAGCAGACAACCACCCAGATTTTCTTAATCCCTGGGCAGGGTCTGAGCTTGGGTCTGCAGCAGGACAGAGTAGGGGTGACTCGAGAGAGGACAGGGTCTCCGCACCTCTCTCTTTGAAGTAGTCCTCTGCTCCATGTCAAGAAGTCCACATTTCCCTGGACAAGACCCGGACCAGCCCCTAGTGCGGAGAGGAAGTCATACCTGAAGTGGTAAGTGCCTTCCCTCTGCCCAAAGCCACTGCCGGGCACGACACAGATGCCAGTCTCCTCCAGGAGCTTCATGCAGTAGAACATGTCTGGAGCCATTTGATGGGCCTATGGGAGCAGACAGAGCTCATGATCATTCCTGGCTTTGCAAACACACCATTCAACCCTCAAAGCCAAATGTAATCTAAATGGCAGGTCTCTCTCCCACGGCAGTGCCCTTCTCCCCTTCCGCTCCTAGAGGACCAGGGCCAGACGCTGGGATACTGCTGGTGGCTGGTGCCAGGCACAGACACCTGAAAACTACTGCAGGACAGCCAGGTGTAGGTAGTGGTCCTCCTGCCCGTCATCGGGCAGTGCCCATCCCCAGGCAGCCACTCAACAGGCATCAGCAGTGGCTTCCTGCAGGTCAAGCTGCATAATCCTCTGAAAATGGGGCCCTGGGGTCTGCACACAATTTTCATGGAACGAGCTTCTCTGAGGCACTCTCAACACTGCTTCCCACACACTGGTTTGCATGACCACCCGGGGAGCCTCTTAACTACAGATTCTCAGGTTCTATCATCAGGGATTCTTTTTTTTTTTTTGCAACAGAGTCTCCCTCTGTCACCCAGGCTGGAGTGCAGTGGTATGATCTCAGCTCACCACTACTTCCGCCTCCTGGGTTCAAGCAATTCTCCTGCCTCAGCCTCCTGAGTAACTGGAATTACAGGCATGTGCCACCACACCTGGCTAATTTTTGTATTTTTAGTAGAGATGGGGTTTCGCCATGTTGGCCAGGCTGGTCTCGAACTCCTGACCTCAAGGGATCTGCCTGCCTCAGCTTCCCAAAATGCTGGGATTACAGGCGTGAGCCACCGCGCTCGGACTACACCACGGATTCCTTTTTTTTTTTTTTTTTTTTTGAGACAGAGTCTCACTCTGTCGCCCAGGATGGAGTGCAATGGCGTGATCTCGGCTCACTACAACCTCCAGCTCCCGGGTTTAAGCGATTCTCCCTGCCTCAGCCTCCAGAGTAGCTGGGATTACACTGCAGGCCACCATGTCCAGCTAATTTTTTTTATATTTTTAGAGATGGGGGTTTCACCGTGTTGGCCAAGCTGGTCTTGAACTCCTGATCTCAGGTGATCCACCTACCTTGGGCTCCCAAAAGTGATTACAGGCATGAGCCACCACACCTGGCCCAGGGATTCTTTTTTTTTAAATTTATTTAAGAGAAGAGATCTTGCTCTCGCCCAGGCTGGAGTGCAGTAGCATGATCACAGCTCACTGTAGCCGCAACCTCCCAGGCTCAGGCGATCCTCCCACCTCAGCATCCCAAGGAGCTGGGACCACAGGCATGCACCACCCAGCTAAGTTTTAAATTTTTTGTAGAGAGGGTTTCACTATGTTGCCCAGGCTGGTCTCGAACTCCTGGGCTCAAATGATCCTCCCACTTCAGCCTCCCAAAGTGCTGAGACCACAGGTGTGAGCCACTGCACCCAGCCTAACACTAGGAATTCTGATTCTGTAGGTCTAGGATGGGGCCTAGACTTGGGTGTTTAACAAGGTACTCAGGAGGCCGAGGTGGGCAGATCACAAGGTCAGGAGATCGACACCATCCTGGCTAACACGGTGAAACCCCGTCTCTACTAAAAATACAAAAAATTATCCGGGTGTTATGGCAGGTGCCTATAGTCCCAGCTACTTGGGAGGCTGAGGCAGGAGAATGGAGCGAACCCGGGAGGCCGAGCTTGCAGTGAGCCACGATCGCACCACTGCACTCCAGCCTGGGCGACAGAGCAAGACTCCGTCTCAGAAAAAAAAAACAAAAAACAAAAAAACAAGCCAGGCAGTGGCTCACGCCTGCAATTCCAGCACTTTGGGAGGCTGAAATGGGAGGTTCCCTTGAGGCCCAGGAGTTTGCAACCAGCCCGGGCAACAAAGTAAGACCCCATCTCTCTCTATAAAAATGTAATTAAAACAAAACAAACAAGCCAGGCACAGTGGCTCAAGCCGGTAATCCCAACTCTTAGGGAGGCAGAGGCAGGAGGATGGCTTGAGCCCAGGAGTTTGAGACCTGCCTGGGCAATCTAGCGAGACCCGTTCTCCACAAAAAGGAAAAAAAAAAAGGCCCTAGGTGATCGGTGCACACACTGAAGTTTGGGAAGCGCTGCTCCAGAATGCAGTGGCTGGGTGGAGGTGGTAGCTCCTGCTGCTTCCCCCGCAGGCATCTCACCTGGGCACCGCCCTTGGGAGCAGCAGCATTCACAGAGTCCAGATCAGCTCCTTTCCCCTGGGGCCCACCTCATGTTTGCCCATCAACACAGCACACAGCTGGGCCTCCAAGAACCTGTCATCTTTACACGGTCAACACCCTCTGGCCGAGAGGTGCATACAGTTCCGAGCCTCCAGGGCCAGCACTTCTGCTCCCCAAGATAAGCAGGGGCCCCCAACCCAGCATCTCAGGTGAACCTGGTAAGAGAGAGCCAGCCCAGCCCATGCCCCAGACCTGAGCAGCCTCCACAGCTTTGGCAGGAATGAAGATCCGAGGGAAGGCGTACATGGCCCCCTGCAAGGGGTTGCAGTGAATTCCTGGGACTTGGTTAAACAGGTCTTCCGTCAGCTTTGCTTTTTTGGCCAGATTACCCAGGACCGACTCCTTCTCCTGATGAGAGATGGAAACAGCACAGCAGTCAGTATCTCTGGATAAAGATTCACTCCAGCCACTGATCTTTCCTGCAGCACTTGCGGAAATCCCAGATGATGACTTTGCTCCAGCTTTGAACACATGTCCCCTCTGACCCATGCGTTGACTCAGATTTGCTCTGCCTGGGTCACATGCCCCATGCACACCACACAGACGGAGTGGGTGGGGTGGTCTGTTCCTTCGACACTGGGGTATCAGACAGACTGACCAAAGAAGAGCTTGTGTGAGCCTGAGCACAGCAAAACAGGGAGGTGGGTGGAACACATCTCCCGGCACAAATTCTTCCACAGCGCTCACCCTGGGAGGCTGCCACGTGCCCTGGGGTGTGGGGCACACAGACACCAGGGAGTTCTAGGCCAAAGGGTAGAGCCCAGCAGCCTGTGTCATGGGTTCTATTCTCGTACCAGGATGTCTTTCCAGAAAATGAGAAAAACCAGTTGTTGCCTGTCAGTCTGTATGGACTTGGCTCTGGACGGAATTCCTCAGAACATGCTTCTAGGACACATGCCCATTCTTCTGCAGATGGGCCCCACCAATGCATCTGGGGGGGACCAGCGCGCCCCACCCTCTGTCTGTGTGGTGTGCATGCAGCACAGGACCCAGGCAGAGCAAGTCAAGGTCAGTGACTGGGCCTGAGCTGGGCGTATGTCCACGGCTGGAGCACAGTCACCGTCCAGGGCTTCCACAGGTGCCGCCGGCCAAGTGGCGTGGAAGGTGTGGGCTGCAGATGGAGGCATAAGCACTATGTGGCCTGTCCACGTGGGGAGCATGGTTCAGCCTGGAATCACGACACGGGCCACAACACAGATGGACCTGGAGGACATCATGATAAGGAAAATAAGCCAGTCACAAAAAGACAAATAAGACATGACTCTACTTTTTTTGTTTTTAAACGGAGTCTTGCTCTGTCATCCAGGCTGGAGTGCCATGGCGCAATCTCAGCCCACTGCAACCTCCGCCTCCTGGGTTCAAGTGATTCTCCTGCCTCAGCCTCCCGAGTAGTTGGGATAACAGGCATGTACCATCCCGGCTGATTTTTGTATTTTTAGTAGAGATGAGGTTTGACCATGTTGGCCGGGCTGGTCTCAAACTCCTGACCTCAGGTGATCCGCCTGCCACAACCTCCCAAAGTGCTTGGATTACAGGCATGAGCCGCTACGCCCGGCCAACATGACTCCATTTATATGAGGAATCTCGAGGAGGTGAGTGCAGAGAGAAGGGGGTAGAAGGGTGGCTGCTGGGGCTAAGGGGAGGGCAGGGTAGGGTGTTAGTGGGTAACAGGTAGAGCTCAGTGTGGGATCATGGAACGGCTCTGGAGATGGATGGCAGTGATGGCCGCACAACATTGTGAATGTCCTGAATGCCAGAAAACCGAGCACTTTATAAAGGTTAAAAAGGTCGACTTTATGTGTATTTTACCACAATTTTTTAAAAAAGAAGTGAGCCTGGACCAGTTGGGAGCTGACTTCTAGATTACTTGACCCATAAATTCCTTTGTTTGAACTGGTCAAAGCTGTCAGAGCTGGAGGACCCTGTCAAGCTGTGAGGACACAGGTTGGCAGAGGCGGGTGGGGGCCTGGGATCGATGCTGCGCCCCTCTACCTCCTCGTCTTCTTTTCAGTTTCATGAGTCCCCCCAGTGTGTTATCAGGACACAGCTCCCTTCCCTCTTCGACACTCGCCATGAGGAAGAGGAAGGGTTCACCTGCCCACACACACTCACAGTCCTCCTACTTCCAAACAATGCCCAGCTGCGCTTCCAGACTTCAACTCATAGGGGTGGTTCAGGCTCTGAAGAGCCATGAGTGCACCTGCAGGCCACACCCTCAGGAGGCTGCTGTCTGGCCACCTGGAGACAGGCTGGCCACTGGCCCAGCAGGAACTCTCGTGACCCCGGCCACAGGGGTGCAGACGCATCACAGTGGACTCACTCGGCTGAATTGCTCAAAGGACTCCTCTCCTGCCACCGGGGGGTTCACGACAATGTCCATGGCGGCCTGCCCAGACACTGGGGGGCACAGGCGCACCGACAGCAGCTTCACCAGCTGGCCCTTGATCTCAGGGTGCAGGTTGATCACCTCCATGTAGCCTCCTCTGTAACCACACCTGGAGGGCCAAAGAGAGGGAGAGGACCACCAGTTATAGAAAGACCTCAACAAAGTGCCATTTGGACAGCCAGAATCGAAAGCATTCCCACACCCAACACCAAATGGCCAGGTGTGGCTGAGTTCTTGCCAATGGAAGGTGAACAACAGTGATGATTGTGTACAAACTCCTATTTTTTTCTAAGAGACAGGATCTTTTTCTGTCACCCAGGCTGGAGTGCAGTGGCATGATCATAGCTCACTGCAGCCTCAACCACCTAGGCTCAAGCAATAGTCCCACTTCAGCCTCACAAATAGCTGGGACTGTAGGTGTGTGCCACACCTGTGTGTAGGTGGACCTTTAGGTGTGTGCCACCACGCCTGGCTAATTTTTTTCACTTTTTATGTATGTAGAGATAGGGTTTTGCTATGTTGCCCAGTCTGGTCTTGAACTCCTGGCCTCAAGCGATCCTCCCACCTCAGCTTCCCAAAGTGCTGGGATTACAGGCGTGAGTCACCGTGCCAAGTTCTGTAATTTATAGCCAAATTATAAATCAAATCATATGAAAATAAGCTGAGGACACATGATGAGTTTTAAAAAAAAATCTTTCCAGACCAAATCAGCAACATACATCTCCTTCTCTGGTGTGTGGCTGCAAACGTTCACACTAACGACCACAGGAACGCAGGTGCCTGGAGGCAGGAACCTGGTCACCTTCCTCCATGCATCCCCCACCCCCAGCCTCAGAGCACCTGACACAATGAGATGCTTAGTAACATGCTTTTGGGGGAGCCGGGTGAAGTGGCTCAGTCCTGTAATCACAGCACTTTGGGAGGCCGAGGTGGACGGATCACTTGAGGTCAGGAGTTCAAGACTAGCCTGGCCAACATGGTGAAACCCGTCTCTACTAAAAACACAAAAATTAGCTTGGCATGGTGGTGCATGCCTGTAATCCTAGCTACTTGGGAGGCTGAGGCAGGAGAATTGCTTGAACCAAGACCGGGAGGCAGAGGTTGCAGTGAACTAAGATCGCGCCTCTGCACTCCAGCCTGGGCTCCAGAGCGAGATTACATCTCAAAACAACAAAACAAAAATCAAAAAAACCATGCTTTTGGGATCACACTGCTGAACGGAACTGGCAAAGATTCCCATCTGATCCCTGGACTGGACGTTTCAAGGTGGGAAGATAAATTCTAACATCTCAGAAAAGTGTCTGGTAACAAAAATGGAAAGAAAGAACTTTCTGCTTAATCCTTTGCTGATGAGCAGAGAATCAAAATGAGTAAAGCAGTCAGACCCTAATTCATCCAGATCTGAGAACACCGGGCACGACTCAGGATCCCAACATCAGGGCACTGACTGGTAGTGTAATCAATAACTGAGATGGGGCAATGGATAAGTGTGTGGTAAACATGCTTGAGTTTGAAAACTGAGTTCACCGAGAACAGATTTGTTTAGGAAAAGAGCTACAGAGCAAAAGGAAGTCAAGCAAGGAGCCAGAACTGCTACAGGGTAGACCAGAAAGACCAGCCTGTTAGCCTGCGCCCAGATCAAAGAAGCCCAAGAACAGTTTGGCAGCCATCCCAAGGGGACTGCTCCCTTGACCTGGCGGAAGTATTCCTTTGAGCTTCACGCTTACACTGTTCCAGCCTAACAACCAAGAGCCCTCCCCATGCCGACACCTGGCACAGAATAGGACCCCACCACGTTGGGAACACATGCCCTTTGCTGCAAACCCACTGGTCTCTCCTCAGTCTCTGTGGCTTCCTCCTCTTTCCCCTAACCTCCTAGCAGTGGGGGCCCAGGCCCAGGCCTCACTCCATGTACGTATGAGATGTGTCCAGGCTTAGAGCTCCAACAATCTTACAATTCACACCCGGACATCTCCCAAACTTAAACCACCCACCAGAGGTCAGCCTGCCTGGAGACTTACACATCTCTCTCCACCTGGACGCCAAGCTGGCATGTTTCAGTTTAACAGGTCCAAAACCAAACTCCTGCTCTTTCCCCTTAAACCTGCTTCACCCTCAGCCTTCCTCATCTGTTGACTGCAACACCATCCTTCCTGTTGTTTGAACAACTAAAGATTCATCATGCAGTGGCGTCATCAGCTCACCGCAGCCTGGAACTCCTGGGCTTAAGCGATCCTCCCATCTCAGCCTCCTGAGTAGCTGGAAGCGCGCACCACCAAACCTGGCTGAGTTTTAAAACATTTTTTTGTAGAGAAGGGGTCTTGCTATATTATCCAGGCTGATCTCAAACTCCTGGCCTCGAGTGATCCTCCCACCTCGGCCTCCCAAAGTTCTTGGATCACAGGCGTGAGCCACTGCACCTGGCCAGGATTCATCTTTGACTCTTCTCTCCCACACCTGTCTTTTCCACTCACAATTCCTATCAACTCCACCTTCAAATACATCCAGGATCCTCTCCCCATCTCTGTCTGGTGCACGATATCTCACCTGGGAGACTGTAACAGCCTCCTGGCCTCTGTCCCCATCCCCCATCACACAGCAGCCAGAAGGAGCAACACACCAGCTAAGCAAGGCCACACCCCCTCCAACAGCTCCTATCTCATGCTGAACACAAGTGAAAAATACAATCAGCAAAGTGGACCAGGTGACCTGGCCTCCTATAATTCTCAGGTCTCCACTCCTGCCACTGCCCCCGTGCCCCCTCCTTTCCAGCTCCTGGCTGTTCCGCCAACATGGCAGGTGTGTTCTGCCAGCACAGCAGGTGTGCTGCTACCACAGGGTCTTTGCCCAGGCTGCTCCCGCTGCCTGCAATGCTCTTCCCCCAGATATCTGCACAGTTCCCCACCACACTCCTTCGGGGTTTAACTCAGAAGCCAACTCCTCAGTGAGGCTGCACCACTTCAGCCTTCGACCCCACCCCTACCTCTCTCCTAATGACTGTTCTCCGTGGGACGCACGATTTACTCATTTGCCTACAGCTCTCCCCCCTCACTAGAACCCACGCTTTGTGCCGGCAGGAGGGTGTTCGCTGCGGCATCCGCGGTGCTGAGATCAGTGCCGGACTCATCGTAAGTGCTCAGTAAACATTAGCTGAATGAACAGACACAGGATTACAGCTGACCCTTTAGCCTCTGAGGTCACACAGTGCCTAAGGCAGCCCTGCACCCAGAGCACAGCCAGTCAGCCTAACAGCATCTGTTTGTCTGCTCTATCTGCCCTCCCTGACCTCTCAGACATCAGTCAACCTCGGAACAAGTGACAGAGAAAACACCAGGTGTCGCAAGCTGCCATGTAGTCCTGTTTCCACTCCATTTGTCCGTTGTCAGGCTTCTCTGAGCACGCCCTTATTTGAGCCCCTGTACCAGGGCTGTTCTCACACCACGGCTCTCCCACTGGGGAGATGCAGCAGAAGCAACAGATAAGGGCAGCCTTCTCTCCATCCAAGTGGGTGGACCACGGGGCAGGGCAGAGGAGCCGGCAGCGTGAGGATCTGGCAGGCCCAGCAGTGGCAGAGGGAAGGGAGGCCCACGTACTCGCCCATGTAGCCCTTGGAGGTGGAGTGGAAGGAGGCGAGCTCCACGTTGCTGGAGTACTCGGGCCCCATCTCGTACAGCACCTTCTTGAAGGAGTGGAATCTGCAATCTGGAGAGTACACGTTGTCCTGGTACACCTGCGGGGGCACGGCAGGGACGGTCACCAAAGGGTCCTCAAAGAGGCTGCTGCCCAGTGTGGCCAAGGCAAGGGAGGGCACAGGTGCTGTGGGCCATGAGGCCCAGCCGGCCCAGCCTCCTGTGCCATTCCAGGGATGAGCCAAGTGTGCCTGAAGGAACTTTCTGGAATAAGCAAGGAGGCAAGGCCTCAGGCTGGATGCTGAGACAGCTCAGGAGCTCACTTGATTTCTCTCACACTCGTCCCCACCCAATCCCCAGACTTCCCTTCCACCCCATCTGACCAGTGATGGTGCTGAGACCCCCATCCTCCCAAGCAGACTCTCCTCCTAAAGCACGGTGCTTCCTTGCTTTACCAACACTGGTGACGACGGCATTAGTGGCCCTTTCCTCTGACCTCCTATTTGAAGAGCTAACCCTGTTGGGTTTCCTTTGCAACACTTAACCCCCCACTCGAGTGGAATCATTGTGTTCTTCCACCCACTTTTCCCTGCCAGAGCAGCATTTATACCCGTTTGGTTCTTTCCAGTCCCGAGTCCAGCACTCACAGCTGGCAGACACCCACCCTGGCCTTTGAGGTTAATTCCCCATCTATTTTGGAGATCAGAGAAACTGAGCCTTTCTGGGGCCCTGGGGATCAGTCGGAGGGTCAAGCTGGCTCCATTGCCAAGCCAGGCCCTGTCCTCCTCGTCCTCCTCTTCCCAGACCCAGAAGGAAGTTCTGTATACCAGGTTGTGAGGAAACCCATGGGTCTCTCTGCTGCCCTTTCTCTCCTTTAGAAATGAAGATATCAGGCCCATCTACTATTAAGGCAACAATTTGATGGGTAAGCTGTGTGTGTATGTATGTGTGTGTGTCTATGTACGTGTGTCTGTGTGTGTCTGTATGTACATATGTATATGTGTGTATGTCTGTGTGTGTATGCGTGTGTGTGTGTCTGCATTTATGTGTGTGGCATGTGTGGGGGGGTGACAAGGAGCAAAGAAATGAAGGCAGCGGGCTAGAAGCTGCAGCTCGCCGGAAACCATGCAGAAATGAAGAGGAAATAAAAAGAGGATTTGCTGGAACCTCAGTTTCTTTCTTACAAAACAGAAAAAGAATGAGCAGACCCTGGTTCCAGAACTGGAGTTCAAGAAGCAACAGGTACCGGGTTAAGATCCCTTCCTGAGATGTAAGCGAATTAAATGAGACAGTAGATACAGAAGCGCTGGGAGGCACAGAACTGCAGCTTTATGAGGAGTGGGCGTCAGTCATTTCTGCCACTGGGAACCCACCCTCCTTTGTTGGGTAGGAGCCCCCTCAATTGGCCCTCAAGGAATAACCCTCCTTGGTTCTCTATCTGGAGGTTTGGGAGAAGAAAGCAGAGGGCCCACCCTATGCTCTGGGCCTGGCCAATCTGCATACTGGAACCCCTACATCACAGTGATTGGTTCAGCAATGGGCGTGTGACTCAGGCTGAACCAATGAAGCTCAATTCTGAGACTTGCTGCAACCACCAGGGCAAAAAGCCCTCTTTCTAGGCTGGGAATCTCTAGGCTGAAAAGATAACAGGCCTGTGTATGAGGCCAACACAGAGGGGTAGAAAAGGGAAAGAGGACCTGAAAGATAAGGTCCAAGCCCCTGGATCCAGCTGCGTACCTGTGACCCCACTGGCATTTTTTCTTTTTCCTTTTTCTTTTGGAGCTTAAGTGATTTGGGCTGAATTTCTGAAATTTACAACCAAGAGTACAAACCAATAAAGGGGTAAATTAAGTCACAGTCCCACAAGTTGTAAAACTAAATATCCTCACCCTAGGCCAGAATCATTCCTCCAACACCAAGACAGTTCTCTCTGGCTGCAGAACAATGGGGGCTGGGTCCCTCCCTCTAGAAGAGAAAGCTAGTGCCCACTCCCTCTGAGTGGGGACATTCTTACCTCATCAGCCAGGAGAAAGAGCTTCTCTTCCCAGGCAAAGTGGATCACATCTTCTATGCACTTTCTGCTTTGTACCTGGCCTATAAAATCCCCAAGAAAACCAAAATGTCGGTTGTAATGCTGTTTAAATTGTCCCCAGGTCAGAAGCCCATCCAGAATCACTCAGTGCCCTGTGTTCCCTTGAGACCCATAGAACACCCTCCCCGCAGAGGCCCCCCTCCCCAGCTGCCATGCATGATGGTGTAGTCGGCCTCCAGGGACGCCCAGAAGAGCAGCCTGTGTGTCTGACTCTCCTCAGCCAGTTATGCGAGGGAGAAGGGGTTCTCACCTGGCTCTCTTATTTTTTTTTTTTTAATTTTTTTGAGACGGAGTCTCGCTCTGTCACCCAGGCTGGAGTGCAGTGGCACAATCTCGGCTCACTGCAAGCTCCGCCTCCCGAGTTCATGCCATTCTCCTGCCTCAGCCTCCCGAGTAGCTGGGATTACAGGCATGCGCCACCATGCCTGGCCAATTTTGTATTTTTAGTAGAGACGGGGTTTCTCCATGTTGATCAGGCTGGTCTTGAACTGCCAACCTCAGGTGATCCGCCCGCCTCGGCCTCCCAAAGTGCTGGAATTACAGGTGTGAGCCACCACGCCCGGCCCGGCTCTTATTTTTATGAAGGCTTTGTGTGTAGGTGTGGTGTGGTATTTGTAGGTGTGGTGGGGTGTGTGCACGCATACACTCACATGTGCATGTGTCTGTGTGTGGTGTGTTGGCATGGTGGGATGTGTGTGTGTGTAGGTGTGGTGGGTGTGTGTGTGTCTGTGTGGTGTGTGTGTAGTTGTAGTGTGGTGTGGGGTGTATGTGTCTGTGTATGTGTGTAGGTGTGTGTGTAGGTGTGATGGGGGTGTGTGTGTAGGTGTGGTGGGTATATGAGCCTGTGTGTGGGGTGTGTGTATGTGGTGTGTGTGTGAGTCTGTAGTGTGTGTGTGGGTGTGGTGGGGGTATGAGTGTGTGTGTATCTGTGTGTGGTGTGTGTATAGGTGTGTTGAGGTGTGTCTGTGTGTGGTGTGTAATGTGTGCAGGTGTGGTGGGGTATGTGTGTCTGTATTTGGTGTGTGTGTAGGTGTGGTGGGGTGTGTGTCTGTATATGTTGCGTGTGTAGGTGTGGTGGGGTGTAAGAGTGTGTTTGTGTCTGTGTGGTGTGTGTGTAGGTGTGTTGGGGTGTCTGTGTATGGTGTGTAATGTGTGTGCAGGTGTGGTGGGGTGTGTGTGTCTGTATTTGGTGTGTGTGTAGGTGTGGTGGGGTGTGTGTCTATGTGGTATTTGTGTAGGTGTGGTGGTGTGTGTGTGTGCACACACATGTGCATGTGTGGGTGTCTGTGTGCAGTGTTTGTAGTATGTGTCTATGTGTGGTGTACGTCTCTGTGGTGTGTGTGTATGTGGTGTGTGTGTGGTATGTCTGTGCTGCAGAACAGAAAGGCATGGAAGCATCATAAGGAGCAGGGAGAAAAGGCCTGCTACAATGGCTCACGCCTGTAATCCCAGCGGCTTCGGGAGGCCAGGGTGGGAGGACCGCTTGAGCCCAGGAGTTCCAGACCGCATGGGCAACACAGCAACACCTCAACTCTACAATAAAAATTATCCAGGTGTGGTGGCTTATGGCTGTAGTCCCAGCTACTTGGGAGGCTGAGACTGGAGGATTGCTTGAGCTCAGGAGTTTGAGGCTGCAGTGAGCTATGACTGTGCCACTGCACTCCAGCCTGGGTGACAGAGCAAGACCCTGTCTCAAAAATAAAACAAAGAGCAGGAAAATACAACTGCAGGAGTTAAATCTATCAGCTTGTGCCCTCCCCCCCATTACTGCACACCAGCAGCAGATGGTGAAGAGACTCGCATTGGCTGTGGCCACCGGGTGAAGAGTTAGCTTCTTTCTCCCCAGAGAGGCACCCATGAGCTCCACAAGGCAGGGACAAGGCCTCTCCCCGCTCATCGTCTGCCCTGGAAGACAGCACTCAACAGATGCTCAAAAAATAACTGCAGAATAAATGCTAAGTGAATGGGCCTGGGCACCAGCTTTGGTGTCTCCTGTCAGCTGCTACCATGCATCACTAAAGATGAGCACGCTGCAGGACTCAACGCTAACAGAGAACACTTACAACACATTTTATTATTTCTCTTTAATTTTTGAGATGGAGTCTCACTCTGTCACCCAGGCTGGAGTGCAGTGGCACAATCTCAGCTCACTGCAACCTCTGCCTCCTGGGTTCAAGTGATTCTCTTGCCTCAGCCTTCCCGAATAGCTGAAACTACAGGCGTAAGCCACCATGCCCAGCTAACTTTTTTATTTTTTGTAGAGAAGAGGTTTTACCATGTACCCAGGCTGGTCTTGAACTCCTGACCCCAAGTGATCCACCCGCCTCGGCCTCCCAAAGTGCTGAGATTACAGGCGTGAGCCACCGCACCCAGCCCCCATTTTAGAGAAATGAGTGCAAACAGCAAGATAGTGATCCATCCGTTCACACGAAATGCCATGGGTACAGGTGAGGGAAGGAGTAAACGCAACGAGGTAGAAATGGGACCTTCCCTCGGTATTTCCTGAGACCTGCTTTGAGTGTGGCACCGGGAATATCTGATGTGCTCACAATATCCTCTGGAAAACCACCACTATAATCAGGCTTGCTAACTTCTTAACAAGGGCTATGTTTGTTTACTATATGCCTGTGTATATTACATATATATCTAAGTGTGTGTACATATGTTTCTATACATGCATGTATGTATATTCTTTACAGTGTCTTGCTCTGTCACTCTTGCTGGAGTGCAGTTACATGATCCTAGCTCACTGCAGCCTCAAACTCCTGGGCTCAGGCCATCCACCAACCTCAGCTTCCCAAAGTGCTGGGATTACAGGCATGAGCCTCTGTACCCAGCCTATTACTGTGTGTGTGTGTACATATATATATACATACATATATATATATGCAAAACAGTATATAGAGTATCTTACCTTTTTGTTAATAATACCTATATTCTGGTCTATGGAAAAATATAAAAAATATGCCTGGAAAAAACATACACACGTACCTTGTAAGACTGTGGCATGATTCCATTAGAATTTCTATCTTGAACTAGCTAAGCAATGAACCAATTCCTTTACTAACGGACCAACTTTTCTTCTGCCAAGAAAGCACCAACTAGGCTTCCTATTTAAAAAGCTCAGGGTTCTGGGATGCCAGGAGGGTGGCAGGCCCCAGCTTCTATAAGAAACCAGCCACTATTCTCACAGACAGAGAAGGGCTGGTTTCTGAGGACAGCAGAACCTGCCTGTAATTCCTCCTGGTCTTGCCCTTCCATGCTTGTGATGCCACAAACTTTATCCTGTTGGAATGCAAACCAGGATTTGAGCACCAGAAAAGCTGTGTTCACTAAATGCTAAAGGAAACACAAGTGACTAAGCAAGAACCAGAGCCTTAAAAAGACTTCAGCCCAGTAAAGGAAATGAGACCCAGTGTGTGCAAATAATACTGCTGTTACACACAGCGTGAGGATAAGGGCAGAACTTAGTTCTCTCCAGCGCCTCAGAGCATGCCCGCTGAGCCAGTGAACAGATAAGTGCATGAACAGTGGCGCAGGAGAAGGGAATGTCATAAATGGCATTAGAGAAGCCAGGGCACAGCTGGGGGAGACATGAGACATGGCTTTGATACAGGCCCCAAAGGCTGGAGAGGGGTCTCCCAAGTACCTTTCGAGGCTGGGCCAAATTAATTCCCCAAAAGCTGATGGGAACATCTGTAGCTGGTGACTGAGCATCCTCCTTTGAGTGACAGATCACGACTGTTCACGTAGTTTGGATGTTTGTCCCCACCCAAATCTCACATTGAAATGTAATCCCCATGTTGGAGGTGGGTCTAGTGGGAGGTGTTTGGGTCAAGGGAGCAGACCCTGAAAGTCTGCGGCATCCCCTGCCCCGCCCTGATTCTCTCTCTTGTTCCTGCTCTTGCCATGCGATGTGCGTGCTCCCCCTTCACCTTCCGCTTTGACTGGAAGCTTCCTGAGGCATCCCCAGAAGCTGATACCACCATGCTTCCTGTACAGTCTGCAGAACTGTGAACCAATCAAGCCTCTTTTCTTAAAAATTACCCAGTCTCAGGTATTTCTTTATAGCAATGCAAGAATGGCCTAATACCACTGTCCTATGGGGAACTCCAGCGGGAGGCCTGGGACACAGAGCTGCCAATCAGAGTCCCAGGGATTTGACTGGTTCAGGAATGGGCAGGTGACCCAACTTGGGAATGGTGAAACTCTGGAAGAGGCTCGGCTGTAAGGCAGCTCAGCTGATGGCAATGGCTGAAAGTGCTGAAGCCACTCCAAGGATGGATTCTTCCTGAGGACTGCAACCCAGAGGAAGGTACAGCTGAGGAGGGTACCGAGGCTCCTGTGACACGGACTCTGACTCAGGCGCACTGCTTCAACCCTGCACTCCACAGTTCCACCCTCCAATCCCTTCAGTCTCAAGTTGGGTTTCTGTCTTGAAACCAAAAGGGTCCTGGTTTAAGAACCCAGTCCACTCTGACACCTTTAAGCCACCCTGGTCACAGTGTGTGGTCCAGACAAGACATATGGTCATCACAGGTGGGTTTCTATTTTCCAGAGACCCTCTTCTCACAGCTGACTGACTCTCACACAGTGAAGACCCCGGGAGCAAGGCCAGGTCCTGCCCACTCATAAAGTTATTCTTTATAAAAATTACTTATGTCAATATATCAGATTAATAGAAAATGACCTCTTTACTCAGAGCAGGAGACTTCTCTGGTACAATGACTTCTTCTCAGTCAGGTGAAAAGATTTATGTAAACACCTGGCCAAGAATGTGTTGACTCTGTGATGTGGACTAGGTACAGTGTCTTTCCCAAGATGTTGCAGAACTTGCTACCCCAAGTGTGGTCCTGGGCCCGGCATCAGTATCACCTGGGAATTTGTTAGAGATGCAAACTCTCAAACCATACCCCGGCCCAATTACATCCAAGTGTCTGAAGTGGGGCCCCGCAGCTTGGGCACCATGCTTCTGAGGCAGTGGGTCTCAGCCTCGGCAGCACAGGCTACCGATATCTCAGAGATCCTAGGGTGTGGCCTCAATTTTGACATTTTTCAAAGTTCCCTTTGTGATTCTAACGTACAACCAGGATTGAGAAGCCAGCTCTATGTTATTTTCCTACTGAATCTTTATCCCCCACACTCCCAGGAGCTGGGGTAAACAAGCCAGTGGTATCGCCAGCTGCACCCATTTTCTGCACTCGGGAATTCAAGGGGTGTTTTCAGCTGACTGAAGCATCATTTGATGTTCCCGAGAAACAGATTCCACAACCAACTCCAATGCATTTTGGCCCTGACCCAATTTATCTCAACAAAGGAGGAGAGAGGAGCCCTTGTTCCCTGTGTCCAAATAGCACTGGGGGCATATGAAGGCAGCGGCCCAGAAAGATCAAAACAGGCAGGACTGCAGACTTTTTTTTAAAGAAAAATATGCAAAATTGGGGGTGCTTTTCAACTTCTGGAAATTAGTGGTTTTTTTGGTTTAGTTGCTTTTGTTTTGAATATGACATTTTCCTCTCAGGCCTTAAAGGTACACAGCAGTGCTGTATCAAAGAAAAACCAACACACACACCAGCATTCTCAAATCCAGTTCAGAAAAATAAGGAAGAGTGACGGTAAAATGAGGCCTATGATTAACGGTAAGTTTGTGAGTAAATAATCTCAAGGAGGCAAGTCTTTGCAAATGAAGAACAGGGGAAAAAAACACCCAAAAAACCAGTCTTAAAAATAACAATACAACCCTGGCTGGGTGCAGTGGCTCATGCCTATAATCCCAGTGCTTTGGGAGGATCACTTGAGGCCAGGAGTTAAGACCAGCCTGGGACACACAGCAAGACCCTGTCTCTACAAAAATAAAAAATTAAAATATTAGCTGGGCGTGGTGGTGCTGCCTGTAGTCTGAGCTACTCAGGAGGCTGAGACAGGAAGATCTCCAGGAGTTCAAGGCTGCAGTGAGTTATGATCATACCACTTGCACTTCAGCCAGGCCTGGAGCCACAGAGTAAGACCCAATCTCTATAAAATAATAATTATTATTCAAACTGCCCCAGAAAATGTCTGCATTTACTCACTTTTTAGACAAGGTCTCATTCTATTGCCCAGGCTGGAGTGCAGTGGCATAATCTTGGCTCACTGCAACCTCTGCCTCCTGGGTTCAAGCGATCCTTCCACCTCAGCTTCCCTAGTAGCTGGGACCGCATGTACCACCACACCTGGCTAAGTTTTTTTTTTTTTTTTTTTTTTTTTTTTGAGACAGAGTCTCGCTCTGTCACCCAGGCTTGAGTGCAGTGGCGTGATCTCAGCTCACTGCAACCTCTGCCTCTGGAGTTCAAGCAAATCTCATGCTTCAGCCTCCTGAGCAGCTGGGACTACAGGCGCACACCACCATGCCCTGCTAATTTTTGTGTTTTTAGTAGAGACAGGGTTTCGCCATGTTGGCCAGGCTGGTCTCCAATTTCTGACCTCATGTGATCCATCTGCCTCGGCCTCCCAAAGTGCTGGGATTACAGGCATGGGCCACCGCACCTGGCCTACTCACCTCTTGAGGTGGCCTGTGGCAAATTTCATGGCTTTAGGTTAGCAAATCTGGAAGGGAAACTAGGGGCAGAGAGACCCTCCAATTATTTAACTCTGGTTTCTAGACAGCCAGTGTATCAGCCACCCCCACCCTCTACGAAACTGGTGAGGAAGTAAAGTGCAGACCTGTGGGGTTCCCAGGGTTGATTATGCAGAGCACCTTAGGATCACAGTGGTCTTTGGCCTCCTGCACCGCCCGCCGGAGCTCATTCACATTCAGCGCCCAGCAGTTCTCCTCGTCCAGGTAGTAATTCACCTGGATGGCGTCGAGCTCAGAGATGACAGCTGAATAGAGGGGATATTGTGGGATGGGGATCATCACACCTGTCCGTGACTTGCCGCCCCCGGAGACGAGGATCTTCAGGATCGTCTGCAACAGAGAATTCACATCTAGAAAGCCAGCACTACTTCCCATCCCTGACCTAGCCTTTCACCCGTGGCCCCACTGCATGCCTCCAGTCCAACTCTGTGCAAGTCGCTTTACTTCCCCGAGTCTCAGTTTCCTCATCTGTAAAATGAGGGCAGCTGCGAGGAGTAAGCAAAATACAACATTCTAAAGTTCTCAGCACAGTGCAGAACGTGTAGTTAATGACTCAGTACTTAGGCTGGGCACGGTGGCTCACGTCTAAAATCCTAGCACTTTGGGAGACTGAGGCAGCCAAATCGCTTGAGGCCAAGAGTTCGAGACCAGCCTGGGCAACACAGTGAGACCTCCACCTCCCTACTTAAAAATTTAAAAATATTATTTTTCTTTTAAAAATATATATTTTTAAACAGACTCAATACTTGTATTTTTAATACTTCTAAAATAGTTCCCACACTAGCCCTGTCTCAGAATTATTCTGACCCTGCTCCTGTAATCCTGATTCCCTATGTCAGGGGTGGGGCCCAGGAATGTGTGTTATCAGTATTAGTGCCCAAGGTTGGAAAGACCCCACCCCACACCCACCCCAACAGGGGACTCTTAAAATGGGATAAAATACCCATCTACTGCCACCAGGTGGCGCTTTGACCTGTTTTCCAAGCTGAGCAGGATGCTTGTTGAAGATTTCTGAGAAACCAGGCCATGGGATTCCTTTGGGGTATTGGTGGATGTGCCAGTAATTCATTGAATTAATTAGACAAAACCCTCTGCAGGGAGAGTCTCCACCTTAAACACGGGCATAGGTCCTTTTTCAGACTCAGTTCCTTGCTACAAAAATGCCACGAGATTTTAAAGTACAATGACTTGATTCTTTCCACTGAATCTTGTGGACACGCCCCCTTCCCTCCTCCAGGACCTCTTCCCACACTGGGCATTTCTGGGATTCAAGAGAGGCCTTGACAGCAGAAGGCAATGGAAGATGATGTGATTGGTAGCTGGAGCTCCAATGTTAGAGTCCCAAATGTCACAAGAACTGACTCTAGGCAGGTAGACCACTTAATGTCTCTGGGCCTCCATTTCCCATGGGCTCCAATAAGAGCTTAACGTGTAAGAAAGGCTTTGGGAAAGGAAAAAAGCACTCAACAAACAAGAGCCTTACAGGTCAGGAAACAAAGCCCCATTAAAGGAAGCGTTCAGACAGCACATGGCTCCCTGAGAACAGATGAGTTGACAGCACCCAGCACCATTCCAGGCCCTGGGAGGCGTGTGCAGAAAGGGATAGGCAGGCAACCAGTCCCCCCACCCCAGGACTGCAGACTCCACCAGTCCCCCAAGCCCAGGACTGCAGGCTCCATCAGTCTCCCAAGCTCAGGACTGCAGGCCCCACCAGTCCCCCAAACACAGGACTGCAGGCTCCACCAGTCCCCCACCGGGACTGCAGGCTCCACCAGTCCCCCGCAAGGACTGTAGTCCACCACTTCCCCAAGCCCAGGACTGCAGGCTCCACCAGTCCCCCAAACACAGGACTGCAGGCTCCACCGGTCTCCCAAGCCCAGGACTGCAGGCTCCACCGGTCTCCCAAACCCAGGACTGAAACCTCTACCAGTCCCCCAAACCCAGGACTGCAGGCTCTACCAGTCCCCCAAGCCCAGGACTGAAACCTCCACCGGTCCCCCAAACCCAGGACTGCAGGCTCTACCAGTCCCCCAAGCCCAGGACTGCAGGCTCCACCAGTCCCCCAAGCCCAGGACTGTAGACTCCACTGCAAGTAACTCCACTGCACTCCAGACTGCAAGTAACCACTGGCCCCAGCCCTCCCCGACCCCATCGGTAGCTGACCCCAGCCCGAGATACCTCCTTTTGCCTCCTGTGCCCCTCCCAGCCAAAATTAAAACTTAGGAACAGAAATCTAACTGCTCCACCTCCTTCTCCTTCAAACCCTTCAGTGGCTCCCTGTTGTTCTTAGCACAATGACCCAAATCCTCAGCATGGCCTCTAAGGCCCTGTACTGGTGCCAGCTGCCTTGCCAGCCCACGCCTGGTAACTCCGACCCTTGCTGTGCACTCATCCCCCAGCATCTCCAGTTCCCAGCACTCAGACTCCTGCCAGCTCTAGGCCTCTGCACACAGTGACCTTCAGCTCAGAGCACACCCCCTCTCCCAGTTCACTCCTGTGTGTCCCTCAGGTCGGTGTCTACTCGGCCTTCCTTGGAGACTTCCTGCCCCCGCTCCACCAGGTCGGAGTTCCCACTGCTCCTTCCCATAACACCCTGTCCTTCTCTACTGCAGAAGAGAAACTAAAAGCTTGTGATGTGCATTTATTTTTGTGATATCAGCTGGTCTGCTCTGCCTGTGTAGGCAGAGGCCAAATGATGTGTTTGGTTTCCCATTGTCTCCCCAGCACCTGGCACAGGAGGAACACCAGTACGTGCAGAACCACAGAAAGGCCAGTGGCTACCCTCGGGTGTCCCCCGGCTTCTCTGCAGCTGGACCTGCTGGTGTGCACTCCGGACAGAAATCGAGGCTGCAGTAGTGTCTAGGCTCATGAAGACTAAAAGAGGCAAAGACTGCAGGCTGCCAGGGCTGGGGGACCAGAGGGTGGCCACCCGTGCTGCCACCCTCCCTGCTAGCCAATTCCAATGCTGGGCCCTAACAGGCAAGGCTGCTCTTCATGTGGGTAAACACCGGATAACAACGAGCCACCCTCACACGTACAGAAATGCCGTCACTAGCTCCCGTGGTCAGGTAGATGTTGTCGGGGTCCGCAGGCACACCGCCATCCCTCCTGGTGATGTAGGCAGCCACATCTTCACGGATGCAGTTGACACCCTGGCTAGCACTGTAGGACCCTGTAAGACAGCAGGCAAGACAGTAACAGAGGCAGGATGTCTGGCTCCACAGGGTCAATATAATTAACATCCATATAATTAGAGGGATGCCTGTTTGGGGTGAGGGTCTCGGGGTGGGGCCCAACTCCCATTGCTTTGGAACTGTGGGAAACTGCTTAACCACCTGTCTTGGCTTCATCCACCCACCCCTCTATCCATCCACCCATCTACTCATCCACCCACACATCCATCCACTCATCCACTCACTCACCCAGTACTGACTGAGTACCTACTATGCGTTACACATTATTCTAGGCCCTGGCTTCTACTCAGTCAAATGGTGTCCACAACTGTTCCACCCACCCTCCTCGGATTTATATGTGATCTGTGACAATGTCAGTCACTAGAGCTGGGATTCCCATGCCTTTACCATGGTTGCCTACACATGGTTCCATAGGACTTGAGAGAGTGGGCCAACACTTAGGCTCCAAAATAGCACCCCCTGGGCTGGGCGCAGTAATCCCAGCATTTTGGGAGGCCAGGCAGGAGGATGACTTGAGCCCAGGAGTTTGAGACAAGCCTGGTCAATGTGGTGAAACCTCAGCTCTACAAAAAATACAAAATCAGCCAGGTGTGGTGGCATGCGCCTATAGTCCCAGCTACTTGGAGGCTGAGCTGGGAGGATTGCTTGAGCTCAGGAGGTAGAGGCTGCGGTGAGCTATGATGACACCACTGCACTCCAGCCTGGAGTGAAACCCTGTCTCAAAAAAATAAATAAAAATAAAAACAAAAACCCCACATTAGCACCACTGGCCAGCCCCAGGCACCCAGGGCTCTGACCAGCATCAACCACAGAACCCTGGGACTGCAAGGCATCCTCCAGCCTCCAGTCCCATGTGAACATACCCTCCCGCTGCCATTTAGGGTTGAAAGCCATTTATACTAAGTTCAAAAACAGGTAAAACTAACGAATGGTCCTGGAAGCTGAGCAGTGGTTAACTGCTCTGGGGTGGGGGTATTGACTAGAAAGACCCATGAGAGAGTGTACAGGGGGTTGGCAGCTCCGTATCCAGAGCCTGGTGGGGAGACATCGATGTGTGCATGTGTGAAAGGTATTCCAGCTGTACGTTAACATTTTTACCTCCATAAAAAAGATTTTTTTAAATGTCAGGCCGCTATTTAGGTTTTTGAAAATAAAATGGAAAGATGTATTTGTACAGGTGCAAGATCTCTCTGGAAGAAGACTCAAACTGGTGAGGTGAATTCCCTGTGGAAGTGCATGGGGGCTGGGGGTCAGATGTGGAAGGCAGATGTTTCATTGTATATTCTTTTAGATCTTTTGAATTTTACACTGCATTTAAAGAAAACCAGACTATTCCTTCTGTGGTTACTGCAAAAACCACCCCCAGGAGGCAGGATGGCGACTGGAAGTAGCAGATTCTCCTCTGGGGCCTCAGCATGCATCAGTCCAGGCCTGGCATCGAGGAGGAACACAGTCAAATGCTCTGAACTGGGGTCGGGCGCAGTGGTTCACGCCTCTACTCCCAGCACTTTGGGAGGTTGAGGCAGGCAGATCACCTGAGGTCAGGAGTTCGAGACCAGCCTGGCCAACATGGTGAAACCCCATCTCTAAAAAAAATCAGCCAGGTATGGTGGCAGGTGCCTGTAATCCCAGCTACTCAGGAGACTGAGAAAGGAGAATCACTTGAACCCGGGAGGTGGAGGTTGCAGTGAGCCAAGATTGCGCCACTGTACTCCAGCCTGGGCGACAGATTGAGACGGTCTTTAAAAAAAAAAAAAAAAGCCCTGAACTGGAATCCCCTAGCTCTGCCTCAGCCTCTCTGCGCAGCATTGGGCTCTGCACAGCTGTAAAAGGAACAGCCAAACCAACACTCTAAGGTGCCAACTGGCAAACGTTAACTTGTGTCACTCTGGGTGGTGGGCATGGGCTTCTGTCATGTTATTTTGAGTATTCTAATACATTTGGAGTATTTTGTAAGTTTAAAAAAGGGTAGGTGCAGATGCTGGTGTTAGAGCCCTCCCCCAATAGGTGATTTAGTTGCTATTTCTGAGCTTCTGTAAGAGAGACCTTCTAGGACTCCTTGCTTCCCTTCACCCCTTTTCAATGCCCCACCTTCTCCTCCTCAAGGCCTCCCATTCTTCCTGCCTCTAAGAGCATCCACTTCCCTGAACACCCAGGCCTTCACCCATTAGCAAGCCCTCTGCTTCTCTGAATGTTACTTCTGCGGGTCACAGACTTTCTACCCTTCCAAGGAGGCTCCTGGGTTTCTTTTTCTTCAGATCTCACGTTATGCTCCAAACCACACTGATCCTTCTAGGCTCATTTCTAGTCTGTCTCCCGGAGGCCTGCCCTAAAGATTCTGCTCCACCTCCAGCCAATCTCTCAGCCTATAATTTCTCCAGTTACTTTATTATGTATTAGTTTATTTAAGAGACAAGGTCTCACTTTGTTGCTCAGGCTGGTGTGCAGCGGCACGATCATAGCTCACTGCAGCCTTGAACTCCTGGGCTCGAGCAATTCTCCCACCTCAGCCTCCCAAAGTGCTAGGATTACAGGTGTAAGCCACTGTGCTGGCCCCTCCAGTTATTTTGTACAGAAGCAGCCCTGCCCTCCCCACGCTGACTCTTGACTCTTGGTTCCTCCAGGGCAGGGGCTGTTACCCGTTTCTTCTGTGCATTTCTCTCGGAGCACCTTGCCCACTGCGGGCTGTGCTCCACTACACCCTGCTGAGGACCCACTGCCAAACTCCCACCTCATCGAACACCACTGCCCTAGGGCCCCTTCATTCAGTCACATGGAGGTCCCAACTTTAGGGCCTTTGCACACACTGTTCGCTGGTCCGGCATGCATTTGCAGGTTCTTACTCATCCTCCCCATGAGCGTGAATGCCACGTTTCCCCTTAAGCTCTTCCTCTCCATTAGAGCCCCTCGTTATAATCCTGCAGCTCTCTCCGAGATCTCATGAGAACTAGTGATTACACATTCGTATATATTCTTTTTCATGTTTGTTTCTCCCAAATCTGATAGCTTTGTGAGCACAGAAGCTCCACCCACCTTGCTCACCAGTGTCTTTGGTGTCTAGAACACAGCCTGGTATGTACTCAGGGAGGGGCTTGACAAGGGCACACAGCTCCTGCCCCACCCCAGGCAGGTGCTAGGTTTTACCTCAACCCCATTGAGATCCAGGACAAACCTGAGAACCAAATTGCTCGTCAAACAGAACATAAATGAAGTTGCTGGGTGTGGTGGCTTATGCCTGTAATCCCAACTACTCTGGAGGCTGAGGCAGGATGATTGCTTGAGCCCAGGAGTTCAAGAGTAGCCTGGACAACAGTGAGACCCTATGTCTACAAAAAATATAAAAGTTGGCTGAGTGTGGTGGTGTGTGCCTGTAGTCCCAGCTACTTGGGAGGCCGATACAGGAAGACTGCTTGAGCCCAGGAGGTCAAGGTTACAGTGAGCTATGATTGCACCACTGCACTCCAGCCTGGGTGACGGGGAAAGACCCTATCTCTTAAAAAGGAAAAAAGAAAAAAAAAACAAAAACATGAAGCCCTGCTAAGAAATAATATATATTTTTTTCTTTTGGAGGGGACAGAGTTTCACTCTCATCACCCAGGCTGGAGTGCAATGGCATGATCTCAGCTCACTGCAACCTCCACCTCCTGGGTTCAAGCAATTCTCCTGTCTCAGTCTCCCAAGTAGCTGGGATTACAGGCACCCGCCATAATGCCTGGCTAATTTTTGTATTTTTAGTAGAGACAGGGTTTCGCCAAGTTGGCCAGGCTGATCTCTAACTCCTGACCTCAGGTGATCAACCTGCCTTGGCCTCCCAAAGTACTGGGATTACAGGTGTGAGCCACCACGCCCGGCCCAAGAAATAATTTTAAAGGGTATGATAAAAACACATCCTGAGTGGCCAGGCGCGGTGGCTCACGCCTATAATCCCAGCACTTTGGGAGGCTAAGGTGGGCAGATCAGGAGGTTAGGAGTTCAAGACCAGCCTGGCCAATATGGTGAAATCTCATCTCTACTAAAAATACAAAAATTACCCAGGCGTGGTGGCGCGTGCCTGTAGTACCAGCTACTCAGGAGGCTGAGGCAGAAGAATCGCTTGAACCCGGGAGGCAGAGGTTGCAGTGAACCAAGATCGTGCCACCGCACTTCCAGCCTGGGCAACAGAGTGACACTCTGTTTCAAAAAAATAAATAAAATCTCTGGATGAGCTTCAAGACTTTGTATACATATTTAATAATCTCCCTGTGGGTCAGGGTGGCCATGGAGCATAGTGACATGCTCCATTTCTTTTTACTCCTGTGGGCAGAAAAGTGCTCAGGCTGCCCAGAGCGTAGGTGACAGAGAGCGACACCACTATGTCCCTGTCACGCGAAGGACCACACTGTCCTGCCCCCTGGAATGGGCAGGGCTTGTCTACAGCTAACAAGGGGCTTTAGCACACATGAACCTTCCTTGCAAGCCGAGGAGGTGGGTACAAAGTACTTCCTGGCTGAAGGATGAGAGAGACTCCAAGGACTCCTACCTCACCTGTTTATGAGGTCCTGGAACAGGGCTTAGGGTGGGTCCCAAAAACCATGAGGGCCAACTGGTCTTTTGCTGTAATACCCCACGAGGGAACTCACAGGGACACAGTCTCTCAGCCCCACTACCCCAGCTCTGGCTCACACGAAGTTGCAAAAACCTGTTGATGAGGCTTAGCACGTGGAACAAAAATCCGTACCTGGTCCCCAGACACTCGCATCAGACACACAAAAGGCACATTCCCCTCCCCCTGCCTCTCAGTTGGGGGCTTCCAGGAGTTTTAGGCCCATGGCCACGGGGTCTTTGGGAAACACCTTTGCCCTTGGGGCCAGGCAGAGGGTGCAGGGGGGAAAGGAGCCCGGAAGCCGGGCCTCTGGGCTGCAGGGCTGCTTTCTGCCAGCCTGTGGTTTAGGTCTTGGCACACAAGGCCCCAGCCCACACCCCATCCAGGCTGGCAGGTGGGAAAGCAAGGGGCAGCTGGCCCCCTCCTGAGAGAGACAGTGTCCAGACTCAAAGGGAGGGCAGGGGGGCCACAGCCAGGAGGGTAAGCACAGGGCCGTCAATAAGGGACGGAGCAGAAAAAGTTGGCGGGGGTGGCGGGAGATGGAGACAACAAGGGGGGCCACTCCCCTGCTGAGCAAGCCACGGGAATCTGTCCCCACCCTCAGCTCCACTTTCGGGAACATCAGGGCTCATATCCTAGGAAGACTCTAAGAACAACAGCAGTTTTCCTCAGGGCGAAGGAAGCTGGATTCCCAGCGTGGGTGCTGCATGAAGGAACCAGCAGAAATAAACAGAGGAAAGAAAATGACAGAACAAAAACCTGGAGGCCCAGAGGCTGGAACTCCATCACCGCAGGGGAGGGAGAGAATCATCTTCACATCTACAGGGGCCAAGTTCCAGGTCCACTCTGTGGAGCCTGGTGCCACGTCAGGATGCAGACATTGGGGCATGGGTCCCTGAAAGGATGAGTGAGGGCCGGCTTGAGGGGAACACCATGAAGTACCAGGGGGTACTGGCACCATCAGACTGAAGAAAGCCAGAGAAAGGGGCTGGAGGGGTCCCAAGGTGCTTCCCTTCCCTAGCAATTGGCTGCCATCTCCAAGACAGTGCAGAGACATGTTCAGAGCTGGAGGCCACAGAGAGGCAAGGATGCTGAACAAAACTGAGCACTGCGTTTCTACCTGGCCTCCAGCTGCTGGGTGAAACCTGCTGTGACGAAGGCAGGCTCAGCTGCTGTCCAATGAGGCTGGCTCCCAGGAGGAGCACCCACACCCGGCATGATGCAGGCACTTGCACCTAAAGGTGGCACCGGCACCGCCTGCTTAATAAACGAGGCCAGCAAGGTGTGAGTGGGAAGAGGACGCTATTTTTTGTTTACTCTGTGTGCTGTCAGCCACCCACACACGTTCACACACCCATTCGCATGCAGGACCCTCCGCTTGAGGCTGGGGCCGCCTGGGAACACTCATTCATTTCACGCCTAGGGGCCTGGCAAGTTGGGGCCTCACCCAGGCTGTTCCCGCCACAAGCCTGCAGGATCCGCCGGGCACGTTTCTTAGCATCTTCTGGGAAGCTGGGGCTGTCCAGCAGGTTTGGGTAGGTGCATAGTGCCATCACCTGGGGGAACAAGACACAGGCTGAGCTCCCAGCACCCCCACTCCTAGAGCTCCAGGAGGAGCACAGAGGCCACTGGGAGGATGACAGCTCCCAGGGATGGGGCTGACGCAAGCCTCTCTGCGAGGACTCAGCCTGTGGGAGCTTGGGAGTGGGAGGGGAAGACGCTGGGCTCTCTGCAGCAGAAGGGGAGAAGTTGAGAGTTGGGATGCACTATGACCTGGGCTGCTGGAAGAGAAGCCAATGATCAGAATGAGGCTGCTACTTCGCCCCTGGCCCAAGCTCTTCCGCTAGGGACAGTGGGCTCACACACCCAAGGCACAATCAGGGGTTTGCAGAGCAGGGGGCAGGCGATGCCCAGCTGGGTGGAGCATGGCTGCAGAACCCCCTACTCCCAGCCTGAGCTCCCTCAACGCCCTAGGCCCCCTCCCCCTGCATTCCTCATCACCCCCTTTCCTCCCTAGATGAAAACTGGACCAGCTTTCTCTTCTCTGTAACAGAGAACATCACCCCAACCCCACAAATTAAGAGGATTAAGCAAGCAAATGTGTACAAAAGTGCTGGTAACCCCAGCTCGCCCGGCAAGTTGAGGCTGGCACTGAGGAGCCAAGCCAGGTGCACTGAGGGGGTCAGGACTTGTGGCTCTGACACCAGTGGGGTGACTTCAGCGAGCGCCTGGCTTCATGGAGCCCAGCTTCTCTTCATCTGCACAATGGGCACTGAGCTGGCCTGCCCGCCTCCCAGGTGCACCTGCGCAGGTCAGAGGAGATGTGTGAAGGCTAGAGGCAGCTGGCACCAGGCTGGAGAGGCTGGGCCTGCCATGCACAGTGGCAGGGCTGGACCTGGGAACACGTCTCCAGCAAATAAGGCTGAGTAAGGCCTGTTCTGAAGCCTGCCACAACTTAAACCCAGGCCCATGAGGGGACCTCTCCTGAGAGGCCACTCTCACTTGGCCCTCCCCTTCAAAGCTCACGCTCCAGGGAAGTCAGGGCCCTCTGGCCTCCTCCCACCTCATTTCCCTGGCAGAGCCACTCTGTGTGGTCTGATTCATTTCCCCTTCCTGGGCCCAGCATGGGGACTCTAACATCCAGGGCTGCTGGCCTGCTCCAAGGGTCAGCAGCAGTGGCTGTGGGAGGGAGGCCCAGTGAGCGCCCCTCAGACCAGGGCCAGCCTCAGCTCCTCTCCCTCACTGCCCTGTGACAACTCCCTCAGGGGCTGTGGGCTGAGCCCTCCCAGCCCCTCCCCAGCCCTCTGCCCCAGAGAACAAGGCAGGGAACAGGGAACTGGTGTTCTTGGGGCTCAACCTCCCTGATGGCCCTAGCCCATGAACCTTAACCACACACAGCACTGCATTTTGATCCAAAATGGGCCTCAATCCCAGTGTGGCTCAGGAGGTTGAGGCAGGAAAGGATTACTTGGGTCCAGGAATTCGAGACCAGCCTGGGCAACACAGCAAGACCCTGTCTCTACCAAAAATTTTAAAAATTAGCTGGGTGTGGTGGCATACACCTGTAGTCCCAGATACTCAGGAGGCTGAGGCAGGAGGATTGCTTCAGCCCAGGAGTTTGAGGTTACAGAGAGCAGTGATCATGACAATCGCACTCCAGCCTGGGCAACAGAGCAAGACTCTGTCTCTAAAAAAAAAAAAATATATATATATATATATATATATATATATATATATATGTGTGTTATATATATATATATATGTGTGTGTGTATATATATACACATATATGTGTGTGTATATATATACACATATATATGTGTGTGTATATATATGTGTATATATATACGTATATATATATATATATGTATATAAATATAAATAAAACAGGCCAGGTATGGTGGCTCACGCCTGTAATCGCAGCACTTTGGGAGGCCGAGGCAGGCGGATCATTTGAAGTTAGGAGTTTGAAACCAGCCTGGCCAACATGGAGAAACCCCATCTCTACCAAAAATACAAAAATCAGCCAGGCGTGGTGGTGCATGCCTGTAATCCCAGCTACTCAGGAGGCTGAGGCAGGAAAGTTGCTTGAACCCAGGAGGTGGAGGTTGCTGTGAGCCGAGAGCATACCACTGTACTGCAACCTGGGCAACAAAACAAAAACAAACCTGGGCGACAAAACAAAAACAAAAACAAAACCTAAATAAAACAAAACAGGCCTCAGTCCTTCTAGAAAAAGCTGTCACACACTGGGTCTCCCGCCTCTGTCCTGCCCTGGGGCATCTCCCACCCCACCGCCTCCAGCCCACCAATCCCATAATCCCACAATCCCGGCCCAGGCAGCACTCTCGAGGTTAGTGCTCAGACTGAAACATGGAAGCCGCCTTCTCCTGGAGCCTGAGGAGGGAGCTGGGTCACTGCAGAGGCAGCCAGGGGTGCAGCGGCTCACAGTGGCCGTCCCCAATCTGGAGCTCCTGTGCTGGGCCCCAGGAGGCCTCTGCACTCATCGCCTCACCAAGGCCCGGCAATCTCCCGAGGCGGCGCTCTGCCAACTTCCACCTGCCCAAAGCCACCCAACTGGTACGCAGCAGAGCCCACACTCACACCCAGGAGGGTCTCAAGTGGGAAGCCACATCCTGCCCCCACCATGACACCTCCTGCTGCCCCCCGACGCCTCCTCCCAGCCCAGCCAGCCTTTCCCTGTCCTCTGGGCTGCCGCCTACCCCACCACTGCCTTTGCCCACCAAGTTCCTAACTCAGCTCCCAGGACCCCGCCTTGTGGAAGAGTCTCCCTGGGAGGCTCCTACACCAGAGCAACCCCAAAACAGGTCTGGGAATTTTCAACAACCTCAGAAAGGCAGGAAGGAGGCTAAGGGAGACAGCCAGAGGGTATCAGGCTGGGAGGGCCTGGACATCGAGGGGGCAGAGGACGGCCCCTATGACGGCCCGCCCAGCCCAGGGCCCTGCCCTCCTGCAGCCTCTGCTCCTGGGGGCGGCTCACCTGCCGGAGGAAGGTGATTGGCTGCTGCCCCATAGCCTGGGCGTCCCCGATGTTGGCTCGGATGACCTCTGTGAATGGCTTTTTGATACCCTGGGCAGAGAGAAAGCAACAGGTGGTTACTTAGAAACTCTTAAACCCTGGATTCCAGAGGCCAGGCAAGGTTCCCGCAGGATATTAATAAACAGCCCTATTTTGAGGCTTACCAAGTATCTGACTTGGTGCCAGGCCTTTGACATGCCTGGTCTCATTTAACCTTCACAGCCACCCCATGAGGAAGAACTAGTATTAATCCCATTTGACAGATGAGGAAATCAAGGCTCTTAAAGGGTAGAAACTTCCTCAAGGTCACATAATTTTATTTTTTTGAGACAGAGGCTTGCTCTCTTGCCCAAGATGGAGTACAGTAGTGCCATCTCAGCTCACTGCAACCTCTACCTCCTGGGTTCAAGCAATTCTCGTGCCTCAGCCTCCCGAGTAGCTGGGATTACAGACGTGCACCACCACACCCGGCTAATTTTTGTATTTAGTAGAGACAGGATTTCAACGTGTTGGCCAGGCTGGTCTCCAACTCATGTGATCCACCCACCGCAGCCTCCCAAAGTGCTAGGATTACAGGCGTGAGCCATTGCGCCTGACCAACATAATTTTATTTATTACTTATTGTTACTATTTTGTAGAGACAGGGTCTCACTCTGTCACTCAGGCTGAAGTGCAGTGGTGTGATCATGGTTCACTGCATCCCCGACCTTCTGGGCTCAGGCGATCCTCCGCCTTGGCCTCCCAAAGTGTTGGGGTTACAGGGGTGAACCACTGTGCCCAGCCACATAACTGATTAATGTAAGTGCTGGGAATGAATATAAGTACAGGAAGACGGATTCCAAGGTCACTCTTCTTAACCACTATGCTCCTCCTCTGCCTCCCACTTTCCAGAAGGGCTGGAAGAGCTTTTCTGGCTGCCCAAGCATCCCGAACAGCTGCTGCTCCGCTGCCTGACTGCCACCACACAGGGAAGTCTAAAAGGCAGCTCCGGGCCAGATGTGTGGGAGGGAGGCAGGGGTCAGCAGCAGAACATGCCAAATGTCAGGCACACAGGGTCCCAGACTCCTCTGCATCCTGCCCCAGGCGCAGCTCTACCGCAATGGTCTAAATGACTAGCCAGGGACACTGAGGACACCCTCCCCATCGGAAGACATGGATCAGCAGGGAATCCTCAGGGTCATTTTCTTGCAACCCATTCTTTGCAGAATGAAAAATCTGGGCTGATTTTCACATTAAAAAAAAAAAAGCATCAGGGATTAAAAAGACTGACTGAAGAGCAAATTGAGGCCACTGCCTGAGCAATGTGTGTAGCACAGAAGAGAGATCACAGAGAGAAGTCCAAGACCCTTGTGACATCACTGGGGAGGTGACAGAAGGACACCATGGCTGCTGCAAAGGCGAAAGCAGAGCTTGACATAGAGAATTACAGGGACCTGGAAACGTGGGAATCCTGCACATTTCCCTGATAAACCCAATCAGCCACTGGGAGAAATGCAGTCAACAACAGGTTCAAGGACTTCCCAGGGCAGCTGAAAGGATTACCTGAAACAAACAGTGTGAAAGCCCTTAGCAGAGTACAAATATCATCTTACAAAAGCCGGCCCAGGAACAAGGTCACCAGGGTCACAGTGGGAGGAAAAACGGGCTCAGCAAGGTGGTGGCCACAGCCCGGGTGGGAGGGCCTGGCCTTTGTCCTGTCTCCAGCTGCCCCTTCCCCAAAGGTACCCCAAATACAAATTTTACAGATATAACTCTGTGCTTGTGACACTTGTCTTTTCTCCTTTTCATGCAATGTGTGAATAAAAGCAACTTTAGAAGACATGGCCTTTTCAAAATCAGTAATGTACACCTTAAGTAAAAACCAGTGGCTGGACGTGGTGGCTCACACCTGTAATTCCAGCACTTTGGGAGGCCAAGGCAGGAGGATCCCTTGAGGCCAGGAGTTCAACAACAGCCTGGGCAACACTTTCAAGTTGCCCAAGACCTTGTCTCTACAAAAAATTAAAATTAGCCAGGCATGGTGGCACATGCCTATAGCCCCAGCTACTGGGGAGGCTGAAGTGGGAGTATCACACTTGAGCCCAGGAGTTCAAGGTTGCAGTGAGCTATGATTACGTCACTACTCTCCAGCCTGGGCATCAGAGTGAGACCCTTTTTTTTGTTGTTTTTTTTTTGAGACAGGGTTTCCCTCTGTCACCCAGACTGGAGTGCAATGGTGTGATCTCGGTTCACTGCAACCTCCACCTCCCGGGTTCAAGCATTTCTCATGCCTCAGCCTCCCAAGTGGCTGGGACTACAGATAAGCATCACCACACCCGGCTAATTTTTGTATTTTTAATGGAGATGGGATTTCATCATGTTTCCCAAGCTGGTCTTGAACTCCTGAGCACAAATGATTGGCCCACCTCAGCCTCCCAAAGTGCTGTGATTACAAGTGTGAGCCACCTCGCCTGGCCTGACCCTGTCTCCTAAAAACAACAACAACAAACCAGCAGGCTTGAGAGACAAAAGCAGCAGCTAAACATGTTTTTCTGGCCCTAGTGTGCCACCCCTAAGCCCTAAGCAAGGAGGCATGGGGGACTGAAGATGCCCCGGAAGTGGCTCTGGACCATCATAAACAGGGCGTAAGTCCTACAAGCTATGTTTCTCGGGGAAGGGGGTCCTCTAAGCCCCTTGTGGCCCATCTGCTGAGTTCTTCAGTGTCTGGCCAACATGGATAAGGATTCTCAGTGGCGGCCAGGTGCGGTGGCTCACGCCTGTAATCCCAGCACTTTGGGAGGCTGAGGCGAGCGGATCACGAGGTCAGCAGATCGAGACCATCCTGGCTAACACAGTGAAACCCCGTCTCTACTAAAAATACAAAAACTTAGCCAGGCGTGGGGGCGGGCGCCTGTAGTCCCAGCTACTCGGGACGCTGAGGCAGGAGAATGGCATGAAGCTGGGAGGCGGAGCTTGCAGTGAGCCGAGATTTCGCCACTGCACTCCAGCCTGGGCGACAGAGCGAGACTCCGTCTCAAAAAAAAAAAAAAGATTCCCAGTGGCATCCAGACGCAGCCACTGTGTCTGGAGAGCCAGGGCAGCACTGCCCACTGCATGGGGGTACAGGCACTCTGGAGAGGCTCTGGCTGCAGGGGTGTGCAGCCCCCACACTCATCCCACAGCCAGGATCCCAAAAGGTTGAGGGTGTGGGCAGTTACCCAAGCCTCTGTGTGCAAAGGGACGGGCCCGATCCACTGCTTGGCACTGGCCTGGGCTCCTGGCATGGGGTCCTTGCTCAGCCTGACTGAATTGTTGCAGACCCCAGGTCTAGCTCGCTGAACCTGGGTGATTTCTGGGATGTGGATACAGCCCATTCTTCACAGGGAGTAAATCTGTCACAGTTGTGAGGCCCAGGAACCAACACACAGCTGTGGGCCCTGGGCCAGCCCAACACAGGGAGAGAATAACGCCTGGAACAGAGCCCTGAATGTTCCTTTCCCGTGCCCTCCCCCCGCACTGCTCGACCAATGCAGGGCCGCTGCCGCGAAGCCTGGGAACACAGCACCTCCATTCTTGGGTCTTGGTGCCTGCAGATCCTGGACACTTTGCTATGATGGATGAGCTGGGGGTCAGGACACTGGCTACCCTGAATGGGTGAAGAAACCAGCCCACCCAGCCAAGGGCCACCATGCAGAAGAAACTGTTCTGAGCACACTCCTGCATCCGGGAACTCAAGGTCTACATGGGATGGGAAATACCAAGAGCCCTGGGGTAGACTCCCAGAGTGACTGGTCCAGAGCCCACAGGCACAGCACCCATGGGAACCTCGCCCCTGCCCTGCCCTCAGGGCCCTGCCAGCTCAGAGGGACTAAGGAGCCGCAGCATCCTGATTCCTCTCACGGCATTCTAGAGCCACCTTCGAATCCACCTGCACATATCCCTCCCAGAGCCACCTCCCCTGTGCGGCACAGATGCACGGAAGGTCCTTCCCAGGGAGGGCTCCCCTCCCGCCGCTTTGGCTCAAGCAGGGATCAGGGGAGGGCACCAACCCCCCAGCTCTAGGGACGGCATATTTCATAGGGTGTTAGCAGGGAGAATAACTGTCCTCCCCAACCCACAGGCCTCGCACCAGCATGAGGGTCAGGGGCGGATGGATATTCTAACAAGGCACAGCAAAGGAAACAATCAACAAAAAGGCGGCCCACGGAAGGGAACACCGTCAGCCTCCGCATCCGTGGCTCCAGCATCTGCGGACTCAACCAACCGTGGATCAAAAATATTCAGGAAAGGGTCAGGCACGGTGATTCAAGCCTGTATTCCCAGCACTTTGGGAGGCTGAGGCGGGTAGATCACGAGGTCAGCAGATCGAGACCATCCTGGCTAACACGGTGAAACCCCGTCTCTACTAAAAATACAAAAAAATTTGCCAGGCGTGGTGGCACGCGCCTGTAGTCCCAGCTATTTGGGAGGCTGAGGTAGGAGAATGGTGTGAACCCGGGAGGCGGAGCCTGCAGTGAGCCGAGATTGCGCCACTGCACTCCAGCCTGGGTGACAGAGCAAGACTCCGACTCAAAAAACAAAAAACAAACAAACAAACAAAAAATTCAGGAAAAACCCTGCACCTGTACTAAACACAAACATACAGACTTTTCTTGTCATTGTTCCCTAAACAATAGAGTTGAACCATTATTTACACAATATGTACTACGTATTATATGTAATCTATAGAGGCTGTAAAGATGATTTAATTATACGGGAGGATGTGCATAGGTCATATGCAAATACTACGCCATTTATATGAGCATCCTTGGATTTAGGTATCCGAGGGAAGGCCTCCTTGGATACTGAGAGACAACTGTATTTGTAAACAAAATATCTGATAATGGGATCCTTATATCCAAATATCAAATATATGCAAATAAGGAATTCATACAACTCAAGAAAAAAAACTGATTAAACCTGATGTAAAAATGAACAAAGGATGTGAAGAGTCTTTCCACAAAAGACACACAAATCGTCAACAGATACATGAAAAAGATGCAAAACATCTAATCAAACACAATTCAAAGCCACAATGAGATATCATCTCATACTTGTTAGCATGGTTATTATAAAAAGTTCAAAGATCAGTGTTGGTGAGGGTGTGGGGAAAGGGAACCCTGCACGCCACTGGTGGGAATGTAAATTGGTATAGCCATTATGGAAAACAGTATGGAGGTTCCTCGAAAAATTAAAAATAGAACTACCCTAGGATCCAGCAGTCCCACTGCTGGGTAGAGATCTGAAGGAAATGAAATCATTGTCTTGAAGAGATGTCCGCACTCCCTTGTTCACTGCAGCACTATTCCTAAGAGCCAAGATATGGAACCAACCTAAGTGTCCATCAGTAGATGAATGGATAAAGATATGGTACATATACACAATGGACTATTATTCAGCCATTTAAAAAATAAGAAAATCCAGCCATTTGCAAAATTATGGATGAACCTGGAGGACACTATGTGAAGTGAAAAAAGCCAGACACAGAAAGACAAACACTGTATGATCTCACTCATATGTGGAATCTAAAAAAGTTAAACTAGTCTAAAAAAGTTGAACTAATAAAAGCAGAGGTGATAGCTGCCAGCAGTGGGGTTGGGGGAGTGCATATGTGGCAATGTTGGTCAAAGGGTACAAACTTTCAGTTGTAAGATGACACATTTTGCAAGTTGTAACTTATTTGTGGGAGCTAAAAAATTTTAAAAACTGAACTCGTGAAGATGGAGCATAGAAGGATGGTTCCCAGAGTCTGGGAAGGGCAGTAGGGGTGGGTGGGGAGAAGTGGGGATGGTTAATGGGTACCAAAAAGTAGAAGGAATTATCTAGTATTTGACACCACAACAGGGTGACTATAGTCAATAATAATTGTACATTGAAAAAAAAAAAGCTAAAAGAGTATATATAATTGGATTGTTTGTAAGACAAGGACAAATGCTGGAGGGGATGGATACCTCATTTACCCTGATGTGATTATTACACACTACATGCCTGTACCAAAATATCTCATGTACCTCATAAATAATACATCTACTGCCCGGGCGCGGTGGCTCACACCTGTAATCCCAGCACTTTGGGAGGCCGAGACAGGCGGATCACAAGGTCAGGAAATATTAGCTAGGCATGGTGGTGTGTGCCTGTCATCCCAGCTACTCGGGAGGCTGAGGCAGGGTAATCCCTTGAAGTCAGGAGGTGGAGATTGCAGTGAGCTGAGATTGCGCCACTACACTCAAGCCTGGGCAACAAGAGCGAAACTCCATCTCAAAAAAAAAAATTAGCCTGGTGTGGTGGCAGGTGCCTGTAATCCCAGCTACTCAGGAAGCTGAGGCAAGAGAATCACCTGAACCCGGGAGACGGAGGTTGCAGTGAGCTAAGATTGCACCATTGCACTCTAGCCTGGGCAACAGAGCGAGACTCCGTCTCAAAAAAATAGTAATTTAAAAAAATATGAATAAGTTATGGGGATCTAATGTACAGCATGGTGACTATAATTAATAATACTGTATTTTTCGGCCATGCACAGTGGCTCATGCCTGTAATCCCAGCACTTTAGGAGGCCATGGCGGGTGGATCACCTGAGGTTGGGAGGTCGAGACCCGCCTGACTAACATGGAGAAACCCCATCTCTACTAAAAATACAAAATTAGCTGGGTGTGGTGGCGCATGCCTGTAATCCCAGCTACGCGGGAGGCTGAGGCAGGAGAATTGCTTGAACCCGGGAAGCAGAGGTTGGGGTGAGCCGAGATCACACCATTGCACTCCAGCCTGGGCAACAAGAGCGAAACTCCATCTCAAAAACAAAACAAACAACAACAAAAAAAGCCAAAACAAAAAACCTGTATTTTTTACTTGAAATTTGCTGAGAACAGGACTTAAGTGTCTCAGGCGCACACTCACAGATGGTGACTATGTGTGGTAAAGGATGGAGTATTAATAATTGACTGTGATAATCATTTCCATATCATATTACATATAGAATGTATATAAATGTTAAACCACCACACTGTGTCCCTTGAATATATACAATTTTTCTTTGTCAATTATATTTGTCTCCCCCTCAATAAAAATGGGGAGAAAAAAACAGGCACAAGGCTGTTTCCTTATGCAAGGGATGGCTCTGGTCACTTCACATGGCCTGTGGGCAGAAAGGATGGCAGAGAACTTTCCTCCAATTCAACAAATACTGGTCACCCATGCCCCAGTGACAGCCATGAGTAGCACAGATGAGACCGCCACCCTCCTGAGCCCAGGCTGGTGAAGAATAAGAAGGGGGTGCAGGGAAGGAGAATGGCAGGGTGTGGGAGAGAGGACCCGCAGGTCCCAGGCCTAGGAGCACAATGTGAAAATGCTCCCGGGCTCCTGATCCCAAAAAGGGCACTGACTGGGGCTAGGGCGGGCAGAAAGCTCCAGCAAGAGGCCCCAAAGACAAACACCAACTAGACCCCACAGTCCCAGAAAACAGGTCCATTTCACAGCTGAGGCTCAGCACAAGATCTGGTCCCAAAACAGAAAGACAAGTGAAACCAGAAGAAACCGGAGCTGCAGCTACACACGTCTGTGACTGAGAGTGCAGGCAAGAGCCTCCAGGGCTGAGCTGCCAGATCACTGAGGCAGGGAAGACAGGGTGTAGGCCCCTGAACTCTGGGCATCCGTGGGGTGGTCAACTATAGAAGCCCAGATTCCAAGGCAGAAGCAGGGGTGAAAGCTGAATAAACTCCAAACAGGATAGTGCGAGTTGCTCAAGACAGCAAGGCAGAGGCCCAGGAGGAAAGAGCAAGCCCCACAGAACACTTCCCAGACCCAGAGCCTCAGGAAGTGGGAAAGACAAGCGACCTTCAGCACTTCTTATCCCCAGACCACTCTCATTAGCTTCAGAAGGAAGACTTGGCAGGTCTAATTAGCTTCACAGCTGTTCAAAGCATTATCATTAACATCTCAAACTAGTCTTTCAGAGAAATAAACTGGTCACATTTTGCAGAAGAGTAAACCAAGGCTGAATGACTTGTCTAAGGCCCATAGCACACAAAGGCAGAGCCCAGCGTATGTGTGGTGACTGACTTGGGCAGGCTGGGTAGGCGGAGGGTTCATCCTATTGGAAGCCTGCACTACAAGTTTTAAAGTAGCATCTAGGCCAAGCACAGTGGCTCACACAGGTAATCCTGGCGCTTTGGGAGGCTGAGGTGGGAGGATCACCCAAGGCTAGCAGTCTGAGACCAGCCTGGACAACATAAGCGAGATCCCATCTCTACAAAAAAGGAAATTAGCCAGCATGGTGGCACACACCTGTAGTCCTAGCTTCTGAAGAGGCTGAGGCAGGAGGATCACTTGAGCCCAGGAATTTGAGGCCACAGTGAGCTATAACTGCACCACTGCACTCCAGCCTAGGAGAAAGAACAAGGCTCTGTCTCTTTAAAAAAAAAAAAAAAAAAAAAAAAAATTAACAGCCTGGGCAACATGGCAAACCCTGTCTCTACAAAAAAATGCAAAAATTAGCCAGACGTGGTGGCATACGCCTTGTGGTCCCAGCTACTCAAGAGGCTGAAGTGTAAGGATCGCTTGAGCCCAGGAAGTTGAGGCTGCAGTGAGCTGAGATTGCGCCACTGCACTCCTGCCTGGGTGACAGAGCTATGGAATCCTTTCGCCAGGTGCTCTGCAAACAGTATGGGCTGTTTGGCTGAACAGCTATAATTAACAATTAGTATTATTATTTAATAATAATTACAAAGGAAAAAGTAGCTGGGTGTGGTGGCTCATACCTACCCACCCAGCACTTTGGGAGGCCAAGGTGGGAGGATTACTTGAAGCCAGAAGTTTGAGACCACCCTGGGCAACATAAGAAGACCTAGTCTCTATAAAAAATTTAAAAATTAGCCGGGCATGGTGGTGCACACCTGTAGTCCAAGCTGCTCAGGAGACTGAGGTAGGAGGATGGCTTGAGCCCAGGAGTTCAAGGCTGCAGTGAGTCATGATTGTGCCACTGCATTCCAGCCTAGGCAATAGAGCGAGACCCTGTCTTTAAAAAAATAAAGTAGCATCTGGCCGGGTGCGGTGGCTCACGCTTGTAATCCCAGCACTTTGGGAGGCTGAGGCAGACAGATCACAAAGTCAGGAGTTCAAGACCAGCCTGGCCAACACAGTGAAACCCAATCTCTACTAAAAATACAAAAAATTTAGCTGGGTGTGGCGGCGGGCACCTGTAATCCCAGCTACTCGGGAGGCTGAGGAAGGAGGATCACTTCAACCCGGGAGGCGGAGGTTGCAGTGAGATGAGATCGCATCACTGCACTCCAGCCTGGGTGACAGAATTAGACGCAGTCTCAATAAATAAATAAAGTAGCATCTAAATGCCACAGAAAACAATGACTGAGATTCAACACATGTGCTTGGCACACACAGGGTTTCCAATCTTAGTTCTTAGCTAACTATAGCCATGTGCCTTAGCACCCTCTGCTTTTACCTTTGTTTGGATGCAACACACACTGATGTAACCAGTAATTGTCAGTCTTCCCCTCAGTTCTGAATGTCTGCCCTGACTGTTGCCTTACAACCAGAAGCAAAGCCATTCCTGTCTCCACTTGTACCAATCCCCAACCCCCATCCCCCAATAAAGCAAGGGAAAAAGTAGGTTGAGGAAGAACTGTCAGATCTTTTCAAAACTCCTTTTAATTGCAGCTTATTTTTAAGTGCTGCTCGCAGTGAACACCAGGATCTGAAAAGCTAAGATAGGTTCTCCCCTTTGGAGCTGCTGTCAGGGAGAAGCAAGGCCCCTCTAAGAGCACAGAGCTGGGGCTGCAGGAGAATGGCCCCTTTCACAGCCCTTAGCCGACCTCCCCACCTCCTTCAGGCTCCACTACCAGAGAAGCAAAAAGGATAGGGACTCAGCTTGGCCAGCCACCCAAAGTCAAACACCAGAGCCACATGTCCAGCCAAACGGCCCACATTGTTTGCAGAACACCTGGTGAAAGAATTCCATAGACAGCATGAAGGCCTTGGTACCACCAAGAGTCACGAGTCACCCTGAGTCCCCAAGGACAGTTTTGAATGGACAAGGAGGTATAAAACTGAGGGCAGGGGAAACCCTGGCCCAGCCAGGCCCAGCCAGGCCACATCTGTTTATACTCTAGGGAACCTGAGGCCCAGGATTCACCCCAAGTCACCCTACTCCCTACAAATCCTAGCCCATCCCATCTCTAACCAATCAGTTTTTGTTTGTTTTTTGAGATGGAGTCTCGCTCTGAGCTCTGTTGCCGAGGCTGGAGTGCATCTCGGCTCACTGCCACCTCCACCTTCCGGGTTCAAGCGATTCTCCTGCCTTAGCCTGCCGAGTAGCTGGAGTTACAAGCGTGTACCACCATGCCCGGCTAATTTTTGTGCTTTTAGTAGAGACAGGGTTTCCCCATGTTGGCCAGGCTGGTCTCGAACTCCTGCCTCAGGTGATCCACCCACTTTGGCTTCCCAAAGTGCTGAGATTACAGGCGTGAGCCACCGTGGCCGGCCTCTAACCAACCAGTTTTGATCACGACAGTTCAAAACAGAAGCAGAAAAACCAAAGCTGCACAAGGAGAAGGCAAGCCAGAAATAAAAAGAAAGGACTGGGGAAATGTGGCTCTCGCAAGAAGGGCACTGTTTAAGCTGGCAAGGGGAAGCAAGGCTGTCTCCCAAGAAGGAAGGGTTTCAATGAGGCTATCTAAGCTGGTCTGGCCAGCACCCACAGCCGGGGAACTGAGACTCACAGTGAGAAGAGAATGAGAAGGGATGCGCTTGAATGAAACTACCACAGAATGTAGGTGGCCAAAAAAACTCAACTAACTCAGGAGTAGGATATGGGGGTGTGGAGCTTCTGTCTCAGAAATCAGAGATGTCCCTGGCCCAGTGACCAAGAAATTTGCCCACCTGCAATCATCAATACACACCCCTGCTGGAAACCCTTCCTGGTTCCCAACTCCAGCCAAAACGCACCATGACATCCTAATCCCAGCACACAAGACTCCAGTCCACCTTTTCTGTCTCATTCACCTCCCACATCCCTCTGTTAGTGTTCCACTACAGCACCAGCCCCCTTCCCCAAATGCCCAGAACTCCCCAACTTCCTGCGGTTGCTCACAGCACTGCTCCCACTTGGAAGGCTCTCACGTATTCTGCCTGCTAAAAAATCCCAACACATTCTTAAAGAATCCGGGGAAGGGGACTCAGGCTCAGAGAACAACGTGGCAGTCAGATTCCTCAAGGCAAAGACAGTGCCCTTCTGTCCTCATCATCCTCAAGCCTCATGGAGCCAGCACAGGAGTTGCTATTTAGCAAAAGGCAGAGGTAATTCCTGGAACCCCTGCCAGCTCAGGAACCAGAGAAATCAGCTGTAACGTGATAAACCAGGAACGCGTTAATCCCAGCTGTGTTTTAGCAGGGAGGCTGTTGCGTCAAGGAGGGCCAGCTCCAGCCTGCCAGACATCAACAGCCTGTGTTCTCTGCCCGGCCCACCTCTGGGCCAGGGAGGCACAGAAACAAAGCCAGCCTCCTCCCGGCCAGCTTTAAACTTAGCCCTGCAAGGAGTCCGCAGGAGACTGGACTCTGACTTGTCCAGCTCACTGTTTTGAGTCAGCAGAACTGAGTGTCTCAACAAGGTCTCAGGAGGCCCAGGAGCTCATTAAAACCCCCAAGTCCCCACTGGAATGGGACCAAGTGTCATGATCCCCCTGAAGCTTACTGCCATGCATTCATGGGACACTAGTGACCCGGGTGAGGGCAAGATCAAGGAACCCTCCTTCCCACTTCTATTCTCAGTCAGACTCTCTCTAGCAAGCAGCTAGGTGATTATTAGCTTCTTACAAATCTTAGGAGTATTTACTTTTTAAGATAACCCCTCCTGGCTCTGCCTCCTGAATTCCACCCAGGCTATAACTCTCTCCTAGGTCCTAGGGACCCCTCTATCACCCACCCCAGACATCCTGGTTGTGGGGAGGCAGAAATCCTTCCTGGCTGTGGGCTCACCTTACATGAAGCTATAAACTCAAGCCAAGATCCTAGCCAGCCGGCCGACCACCAAGATGAAGAAAGTCCCAGGGCCCCCTTACCAAAGCCCGACAGGCCCAACTCTCTGGTTCCCCACCTCGGTGACTGTCCCCAGACCACAGAAGTGGCTGGTCGGCCAAGGCTCCAGAGGGGCCTAAAGGAAGGAATTCTGCCGACTCTCTTCCGGGAATCAGGATTGGCAAAGACCCTAAAGGCCAAAGACACGGAGAAAGAGACTGGGGAACAGAACCAACTTTCCGCAGAGCCCCCCCCACCCCGTCTCCCCTCCTACCTAAAATGGTTTCCCTCCCACCGCCCCCATCCCAACCCTCTTCCGTTTTACTTTTTTCCAAGAACTTATCACTGAGACTCTATTGCTTCTTTCTTCATTCGCTTATGTTCCTCTCTCCACTGGACCTTGGTTCCACGAGAGTAGGGCAGACACACAACGTGCGGTGCCTGGCAGCACGGCCCGCTCAACAATTGACGAATTCAATTCAACAAGTGAACCGTATTGCAAGGCCTCACTGAGTGCCCGGTGCTGGGCACCAGTAAGTGAACGGGCGGGAGGGGGCATTCTCTCGTTTTAGCCAGGCTTGGCTGACTGAGGAGCTGGCCATGGGGGTGGACGTCGTGGGAAGGACCCCAGCTGGGGCTGCTGCGGTTTTTCCCTTGCTCAGCGGCCCCAGCCTCCCCGGGGCCCAGCGCGCGCTCACCCGCTGCAGCTCGAGCTCGATCTCGCCGGCCTTGAGCACGATGGGTCCCCGCACGGCGTACTCCACCGCCTTCACCTGCGGGTTCATGGACTCCAGCGTGAGGATGCGCTCGCGCCGGCTGCGCTCGGGCCGCACCTTGAGCACCGCCGAGGCCTCGGCGGCCGCGCTGCTCTGGCTGCGGCCCCAGGAGCTGGGGGTCCGGGGACCACAGCCCCGCCGGACCAGCGCCGCCGCCCGCTGCATCGCGCGCTTGCGGAGAGAAACCCTGGCACAAAAAGAGAAAAAGAACAAACACGTCGCGCACTGCCCAGGCGTGCAGCACTCCCCCACACAAGCCCAGCCAAGGGCTCTTTCAGCGAGCGGTGCCAGCCTGGCTTCGGCGCTGGTGCCCATCCCCCGGCGACCCGGACCCTCCACGGCGCCGCTGAAGCACCAACGCACACCCAACCGGCTTTCGCAAAGGCTGCGCCCAAGGCATGCATGCAACGTGCCTGTCGCCCCTGGTAGGCCCTCGCCGCACTCGGTTAGCTCGCGCGCCTGGAGCAGCTACCCGGCCCCGGCGCCCACAGCCGCATCCCCGCGCCCGGCGCCCGCGCCGCCCGGCCCCTGCGCTCGCACACCCACCACCGTCGGGGCCGCCCCGGGCCTGTGCGCTGCCTCCTGGGCCCTGTAGTTCCCCTGGCTGCTCCGGAGCGGCTGCGGAGAGTGACGCGAACTACAAGTCCCACAGCGCCCCGCGCCGGGCCGGACCGGGACCGGACAGTAGGCGGGAGCGTTCGTCCGAACGTGGCCGGGGCTGGGCGGGCTCTTTGTCCCAGTTGAGGGGCTGGAGAGCCTGGAGGGGCGGGGCAGGGGCCGTGCTCTCTGTCGCGTCTGCGAAGCTAGAGCTGTTGGCAGCCTGTCCCCAGTGGCGCGTCCGCCCCCCTACCGCCCTCACTGCCCGCACCTGCGAGGACGCAGGCTGCTGGATGGTGCAGTCATCGCCCCGAGTTTCATCATCCAAGGCCACACGGTGCCTGCGGCTGCCCACCAGAGCTGGCAGGAAGGCGGGTGAGGAGTCTGGGACTTGGCCACGCCGCCCTGACTACCGAACGCCAGCTTCCTTCTCAGCAAAACGGGGATCTGCCCACGGCCTCTGAGGGTTGTTGTGAGACTTCAAGGACCATCTGCCAAGTGGTCAGGTTTTCCCGACCACTCCATCTGACCTCAGACCTCCATCACTTCCGTTTTATTTTCTGCCTACCATCTGAAATTATCTTCGGTTACTTTTTACTGGCTTATGGTTTACCTCCCCCGACTAACCGTGCGAGCTCCAGAGGGGCAGAGGCAGTGTCTTTCTTGTTCATGGCATTCGCAGCACCTCTAACAGTTCCCGCCACAGAGGAGCCACTCAGTAAATATTTGTTGAAGAATGAATGCCCAGCACAAGGGGGCTATTATGTTTGGTAACGGTGTCTGCTGGCGAAAGGCTCCCTGGCTTGCCCAGAGCAAGAGCAGGGCAAGACTAGGAGGTGGCGTAGGGTGGCGCAAAGGGAGTTCTGGAAGACTCGGGGTCTAATGGAGACACCAAAATCTACAAAATCAAAAATACAAATACAGAATCTACAAAATCCCGTCTAGGTCCCAGATTCTCCATGTGCAAAATGAGTTAAATACCCTCTAAGGTCCTTCCCCTTGGAAATTCTGTGAGTCTGGGTGTTTTCAACCAGAAAAACAGCCCAGAGCTCCCACATCCCAACACACACACACTCACATTAGGTTTATGAAAGTTGGGGCAGCAGTGTAGGGGAGAAGGTAGACCTGAGTCGGAATATCCACAGTTGCATACAGCCGTGCACTGCTTAACTGAGTTTGTACTACCTCGTCTTCGTAAAGCCTAGTTTCCCCATGCGTAAAGTCAGGGTAACACCTACCTCATACTGTGATTAAATACATTGGTTGCCAATAAAAGAGGAAAGTAGGTGGGGAGAACAACAGAAACCGAAGATATCTTTGAGTATTCCTATGTCTGCAAACTGGCTTGGTCCACCAAAGGCGCTGGAAAGTTATTTGGGCTCTCATGTACTGGTTCCACCCCCGCACCTTTGTCTACACTAGGTCTTGATGGCCAGGTATTCAGTCTCTAGGTAAAAGTCTTCCCCAGTGAGCTTAGCTCCTCCTTCAGTGTCGTCGTTATCAACTGCCCAGTTGAGACACAAACATAACCCTCCACCTCCAAAACACGCTTGACCTTGACTTGCATGTAATGTCCATGCAGTCCCTTGCTGTCCACCCACGTGTCAGTGTACTATGCTCTTCTGTTATCTCTGTCTCTGATCAGTAGGGACAGGGGAGGAGGGGCTTAGAGAGGTGATCACAAATCTATTTCCACAACTGAGAACAACAAGCACACAGCCTTCTTATGTGTGCTCCCACGTCATCACTGTGAAAAACAAGTCGAGTGCCTAATATGCCCTCTGCCAACCCGTCTCTCTGAGATTGCATGAGGAAAAAAGCTTCATTGATTTCTTGTGAACCACTGTACAATTTGCAAAGCACTTTCTTACCCAAAAGCACAGGCAGTATTATTCCCACTTTATAGATGAGGCTCAGAGAGGTTAGGTGACTTGTTCAGGTGGTACAGCTAAAAGGAGAGCAGGAATTGTGATTTCTAACCCAGTGCTACAGCCCACGCATGCAGGGACCATTCATGTGTAGCTCGCTGGGTTTGGAAATTCAAGCTTGCTGTTACAATGCACAGAGCCTTTGAAAAATTTCTGGGTGGTGGTTGTGATGACGATGGTGGCAATAGCATGAACTTTGCTTTTATTTTTTATTTTTGTACACAGCTAACCCAGTCCAAAAGCTTGCGTGTGTGTGTGTTCATTTTGTTTTGTTGTTCTCATCTGATTTTTTTATTTTATTTTTATTTTTATTTTTTGAGACAGAGTCTTGTTTCTGTCACCAAGGCTGGAATGCAGTGGCATGATCTCATCTCATTGCAACCTCTGCCTCCTGGGTTCAAGCGATTCTTCTGCCTCAGCCTCCTGAGTAGCTGAGACTACAGGCATGCATCACCATGCCTAGCTAATTTTTTTTGAGGGTAGAGGGGGGTGTATTTTTAGTAGAGAGAAGGTGTCCCGATATTGGCCAGGCTGGTCTCAAACTCCTGACCTCAAGTGATCCACACACCTTAGCCTCCCAAAATGCTGGGATTACAGGGGTGAGTCACCTCACCCGGACTAGTGATTTGCTTTTATTTTGCCCTCTAGACCAGGTGGGGATGGATAGGATCTGGCTCCTAAATATTAAAGCTAAAACCTGATTGAAATGATCATTAAAGCCCTCCCTATAAGCTAAATGAGAGCTTCAAATACACAGCAACCTCCTATCAACCCACATAGCTGGAGAGTCATATGTTTGCAAGACATAATACCCGTCTTTATTCCATAATTTAACAAATTCTTCTTGGGCACTTACCCTGTGCCAGGCATGAGGCTGAGTTCTGGGACTACAAAGAGTCAAGCTGACTGTTCCTACCTGTGTAGAACATACAGTTTCTTAGGGAAGGCGGAGGTCATCACACGTGATTACAAACTGTGATAACTCCTCGGGATAAAAAGGATGGAGTTTTCTGAGAGTTCAGAGGTCTGCACAAAGATTTCCCAAATGAGGTGTCCCATGAGCTGCTCCCACCCCAGCCCTGGAAGGTTGATAAGAGACATTACTCCTGGCCAGTGTGGAGATGCGCCTAGCCTGGGATTGCTGTGGCACCCTAAGTGAAGAGGCAGGTACTCAGCATATAAGAATCCAGCCGTTTCCATAGCTCCAGGGCTTCCCCAGCAGGTTACCTGAGGCTTTGTCAGGCCTATTTTTCATTCCCTGCCCATTCCTACTTTCTCCCACTTCCTCTTGCAAGAGTTGATCCCTAATACCCATCTTGCTCCTTACACCCCATCTCAGTGTCAGTGGTGAGATGGACAGCTTCCCGGTCTGGGACCACTGAAGACCCTGAGGAACTCTAAGAAGGCCATAGTGACTGCAGGGCAAACAATTAAGCAAAATGGGAATCAGTGAGGTGAGCTGTGTCAAGACAGGCAGGCCAGGTCCTGAATGTAAGAATTTTGGTCTTCATCCTAAGAAAAAATGGAAGCCTCTGGAAGGCTTAAAGCAGGGGAGTGACATGATCAGATTTCTATTTTAAATTCTGTTGCATGGAGGATGGATTGGAGGTGTGCAAGGGAGGTTGCAGGAGGATTAATTGTGGCTCCAACAAGGTCCAACGTTGGCCTGGACCAGGGTGTGGGGGATGGGAAGTGGCTAGGTTCTTCTGTATCCCCAACACCCAGCATATTACCTGACACACAGGTCTTCAGTAAAATGTTGAATGGATGTTGAAGTAGATTCTGTACGGTCCATGCTCTCCAGATATCTGCAGTCCAGCAGGAGCTGAGTGGCGTAGGTAAGTATGCTAAGGGCAGCCCCCAAGAATGCAGGCTACCCCATCCTTGGAGGCAGTGAGGGCTGTTCATAAATAACCACAGAGCAGAACAGAAAGTGAGAGAATCTTTGGAGAAGATCAGGTGGGCACTGTGGGGCTGCAAGGAGGGACAGCTAATCTCCCAGAATGCCAGATCATGCCTGGTCTGGAGGCTTGGGGAACTCTTTCAAAGGTAACTCTTAGTCTCTTGCTCTCGAGGGAGCCTGATGGAAGTTAGTGCTCTCAGCCAGTTGTGGTGGCTCACACCTGTAATCCCAGTGCTTTGGGATGCCCAGGCAGGAGGATCACTGAAGCCTGGAGTTGGAGATCAGCCTGGGCAACATAACGAGACCCATCTCTACAAATTAAAAAATTAGCTGGGCGTGGTGGTGTGCACCTATAGTTCTAGCTATACAGGAGGCTGAGGCAGGGGAATCGCTTCTACCCAGAAGTTCTAGGCTGCAGTGGGCATGATTGTGCCACTGCACTTTAGCCTGAGTAACAGAGCAAGAACTTGTCTCCAAAAAAAAAAAAAAAATTAGTGTGTAATTAATCAAATGCCTTGGCTTATGGTCCAGGGTAGTGATTCTAAAGTGTCCAAGGATCACCTGAGTATTTGCTTAAAATGTGGATTCCAGAGTCTTGCCCCAGACTTGCTGATTCTGAAATTCCAGGGGTGGGTTGGCCCAGGAATTTTCCTGTAATTAGGATTCTGATATGCACTAAAGTTTGAGAAATCCAGGTGCAGGACCAGGTGCAGGGTGTGTTTCTTTGGGAAAAATCCAGATCAGGGAGGTCTGAATTCTGATTCCAAATTTGTTAATAATCTCCGGTATGACCTGGAGCCAGTTCTATCCTCACCTTGTAGCCTTTGCTTCTTCTGCAGCACTGCCTACACTTCTGCCCGACTTCTAGTCACTTGCTCTTCTGAGGAAGCTTGAAGATGTTACAGCCTCCCCTTCCAACTCAACTGACTCCTCGAGTCACAGCCCCTGCCTGTATTCATTGAGCCTCTGTTTCCTCACCTGCCAGTGAGAGTGACCACAGTACCTGCCTCAAAGTGTTGCTGAGAAAATTAGAGATGATATTTTAACTTTTTATTTTTCTTATGGATGTTTGGGTAGATTAGGAAGTCTGAAAGCATCAACACTCTATTGTTGTGTGTGTGTGTTTGTGTGTGTGTTTTGAGATGGGGTCTCCCTCTATCATCCAGGCTAAAGTGCAGTGGCATGATCATCTTACTAGATCCTCAAACTCCTGGACTCAAGCCATTAACCCTCCTCAGCCTCCCAAGTAGCTGGGTCTACAGCTGCATGACACCATGCCTGACTGTTGTTAATGGTGGTTATCTTTGAGTGGTGGGATTATTGGTAACTAATTTTTCTTTTTGTTTAATGTACTTTCAACGTTTTAAGAAATTTTTAAAATAATAAATAAATTTTAAAAAAGAAACCTAGAATGGTCATATGATCTAGCAATTCCATTTCTGGGTATATCACGAAAGAATTGAAAGCTGAGACTTGAACAGATAATTATAAACTAATGCTCATTATGGCATTATGGCAACTGCTAAAAGGTGGAAACAACCCAAATGTCCATTGACAGATGAATGGGTGAACAAAATGTGGTATATATACACAAGAAATATTAGTCAGGCCTGATGTGGTGGCTCACACCTGTAATACCAGTACTTTGGGAGGCTGAGGCAGGCGGATCACGAGGTCAGAAGTTCAAGACCAGCCTGGCCAACATGGTGAAACCTCGTCTCTACTAAAAATACAAAAATTAGCCAGGCATGGTAGCGCATGCCTGTAATCCCAGCTACTCGGGAGGCTGAGGCAGGAGAATTGCTTGAACTCGGGAGGTGGAGGTTGCAGTGAGCCAAGATTGTGCCACTGCACTCCAGCCTGGGCGACAGAGCAAGACTCTGTCTCAAAAAAAAAAAAAAAAAAGAAATATTAATCAGCCTTAAAAAGGAAGGAAATTGTGACACATACCACAACACAGATGAAACTTAAAGACATTATGTAAAGTGAAATACACCAGATATAAAAGGATAAGTATGTATGATTCCACTTATTTGAGGTACCCAGAATAGGCAAATACATAGAGACAGAAATTTAAATATAGGTTACCAGCCAGGTGTGGTGACTCACACCTGTAATCCCAGCACTTAGGGAGGCCACAGCAGACAGATCCCTTGAGCCCAGGAGTTTGATATCAGCCTGGGCAAAATAGTAAGAACCTATCTCTACCAAAAATAAAGTAAATAAATAATAAATTAAAATAGAGGTTACCAAGGGCTGGGGGGAGGCGGAATGGGGAGTTACTGTTTCTTGTGTTTTTTTTTTGTTTTTTTGTTTTTTTTTTTGAGACAGAGTCTCGCTCTGTCGCCCAGGCTGGAGTGCAGTGGCACAATCTGGGCTCACTGCAACCTCCGCCTCCTGGGTTCAAGTGATTCTCCTCCGTCCGAAGTAAATGGGACTACAGGTGCATGCCACCATGCCTGGGTAATTTTTTGTATTTTTAGTGGAGACGGGGTTTCACCATGTTAGCCAGGATGGTCTCCATCTCCTGAACTTGTGATCCGCCTGCCTCAGCCTCCCAAAGTGCTGGTATCACAGGCATGAGCCACCGCACCCTGCTGGGAGTTACTGTTTAATGAGTACATAGTTTCAGTTTGCAACATGAAAACGTTCTGGAGATGAACAGTGGTTATGGTTGCATAATGTGGATGTATATAATGTCACTGAACTGTACACCCCCAAATAGTTAAAATAGAAAATTTTATGTACATCTTACCATATTATAATATGAATAAGGATTTCCTGTGTGATGGAAGATAATTTAAAAAGAGAAAGAGTGTAAATCTTAGAGTGTTTGTGGCCTTTTTCAGAGATGGCGACTGAGCAGTTTCTGGGGGTGTTAGAAGGTATTTGGGTATTTGCTTGGAATCTCCCTCCAACTCCTACATTTTAGTTAGCTTTAATCCTTGTCCTTCGTGTTTTTCTTTTTTTTGAGATGGAGTCTCGCTCTGTCGCCCAGGCTGGAGTGCAGTGGCCCAATCTTGGCTTACTGCAAGCTCCGCCTCCCCGGTTCACGCCATTCTCCTGCCTTAGCCTCCCAAGTAGCTGGGACTACAGGTGCCGCCAACACACCCAGCTAATTTTTTGTATTTTTAGTAGAGATGGGGTTTCATCGTGTTAGCCAGGATGGTCTTGATCTCCTGACCTCATGATCTGCCCGCCTCAGCCTCCCAAAGTGCTGGGATGACAGGCATGAGCCACCACGCCTGGCCCATGTTTTTCTTTCTAAATGAAGGCCTCATTTTTTTTTGTTTGTTTGTTTTTACATAGAGACAAGTTTTTGCCATGTTGCCCAGGCTGGTCTTGAACTCCTGGACTCAAGGGATCCGCCCGCCTTTGCCTCCCAAAGTGCTGGGATTACAGGTGTGAGCCACTGTGCCCGGCCTTCTTTTTTTTTTTTTTTAATTTAAGTCAGGCTCAAGTTTTTAGGGGATGGTCAGGGAAATTTCGTTGAGATCCTACTTGCTCTGAGTCTCCTTGAAGCAAATCATTGCCTCTAACAAGCAAATATTAGTTTAGGTGAGCTAATAGCCGGGACACATGTATCCCAATGCTCTCACCATGACGTTCAAAGTGGATTAAAGATAAACTTATGATACTAAGCTAAGCTATACACAAACAAGGGACACATTCTTATGTAACTTACAGAGGTTAAAACTGAGTAAAGACATTTTACAAAAGTGGTGTTTACAATTCAGTACTGCATTGATAACATTTCAAAGCACTGGCAGGCACGTTTCGGTCTTGGCAGTGCACTCAACCAAATCCAGGTGGTTTCGGAGAATGAGGAGAGGCTGGAAGAGCTGTAGCGAATGAACAATTGTATAAGCTTCATGAGCAAATAAAACCTTTCATTCAGAGGGTGTTTGTTGTTCCATATTCCTTGATTTCTTGCTTCCTGATCTTTAGGGATCTGAGGACTCTTATTTGCGCCATGGAAGACATATGGAAACAATTTCAGAAACACCCCAAGGGACTAATAGAATCCTTATCTGCAAACTCAAGTGATTTCAGCTGTTGAATGTGCTAAAACACAGACAAAATATTAAGCAATGGCTCAAATCAGTATTTCCAAAAGGTTTACTTATCTAGTTTTCCTAGATATTTTCATAAAGCCACAGAATTTTTCAACTAGAGAAGCTCACAAAATAGTTTTGGGACCTAGAAACAGGAGAAAAAAATAATCATACAATACCATAAGCCCTATGCTTTGTAGTTCTCATTTATTCTTTTTGTTTTTGTTATTTTTGAGACACAGTCTCACTGTGTCGCTCAGGTTGGAATGCGATGGTGCGATCTCGGCTCATTGCAACCTCTGCCTCCTGGAGTCAGGTGATTCTCCTGCCTCAGCCTCCTGAGTAGTTGGGATTACAGGTGCCCACCACCATGCCCAGCTAATTTTTGTGTTCTTTCAATAGAGACGGGGTTTCACCATGTTGGCCAGGCTGGTCTCGAACTCCTGACCTTAAGTGATCCACCCACCTCGGCCTCCCAAAGTGCTGGGATTATAGGCGTGAGCCACTGCGCCCGGCCTATACTTTTATTTTTTTGAATTCTAGTTTTTTTGGTATCTTTTCTTTTCTTTGCTTTCTTTTTTTCTTTTTCTTTTTGTTTTAGATGGAGTCTTGCTCTGTTGCCTAGGCTGGAGTGCAGTGGCATGATCTCGGCTCACTGCAACCTCCGCCTCCCGGGTCAAGCAATTCTCCTGCCTCAGCCTCTTGAGTAGCTGGGATTATAGGCACGCACCACCACATCCAGCTAATTTTTGTATTTTTAGTAGAGACAGGGTTTCACCATGTTGGCCAGGCTGGTCTTGAATTCCTGACCTCGTGATCCACCCGCCTCGGCTGCCCGAAGTGCTGGGATTACAGGCGTGAACCACTGCACCCGGCCTCTATTTTTTGTTTTTTTTTAGAGGTAGGGTCTTGCTCTGTTGCCCAGGCTGGAGCAGTGACATGATCCTGGCTCCCTGCAGCCTCGAACTCCTGGGCCCAAGCAATTCTCCTATCTCAGCCTCCTGAGTAGCTGGCACTATAGGAGTTTGCCACCATACCTGGCTGATTTTTTATGTTTAATTTTTAGAGACAGGGTCTTGCCATGTTGCCCAGGTTGGTTTCAAACTCCTAGGCTCAAGTGATACTCCCGCCTCAGTCTCCTAAAGTGTGAATTCTAGTTCTTATTCATTCTTCAGAAGAAACGGGCAGAACTATTTACCTAGAGTATTATCTATGATTTGGGTTTAGCACCAGGTAGGCCTGGCACAAAGCTTTCTTTTTTTTTTTTTTCCTTCAACTTTTATTTTAAGTTCTGGGGTACATGTGCAGGACGTGCAGGTTTGTTATATAGGTAAACATGTGCCATGGTTGTTTGCTGCACAGATCAACCCATCACCTAGGTGTTAAGCCCAGCATCCATTAGCTATTCCTCCTTATGCTCTCTTTCCATCCCACCCCCAGCTTTATTAATAATAATATTATATAACATTTATAGGTAATATTTATTAGACTTTTAAAATATATTTTCTTAATAGAAATGGGGTTTTGCCATGTTGCCCAGGCTGGTCTCAAACTCCTGAGCTTTAAGCCATCCTCCTGCCTTGGCCTCCCAAAGTGCTGGGATTACATACAGGCATTGAGCCACTGCACCTGGACTTTTGGACTTTTTTTTTTTTTTTTTTGAGACAGTCGTGCTCTGTTGCCCAGGCTGGAGTGCAATGGCATGATCTTGGTTCACTGCAGCCTCCACCTCCCCAGTTGAAGCGATTCTTTTGTTTGTTTGTTTGTGTTTGAGATGGAGTCTGGCTCTGTCGCCCAGGATGGAGTGCAGTGACGCAATCTGGGCTCACTGAAGGCTCCGCCTCCCGGGTTCACGCCATTCTCCTGCCTCAGCCTCCCGAGTAGCTAGGACTACAGGCGCCTGCCACGACGCCTGGCTAATTTTTTTGTATTTTTAGTAGAGATGGGGTTTCACCTTGTTTGCCAGGATGGTCTCCATCTCCTGACCTCGTGATCCGCCCGTCTCGGCCTCCCAAAGTGCTGGGATTACAGGCGTGAGCCACCGCGCCCGGCCTGAAGCGATTCTTGTGTCTCAGCCTCCCAAGTAGCTGGGATTACAGGTGCCCTGACACCATGCCTGGCTAATTTTGGTATTTTTAGCAGAGATGGAGTCTCGCCATGTTGGCCAGGCTGGTCTCAAACTCCTGACCTCAAGTGGTCCACCCTCCTCGGCCTCCCAAAGTGCTGGGATTATATACAGGCATTGAGCCACCACACCCAGCCTTATTGGATATTTTTAATGTGCTGGATACTGCCCCAAGTGCTTTAATGCATCATCTCATAGATGCCTTAGAAGAACCCTATGACATACCACCGTTATCGCCATTATACAGATAGGAAAACTGATGTTCAGAGAGGTTGGGCTACTTATCAAGATTACATAGCTAGACTGGGCACAGTGGCTCATGTCTGTAATCCCAGCACTTTGGGAGGCTTGAGCCCAGGAGTTCGAGACCAGCATGGGCAACATAGCAAGACCTCATCTCTACCAAAACATAAAAAAATTAGCCGACATGATGGCATACACTTGTGGTCCCAGCTTCTTAGGGGCCTGAGGTGGGAGGATACCCTTGAGCCTGGGAGGCCGAAGCTGCAGTGAGCTGTGATCATGCCACTGTACTTCAGCCTGGGCAACAGAGCAAAAAAAAAAAAAAAAAAAAAAAAAAATCACATAGCTAGGGTGGCAAAGCTAAGACTTGAACTTAGGACTCCATGGGTTCAGTGCTCAGTCTCACAAGACTGCCCCCACTTCAGACACCAGCCACAAGTGGGGTCCCCAGGGCACCCACACTTCTGCCCAGCTGGTTAAAAATTCGGGAGTTCCCATGACTTACCCCCTGTATTCAATAATTCACTAGAATTACTCACACAACTCAGGAAAGTGCTATAATCATTATTACAGTTTTGTTTTAAAGAATAAAACAAGAACAGCCAAAGAACAAGGCGTGGGAGGCTGGGAGGGGCACAGAGCTTCCATGCCCTCTCTTGAGCATGCCACCCTCCCACTACATTGATGTGTTCAGCATCCCCTAAGTATAGTTACAAACAGAAATTACAGTAATACTGGTTTTCATATTTGTCTATTTACCTTTGCTATGGAAATTTATATTTTCATGTGGCTTTGAGTTACTGTCTGGTGTCATCGCATTTCAACTTGAAGGATTCCCTTTAGCATTTCTTGTAGGGTGAGTCTAGTGATAACAAATTTCCTCAGCTTTTGTTTATTTAGAAATGTCTATTTTCTCCTTTGTGTTTCATTTTTAATATTATTATTTATTTATTTATTTATTTATTTTTGAGACAAAGTCTCACTCTGTCGCCCAGTGGTGCGATCTCGGCTCTCCCAAATTCAAGCGATTCTCCTGCTTCAGCCTCCCGATTAGCTGGGATTACAGGCATCTGCTACCACGCCTGGCTAATTTTTTGTATTTTCAGCAGAGACAGGGTTTCATCATGTTGTCCAGGCTGGTCTCGTCCTGACCTCAGGTGATCCGCCCACCTTGGCCTCCCAAAGTGCTGGGATTACAGGCGTGAGCCACTGTATCCGGCCAATTATTATTATTATTTTTTAGAGACGGTGTCTCACCATGTTGTCCAAGCTGGTCTTGAACTCCTGGGCTCAAGTAATCCACCTGCCTCAGTCTCCCAAAATGCTGGGATTACACGTGTGAGTTACTGTGCCCAGTCTCTTCTTTGTTTTTGAAGAACAGTTTTGCTGGGTGTAGAATTATCAGTGACAGGTTTTCTCTTTCAGCACCTTACATACAATTGTGTGCCATATAACAACGTTTCAATGACAGAGCATGTATACAATGGTGATCTCATAAGATTATAATACCATATTTTTACTTTGCAAAAGAGAAACACTCCGTCTCAAAAAAAAAAAACAACTTACTTTTCTTCCCAGTCTCAGGTATGTCTTTATCAGCAGCATGAAAATGGACTAATACAGTAAATTGGTACCAGTAGAGTGGGGCGTTGCTGAAAAGATACCCGAAAATGTGAAAGCAACTTCGGAACTGGGTAACAGGCAGAGGTTGGAACAGTTTGGAGGGCTCAGAAGAAGAAAGGAAAATGTGGGAAAGTTTGGAGCTTCCTAGAAACTTGTTGAATGGCTTTGACCAAAAGCCTGATAGCAATATGGACAATAAGGTCCAGGCTGAGGTGGTCTCAGATGGAGATGAGAAACTTGTTGGGAACTGGAGCAAAGGTGACTCTCGTTATGTTTTAGCAAAGAGACTGGCGGCATTTTGCCCCTGCCCTAGAGATTTGTGGAACTTTGAACTCCAAAGAGAGATGATTTAGGGTATCTGGCAGAAGAATTTTCTAAGCAGCAAAGCATTCAAGAAGTGAGATGGGTTCTGTTAAAGGCATTCAGTTTTATAGTGGAAGCAGAGCATTCAAGTTTGGAAAATTTGCAGTGACCATGTAATAGAAAAGAAAAACCCATTTTCCAAGGAGAAATTCAAGCCGGCTGCAGAAATTTGCATAAGTAAGTAGGAGCCAAACGTTAACCCCCAAGACAATGCGGAACATGTCTCCAGGGCATGTCAGAGGCCTTCATGGAAGCCCCTCCCATCACAGGCCCGGAGGGCTAGGAGAAAATGGTTTGGTGGGCCAGGCCCAGGGTCCCCGTGCTGTGTGCAGACTAGGGACTTGGTGCCCTGCGTCCCAGCGTGGCTGAAAGGGGCCAACATAGAGCCAGATTCCAGGACAGGAGAGGAGGATAGGCTTTTTTTTTTTTGAGACAGAGTTTCGCTCTTGTTGCCCAGGCTGGAGTGCAATGGTGTTTTCTCGGCTCATTGCAACCTCTACCTCCCTGGTCCAAGCAATTCTCCTGCCTCAGCCTCCTGAGTAACCGGGATTACAGGCATGAGCCACCACACCTGGCTAATTTTGTATTTTTAGTAGAGACGGGGTTTCTCCATGTTGGTCAGACTGGTCTTGATCTCCCGACCTTAGGTAATTGGCCTGCCTCACCCTCCCAAAGTGCTGGGGTTACAGGCATGAGCCACCACACCCAGCCAAGGATAGGCTTTTGAGGACTGTTTGTGATAGATGATACGGCAGTGATGCAAGCAAGCCCCAGACAGATGAGGCCAGGGGCTGCTGGCCACAGGCTCCTTCCCTACAAGTGCAAAGAAAAGTGCCAGCTCATAAGCTGGGGATGAGCTGGATGTGTTCATCTAGCTGCAAGGCTCTGGTTCCAGCTCCCAGCTTTTCTTTCTTTCCCTTCCTTCCTTCCTTCCTTCCTTCCTTCCTTCCTTCCTTCCTTCCTTCCTTCCTTCCTTCCTTTCTTTCTTTCTTTCTTTCTTTCTTTCTTTCTTTTTTGATGGAGTCTCCCTGTGTCACCCAGGCTGGAATGCAGTGGCATGATCTCGGCTCACTGCAAGCTCCGCCTCCCTGGTTCACGCCATTCTCCCACCTCAGCCTCCCGAGTAGCTGGGACTACAGGTACGTGCCACCATGCCCAGCTAATTTTTTGTAGTTTTAGTAGAGATGAGGCTTCATCATGTTGACTAGGCTGGTTGCAAACTCCTGACCTCACGTGATCTGTCTGCCTCACCCTCCCAAAGTGTTGGGATTACAGGTGTGAGCCACCACACCCAGCCTTAGCTTTTCTTTTTTGCCTTAGACTCAGGTACTCAGCTTGCTGGATTAGATACTTGGTTAGACAGTTTGGCCACCAATGCAGAGCTCTCCTTTCTTGTTGCCTCGGGACACAGAGAGCAGAGGATCTCAGCTTTTGAACAGTTTGGGGAAACAGAGTATACCAAAAAATATGAGAAAAATACAAATTTTACAAAGACCTGACAATCTTGTACTAGTCTAGAGTATCCAGAACCCTATTATGGTCAGAGCCTCTCAGAGATGAAGAAATGCTCCAGCCAATTCCATTGTTTGAGGGTTTGTTGTTGTTGCTCTTGGTTTTTTTTTTTTTTTTTTTTGAGACAGGGTCTCACTCTGTCACCCAAGCTGGAGTTCGGTGGCATAAACACAGGTAGGGCAAGTGATATGGTTTGGCTGTGTCCCCACCCAAATCTTATCTTGAACTGTAGCTCCCATAATCCCCACATGTTATGGGAGGGACCCAGTGGGAGGTAATTGAATCATGGGGGTGGTTATCTCCATGCCGTTCTAATGATAGTAAGTGAGTTCTCACGAGATTTGATGGTTTTATAAGGGGCTTTTCCCCTGCTCTGCTCTGTAGTTCTCCTTGCTGCCACCATGTGAAGAAGGACGTGTTTGCTTCCCCTTCCACCATGCTTGTATGTTTCCTGAGGGGCTTCTCCAGACATGCTGAACAGTGAGTCAATTAAACCTCTTTTTTTTTTTTTTTTTTTTTGAGATGGAGTCTTGCTCCATCGCCATGCTGGAGTGCAATGGCACGATCTAGGCTCACTGCAACTTCTGCCTCCCGGGTTCAAGCAATTCTCCTGCCTCCCGGGTTCAAGCAATTCTCCTGCCTCAGCCTCCTGAGTAGCTGGGACTACAGCCATGTACCACCACACCCAGCTAATTTTTTTTGTATTTTTAGTAGAGACGGGGGTTTCACCATGTTGGCCAGTGTGATCTCGATCTCCTGACCTTGTGATCTGCCTGCCTCAGCCTCCCAAAGTGCTAAGATTACAGTCGTGAGCCACCGTGCCTGACCTAAACGCTTTGCCTTGCCGATGGAGTCTTGCTCTTGTTGCCCAGGGTGGAGTGCAATGGCATGATCTCCGCTCACTGCAACCTCCACCTCCTGGGTTCAAGCGATTGTCCTGCCTCAGTCTCCTGAGTAGCTGGGATTACAGGTGTCCACCACTAAGCCTGGCTAATTTTGTATTTTTAGTAGAGACAAGGTTTTGCCATGTTGGTCAGGTTGGTCTTGAACTCCTGACCTCATGATACACCCGCCTCAGCCTCCCAAAGTGTTGGGATTACAGGCATGAAGCCACTGCACCTAGCCTCTAAACCTCTTTTCTTTATAAATTACTCAGTCTTAGGTATGTCTTTATTAGCAGCATGAGAGCAGACTAATACAATAAATTGGTACCACAGAGAGTGGGGCGCTGCTGTAAAGATACCCAAAAATGTGGAAGCGACTTTGGAACTGGGTAACAGGCAGAAGTTGGAACAGTTTGGAGGGCTCAGAAGAAGACAGAAAAATGTGGGAAAGTTTGGAACTTCATAGAGACTTGGAAGGCTCAGAAGACAGGAAGATGTAGGAAAGTTTGGAACTTCCTAGAGACTTGTTGAGTGGCTTTGATCAACATGCTGATAGTGATATGGACCATGAAGTCCAGGCTGAGGTGTGATCAGATGGAGATGAGGAACTTGTTGGGAACTGGAGCAAAGGTCACTGTTACTATGCAAAGAGACCGGCAGCATTTTGCCTCTGCCCTAGAGATCTGTGGAACTTTGAACTTGAGAGATGATTTAGTGTATCTGGTGGAAGAAATTTCTAAGCAGCAAAGTGTTCAAGAGGAAGCAGAGCATAAAAGTTTGAAAATTTTCCAGCCTGAGGATGCAGTAGAAAAGAAAAACCCATTTTCTGAGGAGAAATTCAAGCCTGCTGCAGAAATTTGCATAAGTAACAAGGAGCCAAATGTTAATGACCAAGACAATGGGGAAAATGTCTCCAGGGCATGTCGGAGACCTTCATGGCAGCTCCTTCCATCACAGGCCTGGAAGGAGGCCTAGGAGAAAAAAATGGTTTCCTAGGCTGGGTCCAGAGCCCCCCTACTGCGTGCAGCCTCAAGACTTGGTGCCCAGCATCCCAGTCACTCTAGCTATGGCTAAAAGGGGTTAAGGTACAGCTTGGGCCATGGCTTCAGAGGGTGCAAGCCAAAGCCTTGGCAGCTTCTGCATGGTGTTGAGTCTGTGGGTGCACAGAAGTCAAGAATTGAGGTTTGGGAACCTCTGCCTAGATTTCAGAGAATGTATGGAAACACCTGAATGTCCAGGCAGAATTTTGCTGCAGGGGTAGAGCCCTCATGGAGACCCTCGGCTAGGGCAGTGTGGAAGGGAAATGTGGGGTTGGAGCCCCCACACAGAGTCTCCACTGGGGCACTGCCTAATGGAGCTGTGAGAATAGGGCCACCATCCTCCAGACCCCAGAATGGTAGATCCACCGACAGCTTACACCATGCACCTGGAAAAGCTGCAGACACTCAACACCAGCCCATGAAAGTAGCCGGGAGGGGGCTGTGCCCTGCAAAGCCAAAAAAGTGGAGCTGCCCAAGGTGGTAGGAACTCACCCCTTGCATCAGCATAACCTGGATGTGAGACATGGAGCTAAAGGAGATCTTTTGGAACTTTAAGGTTTAGTGACTGCCCTGTTGGATTTTGGACTTGCATGGGGCCTGTAGTCCCTTTGTTTTGGCTAATTTCTCCCATTTGGAATGGGTGTATTTACCCAATGCCTCTACCTCCATTGTATCTAGGAAGTAACTAACTTGCTTTTGGTTTTACAGGCTCATAGGCAGAAAGGACTTGCCTTGTCTCAGATGAGGCTTTGGACTTGGACTTTTGAGTTAATGCTGGAATGGGTCAAGACTTTGAGGGACTGTTGGGAAGGCATGATTGCATTTTGAAAGTGAGGACATGAAATTTGGGAGGGGCCAGGGGCAGAATGATATGGTTTGACTTTGTCCCCACCCACATCTCATCTTGAACTGTAGTTCCCATAATCCCCATGTGTCGTAGGAGGAACTCAGTGGGAGGTAATTAAATCATGGGGGTGGTTACCTCCATGCTGTTCTCATGATAGTGAGTGAGTTATCACAAGATCTAATGGATTTATTTATTTATTTATTTACTTGTCTATTTATTTTGAGATGGAGTCTCACCCTGTTGCCTGGACTGGAGTGCAGTGGCGCAATCTTGGCTCACTGCAACCTCCACCTCCCAGGTTCAAGTGATTCTCCTGCCTCAGCCTCCTGAGTAGCTGGGATTACAGGCGCCCGCCACTACGCCCAGCTAATTTTTTGTATTTTTAGGAGAGATGGGGTTTCACCATGTTGGCCAGGCTGGTCTTGAGCTCCTGACCTCATGATTCACCCACCTTGGCCTCCCAAAGTGCTGGGATTACAGGTGTGAGCCACTGTGCCCGGCCGAGATCTGATGGTGTTACAGGGGGCTTTCCGCCCCCTTTGCTCTACACTTCTCCTTGCTGCTGCTATGTGAAGAAGGATGTGTTTGTTTCCCCTTCTGCCATGATTGTAAATTTCCTGAGGCTTCCCCAGCCATGCTGAACTATGAGTCTATTAAACCTCCTTTCTTTATAAATTACCTAGTCTTGGGTATGTCTCTATTAGCAATGTGTAAACAAACTAATACAGTAAACAAAACATGAAACTTCCTTCCTTTTTTTTTTTTTTTTTTTTTGAGACAGAGTCTAGCTGTGTTGCCCAGGCTGGAGCACAGTGGTGTGATCTCAGCTCACTGCAACCTCTTACCTCCCAGGCTTGAGCATTCTCCTGCCTCAGCCTCCTGAGTAACTGGGACTACAGGCATGTGCCACCATGCCTGGCTAGTTTTTGTATTTTTAGTAGAGATGGAGTTTCACTATATTGGCCAGGCTGGTCTCAAACTCATAGGCTCAAGTCAGCCGCCCACCTCGGCTTCCCAAAGTGCTGGGATTACAGACCTGAGCCATCATGCCAGGCTCCTTCCATTTTTAATGTGGCTTTTTCTTAGATGTGCATTCACTCAGTTGCTGGTCTTTTTATTGATTTCCACAGTCCCTATTAAGTTATTTTAGCCAGTTTCTAGTTGTTCATTTAATGTTTCCATAGTGGAAACAAGGACCTGAAGCTTTCTAGTCCACCATCTTGCTGGTGACACTCCAAGCTTGTTTCTTTGTTTGTTTGTTTGAGGCAGAGTCTCGCTCTGTTGCCCAGACTGGAGTGCAGTGATGCAATCAGGGGTCACTGCAGCCTCAACCTTCTGAGCTCCAGCCATCCTCTAGCCTCAGCATCCTGAGTAGTTGGGATTATAGGCATGTGTCACCATGCCCAGCCTTTAAAATAAATTATAGTAAATTCTTCAATATGTATCTCCAAAAATAAGAACATTCTACTCCATAACTACAATACCATTATATTATATGTACACATTTAACAATAGTTTCATAATACTACCCCAGTCCATATTCAAGTTTCCCTAATGTAATTATTATATATTTTATTTCATCATTATTTTTTAAACTTTTTATTATATAACATAACACAGATATTTAAAAAACACCAAACATACATATGGTAAATTATTAAAAATGAACACCCTTACAGCTACAACTCAGGACTAGAGATAGAACTTCCAGCTACCTCTGAAACTATCCACATACCACATCCCAATCATAACCATCCCTCCCTCAAAGTGACCATGATTATAAGCAAGATGCCTGAGTTTTTGCACGTTGAGAGGTTGTTAGTGTTTGTGTCCCTTATACTCAGATACAAAATCTTGGCTCACACTTTCCTTTCTTTGGAGACAGGGTCTTACTCTGTCACCTAGGCTGGAGGGAATGGTGCAATAAGCTCACTGCAGCCTCAACCTCCCAGGATCAAGCAATCCTCCTGCCTCAGCCTCCTGAGTAGCTGGGACTACAGGTGTGTGCCCCAACACCCACCTACTTTTTGTATTTTTTGTAGAGATGGGTTTTCACCATGTTGCCCAGGCTGGTCTCCAACTCCTGAGCTCAAGTGATCCACCTGCCTTGGCTTCCCAAAGTGCTGGGATTACAGGCATGAGCCACCATGCCCAGCCAATATGTAATCTTTAAGAAAGTTGTCTTGAATTATAGGTTTTGAGCTGGGTATGGTGGCTCATGCCTGTAATCTTGGCACTTTGGGAGGCTGAGGCTGGGGCATCACTTAAATCAGGAGTTCAAGACCAGCCTGGCCAACATAGTGAAACCCTGTCTCTACTAAAAATATAAAAATTAGCTGGGTGTGGTGGGACACACCTGTAATCTCAGCTACTTGGGAGGCTGAGGCAGGAAAATCGCTTGAACCTGGGAGGTGGAGGTTGCAGTGAGCCAAGATCACACCACTGCACTCCAGCCTGGGCAATACAGTGAGACTGTGTCTCAAAAAACAAACAAACAAACAAAACCAATTATAGTTTTTGGTATTTGCCACATTGTTCCTTTAATCTGGTTTTCTTTTGCAGTTACTTCTATTTATAATATGTTGGAACTGCCAATCTGAAATAATCAAAAGGATCAGAATCCAGTTTTTTTTTTTTTTTTTTTTTGAGACGGGTCTCACTCTATCACCCAGGCTGGAGTGCAGTGGCACTATCTCAGCTCACTGCAAACTCCGCCTCCCAGGATCACGCCATTCTCCTGCCTTAGCCTCCCGAGTAGCAGGAACTACAGGCGCCCACCACCACGCCCAGCTAATTTTTTTGTATTTTTAGTAGAGATGGGGTTTCACCATGTTAGCCAGGATGGTCTCAATCTCCTGACCTCGTGATCCGCCTGCCTCGGCCTCCCAAAGTGCTGGGATTACAGGCGTGAGCCACCGTGCCCCGCCCAGAATCCAGTTTTAAAGAGTTTATTAAAGCAAAATGTTGGGAATGACTATCTGGGAGACACAGCGTGTAGGGAAATGGGGTCAGTGTTCTGAAGTTGAGAGTTAAGTTCTTGCTTAAGTAGGCAGAAAACAAAGAAGTAGGATCATTTTCTATATGAGGCTGGTTCATGAGTTAACAACCATTTAGTTACAGCTTCTTTCCTTTTCTATATGGCTTGGTTTCTTTTCTTTACAACTGGTTTTCATTTCCTTTCCTACATAGTTATTTATTTTTGAGACAGGATGTTCCTCTTTCGTCCAGGGTGGAGTACAATGGTGCAAACATGACTCATTGCAGCCTTGACCTCCCAGGTTCAAGGGATCCTCCCACCTGAGCTTCCTGAGTAGCTGGGACTACAGGTGCTTGCCGCCATGTCTGGTTAATTTTTAAAAAAATAATAAGAAGAAATAGGATCTCACTGTTGAGCAGGCTGGTCTCAAACTCCTGGCCTCAAAAAATCCTCTCACCTAGGCTTCCCAAGGTGCTGAAATTACAGGTGTGAGCCACCTCCTGGCCCTCCTTTCCAATTTAAGGTATTTAGCATTCCATTTTATGACAATGTGATGGCCAAAAAGTCTATGTGAGAAAGGTAAGAGGGAAGTCAATCTATAATGAAGATCAACAGTGAAGAGTCTTTCCTGATGCCCTTTAGTCATTTGAAACATTTTACAAAACAATGTAGGTAAGTAATAAGACTAATCTATAATCAGAAGCAAAGGGTTACAGCTGCCTAAGTTACAGTTGCCTGTCAGGTAACATTCCTCTAAGGCTCAAAATAATTTAGAGTTCCAATAGCTTAGATTTTTAATTATTTTCAGAGATCTTATTTGCATGGCTTCAATATTTGTCACTTTTTTGCACATACTTTTTGTTTTCTTTTTTCCTTATTTTCAATTTTAATTTTTTTCACCTTCTATTTCTTATCAGGCAATACTTGTAGCATTTATCTACTTTTTTGTTGTTGTTGTTGAGACAGGGCCTCACTATGTCTGTAGTACAGTGGCACAATCACAGCTCACTGAAGTCTGTGCTTAAGTGATCCTCCCACCTAAGCCACCGGAATAGCTGGGATTATTGGCACACACCATCATGCCGGGCTAATTTTTTTTAATGTTTGGTAGAGATGGGGTTTCACTATGTTGCTCAAACTCCTGAGCTCAAGCAATCTTCCTGCCTCAGCCTCCCAAAGTGCTGGGATTACAGGTGTGAGCCACTGTGCCCAGCTTATTTATTTACTTTTGTTTTCCTTCTGGTTTAGTTTCATTTCTGAAATAAATTTTTTATTTATTACTATTTTTTCCTTGAGTTTTATCACCTAATTGCTATATTTTTCTAGTTCTGATTTACGTATGTATGTTGTTCTTTGTATCTTTCAAAATGTCTTTTAGCTAGTTTCAAAATACTAGTTTATACTGTTTATCTGTTTTGTGGAAGGGAGCTTGGTTGATTAGTGCTGTAGCTTGAATATTTAAACCTCCAAACTTCATGTTGAAATTTGATCCCCAGCCGGGCAGTGGCTCACGCCTGTAATCTTAACACTTTAGGAGGCCACTTGAGGCCAGGAGTTTGAGACCAGCCTGGCCAACATGGTGAAACCCTGTCTCTACTAAAAATACAAAAGTTAGCTGGGCGTGGTGGCTCACACTTGTAATCCCACCTACTCAGTAAGCCGAGGGAGGAGAATCACTTGAGCCGAGATTGTGCCGTGTACTCCTGCCTGGGCAAAAGAGCGAGACTCCGTCTCAAAAAAAAAAAAAAGATATCTGATCCCCAGCGTTGGCAGCAAGGCCTAACAGGAGGTGTTTGGGTTATGGGGGTGGATCCCTCATGAATGTCTTGGTGACCTCTTTGTGGTAATGAGTAAGTTCTTACTCTACTAGTTCCCAAGAAAGTAGGTTGTTATAAAGAGCCTGGTGCCTCCTCCTCTCTCTTCTTGCTGCTCTCTCTCATCATGTGATCTCTGCCCATGCTGGCTGCCCTTCCCCTTCAGCCATGAGTGGAAGCTTCCTAAGGCCTCACCAGAAGCAGATGCTGGCGTCATGCTTCTTATACAGTCTGCAGAGCTGTGAGCCAAATAAACCTCTTTTCTTAATAAATTACTCAGCCTCAGGTCTTTCTTCATAGCAACACAAAAGGACTAAGACAATTGCTTTAAAAGTTGATGTTGCGGCCGGGCGCGGTGGCTCATGCCTGTAATCCCAGTACTTTGGGAGGCTGAGGCGGGTGGATCACAAGGTCAGGAGATTGAGACCATCCTGGCTAACACGGTGAAACCCCATCTCTACTAAAAATAATAATAATTAAAAAAATTAGCCGGGCATGTTGGCGGGCACCTGTAGTCCCAGCTACTCGGGAGGCTGAGGCAGGAGAATGGTGAACCAGGGAGGCGGAGCTTGCAGTGAGCCGAGACTGCGCCACTGCACTCCAGCCTGGGTGACAGAGTAATACTCCGTCTCAAAAAAAAAAAAAAAAAAAAAGTTGATGTTGCCTCAATTGCTCCAACCCCTCCAGTCTTATCAGAGACTCCTTGTACTCACCCATATTGAAGCATGCAGAACACCTCCCACTTTAGCTGCTTTTCTCAGTTTGGCTCACTCTGCCCTCCTGCGAAGACCTGTTTGCTGGCCCCTGAGGTGCCCTATCTCTTCCCTCTGCATTATTCTATATAAATGCGAATATCATATAGATCTTATAGTGGTGGGAATTGTTGTCGTCATGCTCTTACCTTTTACAGTTCATGGGGATACCTTATAATCTGGCTTTGTTGAAAATGCTCTTCATAGGTTTTTGGTTTTACCATCTAGTTGCTCTGCCTTTTTTTTTTTTTTTTTTTTTCCTGCAAGGTGGATTCTAGGAGATCAAAAAACTATACCACTGCTGTGTCTTTCCAGAATTATGAAGGGAAAAAGAACCATGAGAGCTCAGGAAGCAAATTATTATATTTGCCCCCATGGCCAGGCCAGGACCATGTGCTGGAACCACACTCAGATGTGAATAGGATGTGGTTCCCAGGAAGCAAGCTACCTTATATTAGATTCTACACCCAAAGAAGGCAAAACATAACACATGTTTATTACAGTGTTTCATATCAGGTTTTATTTGAGGGTTCCACTACTTTAAAAAAAAGTATAAAAACATTCATCTAAGATAGTGTAATTATATGACTTGTTCTTTAACTCAAACTTTTTATTTTTATTTTTATTATTTATTTATTTATTTATTTTTGAGATGGAGTTTAGCTCTTGTTGCCCAGGCTGGAGCGCAATGGTGTGATCTTGGCTCACCGCAACCTCTGCCTCCTGGGTTCAAGTGATTCCCCTACCTCAGCCTCTTGAGTAGCTGGGATTATAGGCATATGTCATCATGCCTGGCTAATTTTTTTTGTTTTTAGTAGAGACGGGGTTTCTCTGTGTTGGTCAGGCTGGTCTTGAACTGCTGACCTCGGATGATCCGCCTGTCTCGGCCTCCCAAAGTGCTGGGATTACAGGTGTGAGCCAGCATGCTTGGCCTATTTTTATTTTTAATTTTGAGACAGGGTCTCATTGTGTTGTCCAGGCTAGAGTGCAGTGGTGTGATCACAACTCACTGCAGCCTTGACCTCTGGGTTCAAGTGATCCTCCTGCCTCAGCCTCCTGAGTAGCTGGGATTACAGGCACACGCCACCACACCTGGATAATTTTTTTATTTTTCATGTTTGTAGAGATGTGGTCTCATTATTTTGCCAAGCCTCTGGTCTTGAACTCCGGAGCTCAAGTGATCTTCCCATCTCGGTCTCCCAAAAGTGCTGGGATTTACAAGCGTGAGCCACCATGCCCAGCCCCTGACTTCAACTTTTTAAAGATAACTTTCAATTATATGACCTTCCTTCATAAGAGATGAACACATAGATGAGGCTAAAGTCCCCTTGTCTCTGGGTTCCCTTTGGATGCCTGGCTGACTTAAATGCCATCTCAGCAGGGCTGAGGACCATGCACCGGAGTCTGCTGAGGATGGGACATAGTCATTTTAACATTAACCAGAGTGAAATGCAATCATGAAAGTGAATCCTTTAATGCAGTTGTGAGGGATTATCTGTGCTGTTGCCATTCTCCATTTGTACAAAAATGTAAAGCTTGAGAATGGTTGAGGATTTTAGAAACATGTTCCTGGCTCTTTCTCTGTTGTTTAGCATGGTGAGGACCTTGATTCACAGTTTCATTTTTGACTGACAGACTTACTGTTCCATCCCAGCATTGGTAACTAATGGGCTTTCTGGCTCGGTTTTTGCTAGGCTCATTGAGATTGTTTTGATTAGGATGCATTATTATTCAAGTGGCAGAAAACCCCACTCATATTGCCTTTTAAAAACATATACATTGGCTCATGGAGTGTGGAGGTATTTGACACTTCAGGAGTGGCTGGATTCAGGATTCAAATGAGGTGATGGCAATATTGCCCTTCCCAGTCTCAGGGCCCATTTATATTATGTGACATGAGTCCAACACTATGTGCTCTTGGTGATGCCCCAGTCACTGCTGTGGGTCCTGGTCTGCAGCCCAGGTCCCCTTTTTGCTATTTTCTCTGTTTTTGTCGACTTCCCTTCAGGCAGCTTCCCCTCATGTAGTGAAAGGGCTCCAGTAGATCCTTGCTGAACTCCCTGCCATCCAAAATCAGCAGAGAACAGAGAACTTCAGAGGCCTCAGGAAAAGTCTCATCGTGACTCACTGGTTCTCACTGCATCACAGCCCCAGCCTGGGTCCCGCCCACATCACTGAGGTCAGGGCAAGGCTGATGTCCGACTGGCTCATACCTAGTCAAAGTCTCCACTGCTGGTTACCAATGAAGATGGCAGCCTCATCAGAATTCCTTGAATGAAGAGGAAGGGAGGGGGGATGTGACAAGGGATAGCTCAGCATAGCTCAGATGGCACCCCCTCTGAAAGGCAGCAGCCTCAATTTGAAAAAAAAAAAAAAGGGCAGGGCACAGTGACTCACACCTATAATCCCAGCACTTTGGGAGGCCAAGGCTTGCGGATCATCTGAGGTCAGGAGTTCAAGACCAGCCTGGCCAACAAGGTGAAACCCCGTCTGTACTAAAAATACAAAAATCAGCTGGGCGTGGTGGCAGGAACCTGTAATCCCAGCTACTCGGGAGGCTGAGGCACAAGAATTACTTGAACCCAGGAGGGAGAGGTTTCAGTGAGCCGAGATTGCACCACTGTACTCCAGCCTGGGCGACAGTGAGACCCTGTCTCACACACACACACAGGGCCAGGCATGGTGGTTCACACCTGTAATCCCAGCACTTTGGAAGGTAGAAGTGGGAGGATTTCTTGAGCCCAGGAGTTGAGACCAGCCTAGGCAATGTAGCAAGACCCCATCTCATTTTTTTTTTTTTTAAGGGAGAGTGTCGTTCTTTCGCCCAGGCTGGAGTGCAGTGGCGCGATCTCAGCTCACTGCAACCTCCATCTCCCAGTTCAAGCGATTCTCCTGCCTCAGCCTCCTGAGTAGCTGGGATTACAGGCACCCACCACCGCACCCAGCTAATTTTTGTATTTTTTAGTAGAGATGGGGTTTTGCCATGTTGGCCAGGCTGGTCTTGAACTCCTGACCTCAAGTGATATGCCCACCTTGGCCTCCCGAAGTGCTGGGATTACAGGCATAAGCCACCGCTTCTAGCCCCCGCCTCAATTTTTTAAAAAATTGAATTAACGACAATAACAAAAAGAGGCAGCATGTCACAGTGGTTGAAAGTGTGTACTGCGGTGCCAAGAGGCAGCATGTCACAGTGGTTGAGGGTGTGTACTGTGGTGCCAAACCACCTTGGTTCTAACAATGGCTTTACCATTTAGGGTATGTGACCTTGGGTAAGTTACCAATCTCTGTGCCTCAGTTTCCTCACCTGTACAATGGGAGATAATGGCCTCACCTTCATAAAATTATTGACATAAAATTGATTTAATATATATAAAATACTTAGAACTCTGACTGGCATGCAACAAGATCTAGATATCTTTGCCATTATTGAGATTTCATGATCCTTAGGAGAGAATAGGGGAAATTCCTAATGCAGCAAGTTTTCAACAAAGGGCAGTGTTCCTTTGGCCTAGGACAGTGATGCTGTGGCTTGAAGTGACTCCTTTCATCAGTTTACCCATCTTAGTCTGCAATGAGCAACTTCCAGATATCACCCCTTTGCATGTGTTGGAGCTCAGAAAATGATACCCCAAGACGAAGGCTGCAGAAGCAGCCTCAGAGGCTAAAGGTTTTCACTGACCTTCTGCCCTCCTGTCTTTTAGGCCCATTCTCCCCAGGAACTAGTTATAGAAACTAGAATCCCTCTTCCTCAAGGCAGATCATAGACACCAAAACCCTTTTTCCCCCAAGCCAGCCATAAAACCTAAAAATATTCTGTGAAAAAACTGGCCTACCCTGTTTGACTGTAGGTCATAAGATCCCTATTGGAAAGAGGATCCTGCCCCATACCTAGAGGGAAGGAATGCTGCTTGGAGAGGCCAAGAAGAATCCAGACCGACAGATCTTGCTGGGTTTCCCCACTCTGTCTATTAGCGAGCGTTAGCGCAGACCCTTTTTGCCCAATCCTATTTCTACATGGCTGTCCAGACTTTGTCGAATCTAAGCGCAAAAATGGACAACTTCCCCTGCATCTTTGGGTCTTCATTTGGAAGTCTCCTGTGTATACATGTCATGCTTCTTCTCCAATTAACCTACCTTTTGTGAGCTGATTTTTCAGTGAACCTTCCAAGGGTGAAGTAAAAGTCTCCTTGGCCCCCACACACACTGGGGTGTAGTTTGCTTTGAGGCTGGTCTGGGGGTGAGGGCATGGCTGTTGTGGTTTGCCTTGAGGCTGGTCTGGGGGTGAGGGCATAGCTGTTGAATACCATTAAGGGCATTTCACTGTGAGGTTTGATTCACATTGTTCTAGAACTTTAGACTGATTCACAATTTCGCTGCCAGCCGGTGCAGCAGCAACTGCTTCCATCTGTGACGTCGTGCACTGATTTATAAACCATTTATAGCTCTCCTCCCCACTTGACACAGCTGCTCCACAAATGGCTCAGGATTGCAACTAGAGGGGAAATTGGGGACTGCACTTGAACTTTCTCTATAATGAAGTGTAAATTGTCCTTTTGAAAAGTGCTTTCTTCATAAATCCCAGGCCTCAAATGTGGCAATTAAGAGAAGCCTTAAAAGCAAAAGAGGCTTCTGTTCCAGGTCTTTTCAAACCCTAAATGTCAAATTCTCTGTGCCTGTGTCCTGGCCTGGCATCTTATTTCCCTCAACACCCTCCTCCCATCTCTTTCTTAGTAACAATCTCAGATCCTGGCAGCGAATGGCATGCGAAACTGGGAACATTTTTCTTCTACACAGACAGGGTTATATAAATCTTCCTGTTTTAAAGTGATTTCTTTTACCCTTTATTTCTTTTGTGTGCCTTTAGGAGTCTGCTTGAATTCTTAATGGGCTAGATCCCTGGCTGGCTTGTTCTCTGCTTAAAGCAAACCATATCGATGCCAATTACTTTTATCCAGGCATTTGCATGTTTACTAAGGTCCTACTACCAGGCACTGATATCATCAGAGACTGTCTCCATATTCTTTGTATCCAGTCTTTTTTTTTTTTTTTGAGACGGAGTCTCGCTCTGTCTCCCAGGCTGGAGCGCAGTGGCACGATCTCGGCTCACTGCAACCTCCGCCTCCCAGGTTCAAGCAATTCTCCTGCCTCAGCCTCCTGAGAGTAGCTGGGACTACAGGCGCCGGCCACCATGCACGGCTAATTTTTGTATTTTTAATAGAGACGGGGTTTCACCATATTGGTCAGGCTGGTCTCGAACTCCCGACTTCAGGTTATCCACCCGCTTCAGCCTCCCAAAGTGCTGGGATTACAGGCGTGAGCCACCGCGCCCAGCTATGTATCCAGTCTTTTTCCACAAACATTCTACTTTTGGCCGGGCGCAGTGGCTCACGTCTGTAATCCCAGCACTTTGGGAGGCCGAGGTGGGCGGATCACAAGGTCAGGAGTTCGAGACCAGCCTGGCCAACATAGTGAAACCCTGTCTCTACTAAAAATACAAAAATTAGCCAGGTGTGGTGTCGTGCGCCTGTAGTCCCAGCTACTCAGGAGGCTGAGGCAGGAGAATCACTTGAACCTGGGAGGTGGAGGTTGCAGTGAGCCGAGATCGTGCCATTGTGCTCCAGCCTGGGTGACAGAGTGAGACTCTATCTTAAAAAAAAAAAAAAAAGAAAAGAAAAGAAGAAAAAAAAAACTACTTTTGATAAATCTCCTTTCTGTTGTTGTTACTGTTGTTTTTTTAGGCAGGGCCTCACTCTGTCACCAGGCTGAAGTGCAGCCATGTGATCATAGCTCACTGCAGCCTCAAACTCTTAGGCTCAAGTAGTCCTCCTGCTTCAGCCTTTGAAGTAGCTGGGACTACAGGCACATGCCAACATGTCCAGCTAATTAAAAAAAAAATTTAAAGAGATGGGGTCTTGCTGTGTTGCCCAGGCTGGTCTCAATCTCCTGGCCTCAAGGAATGCTCACACCTCAGCCTCCCAAAGTGCTGGGATTACAGGTGTGAGCCACCAAGCCCAGTCTGCCCCTTTATTTTCTACTGTTTTAAAAAAGGCATTGGCTTATCTAAAGGACCTAGTTCCTAGATAGTTACTTCCTGTTCTAGAGAGTTAATACAATGAGACTAAGGTCATCAAGTCCCACCAGAATACATCAGGCTATGTTACATGTCCATGTTTTCGAATACGCTTCAGAGGGAATCTTCTTCCTCTCCTTCATCTCTCTAATGCCTTCTCATTTTTCTAAAGTTAGGCCAATGTCATGACTCTGCTGGGAAACACTGTTGGAGCCCTCTGATTTTGATATTCCTTCCCCAGGCTCCCTTGAGTTCACCATTCTTGGAGAAAGCATTGCAACTGGACAGTGATCATTGATTTACTAGTCTGCCTCCATCATTAAGGTAGAGGCCAGAAAGGGACTATGTCAGATTGAACTTATTTTCCTCAGTTTCTAATAGACAATTATCAAATGAATGAACAAATGTACATTTCCTGAATACCCTCTATGTGCCAGTTACTGTATGAGGGTCTGGGGACACCAAGACCTTGTCCCTTTGAAGTTTATGGTCTAGTGGAAAGTTACACACTAGGTTAATAATCACACATATCACAATATTATCTTGAACTGATAAAGGGAAAAAACAGAATGCTTTGAAGGAAAAAAACAGAATGTTAGGAGACTGTCTGATAGGAGCGCCCAGAGATTGGATAAGCAGGACTTTTATCTGGGAAGAAGGGAGAGGGAGGGCTGGAAGTGCTTTCAGGACGTCCTGAAGTGTACCGAATGAGTAAACTGATGAAAGTGAGTGGGAGGGGGATGGAAACTCGCTCTCTGGTCATCGTGGGCATCGATGAATTGGTTTGTCTTGTGTCTTCTCCAGGTGGCAGGACCCTGATTTTTGGAGGATCCAAGCCTCCCTCATTCTCATCCTGACCTACCCCTCTTTCTAATAATGGGCACTTGACCTAGCCAAATTGAGTATGTCATCTACCAGGGCTCCTCCCATGTGATTAATTTAGGAATGAGTTTGAATTTAAGTCAAGTCTGGGATTCTTGGCATAACTAGGAAGAAAGACCTGCATTTCTTTCAGCACTTTGGATATTGTGCTTGAAAGAGAAGGGTAGAGATAGATGAAGACAAATTGATTTCTGATTTTTTTTGAGCACCTGGATCCAGCCATACCTGAAACTCGTGTGGCTACAGTTGTGTCTAAATTAACACACCTATGACTTTTAAAGCTATTAACTAGGCTGGGTGAAGTAGCTCATGCCTGTAATCCCAGCACTTTGTGAGGCTGAGGTCAGAGGATTGCTTGAGCCCAGGAGTTTCCAGCCTAGGCAACATAGGAAGACCTCGTCTCTACCAAAAACAAAAAACAAAAAACAAAAACAAAAACAAAACAAAACAAAACAAAACAAAAACATGGTGAGCACCTGTAGTCCCAGCTACTCAGGAGGCTGATGTGGGAGGATTACTTGAGCCTAGGAAGTTGAGGCTGCAGTGAGCCATGATAGTACCACTGCACTCTAGCCTGGATGTCTCAAAAAAAAAAAAAAAGCTATTAACTAAATAACTATCCCATCTTTTTATATGGCTTAGGCTAGTTTGCACAGGGCTTCAGGTACTTGCAAGACCAATGGCACTCATTTGCTAAGTCCAAAGAGGGTAAGGGAGGCCAGCTAAAGCGATTATGGAGGTCATCCAGCCAGGGAGAGCCCAAACACAGCAATCTTTCCTGCACCAGGAGAGTTCCCCCTAAGTGTCTGTATTCTGGTCTTCTCCTCAGAGACCCTGACCCTTGGGTTTCCATTTGTTTGAGTGTCTAGCAACAGGTGCACTGAGGGAGGGTGGTTGGAGAGAGATACCAATAGGAACCTTCCCAGGCCCTGACAGGGCAGGGAGTTCCAGGTACCCAAAGTGCTGGAAAATCACGAACTGCCTCTGCATTGGAGGAATGTGGACTAACCCTGATTTGAGAGTGGAGAGCCAGCAGGAGAGCTGGCTTTTGCTGGACTGCAAATGGTGAACCTGCTGGGCCAGGCAAGCTGGAATTGTTAATGGGCCTCAGTGAGCAACAACACCAGTGGGTCACAGCTGCCATCTAGCGCCGGATGCCGGCTTTTGCAAATTGTTTACTGGCTGTTTCCAGCTGAAAGGCCTTTCTGAGGGCCAATCTGGGGGGAAATGGGTAGGTCAGTACCTCTACCTTCATATTCAGGAAGAACCTTCAAATCAGACTTTCAGTATTATCTCTAAATCAGATTATTATACATATAGTCCCAGAGCCAAATTGACTAGATGACAAAAATGGGCAATCATTGCACAACATTAATTTCTGTTTCATTCCAAATCTCTAGAGTGTTATGATAGATTGATTAGATAGATAGATAGACAGACAGACATTTAAGGGCAGGCATGGTGGCTCATGTCTGTAATCCCAGCACCTTGGGGGCTGAGACCCGGAGATCACTTGAGTCCAGGAGTTTGAGGCCAGCCTGGGCAATATAGCAAGCTCGTCTCTACAAAAGATGGTGGTGCATCCCTGTGGTCCCAGCTACTCGTGAGGCTGAGTTGCTTGAACCCTGGAGTTTGAGGCTGCAGTGAGCTATGATAGCACCACTGCACACTCCAGCCTGGGCCACAGAGTGAGACCTGTCTCTTTAAAAAAAAAAAAAGATGGATTTTTTTAAAAGATGGATAGATGGATATTTTAAAAATAAATCCTGTAATGGTCCTATTTATGATTCAGGTTTCTGGCAGAAAATAGGCAGGTAGTGTAACTGCCCAGTGGGTTCACCTTTCCCACTGCCTAGACCTGCCTAGACAGGGGAATTGCAATGGAGAAAGAGTAATTCATGCAGAACCGGCTGTGCAGGGGACTGAAGTTTTATGATTACTCAAATCAGAGCATTCAGGGATCGAAGTTTTTGAAGATAATTTGGGAGATAGGGGCTTGGGAAGTGGGGAGTGCTGATGGTTGAGGTTGGAGATAGAATCGCAGGGGGTCGAAGTGAGGTTTTCTTTCTGTCTTCTGTTCCTGGGTGGGATGGCAGAACTGGTTGAGCCAGATTACGGGTCTTGGTGGTGTCAGCTGATCCATCAAGTGCAGGGTCTGCAAAATATCTCAAGCACTGATCTTAGGTTTTACATGGTGATGTTATCCCCAGGAGCAATTTGGAGAGGTTCAGACTCTTTGGAGCCAGAGTCTGCATGACCCCTAAACCACAATTTCTAATATTGTAGCTAATTTGTTAGTCTGGCAAAGGCAGACTGGGCCCCAGGCAAAAAGGGGTCTTTTCAGGAAAGGGCTATTATCAATTTTGTTTCAGAGTCAAACCATGAAACTGAATTCCTTCCCAAGGTTAGTTCGGCCTACACCCAGGAATGAGTAAGAACAGCTTAGGCTGGGCGAGGTGGCTCACGCCTGTAATCCTAGCACTTTGGGAGGCCAAGATGGGCAGATCACCTGAGGTCAGGAGTTCGAGACCAGCCTGGGCAACATGGTGAAACCCAGTCTCTACTAAAAATACAAAAATTAACCGGGCATGGTGGTGGGCACCTGTGATCCCAGCTTCTCGGGAGGCTGAGGCAGGAGAATTGCTTGAACCTGGGAGGCAGAGGTTGCAGTGAGCTGAGATTGTGCCACTGCACTCTAGCCTGGGCAACAGAGTGAGACTCCATCTCAAAAAAAAAAAAAAAAAGGAGAGCTTAAAGGTTAGAAGCAAGATAGAGTGGATTAAGTCTGATCTCTTTCACTGTCATAATTTCCTCAGTTATAAATTTTGCAAAGGCGGTTTCAGTAGTACACTACAAAGGGATGCCTGGGGAGAGTTTAATGATAGGCTACTAACAAAGGTGTGAGAAGGGACCAAAGGAAACAATCAAAGTCCAGGGAAGCAGGCCAGGGTCAGTGATTGGAGGAAGCTGCTTCCACCCTCCAGAACTGATGGGACAGGAAGAGGGCAGGAGCTCAGCAGGATGGCTCCGTAGGCCAGAGCTCCTGCACAGGCACCAACCCCAGGGGCTGGTTCTTGGTTGGGTTTGGAGAAGTACTCCCTAAGATGTGGATTCAGGTGAGACTGACTCGTTAAGGAGTGCTCCCAGGGGAGAGGGAAAATGGAGTAGCAGGGAGCAGGGCAGAGGAGAGGAAGCCAGCAGGTGTGACCGCAGGCATACCTGTGGAGGTAGCTCCAGCTTGACCTGCAGGGCAACTCTGAAGGGGAAGTTGTTTCAGGAGGTCTGACTGCAGGCCAAGAGCTTGGCATCGAACTCCTGACCTATCAGTCATTGATCAAATGGGAGGGCAGGAGGAGAAGTGGGGGAGTCATCCCAGGCACTTTGACTTTTTGCATGTTGGGTTGAACCAAGTATCTTCAAGAATGATTTACTTATAGGCTGGGCGTGGTGGCTCATGCCTGTAACCCCAGCACTTTGGGAGGCTGAGATGGGCGGATCAGTTGAGGCTAGGAGTTCGAGACCAGCCTGCCCAACATGGTGAAACCCCAACTCTACTAAAAATACACAAATTAGCAGGGTGTGGTGGTGGGCACCTGTAATCCCAGCTACTGGGGAAGCTGAGGCAGGAGAATCACTTGAACCTGGGAGGCAGAGGTTGCAGTGAGTTGCGATCATGCCACTGCACTCTGGCCTGGATGACAGAGCAAGACTCCATCTCAAAGAAAAAAAAAATTTTTACTCATAATTTAATAATGACTTTGTGAGAAGTACAGCAATAATGTGTGAGAGGTTTTAATTATAATGTATGTTATTTGTTGAATTCTAAAGTACTCCACAGGTGTTTTGATAGACACCTGTTTGGGGTTAGCAACATACTTTCTGGTTAAACATCACAAGGGATTACACATTTCTCTTCTCACCAAAACTGCTCCTGTAAGTGGTATGTAAATATGACGGGCCTCCTTTTTCTCTTAAACTCAACATGATATTCTGGCTTCACTCATTTGCTTTCTAGCAGCCGCCCCATGTTAGCCTTGCCAAATGGTCAGTCTTCTATTTGGTAGGTTTTATAAGTCCTAAAAGTCTTACTTCAGAAATAGCTCTAATAAACCAAGCATGGAAAATTTCACTCATTTCTTCTGAGGCTGTAGAATTTGCATCCATTTTTTTCCGCAGCTGTCACAACTGTTGCAGATGCCTCTGACCAGCCCACAAGGTTGACTAGCCTGCTATACTCTACAGAGCAACTGAAAAGCATACAGAGATCCAAAGGAATATGGGTAAAGCCAGGAAAGCTGCTGTGAGTGGGGATGGGGGACCAGTGAGGTGTAGTGTGTCTGGAAGGAAGATGCAGAGATGGAGTTTGAAGTATCAGAGGTGTGTTTGGGGGAAAGGGCAAGAGCTGTGAAGGATAAAGGAGGAGGAAGTAGGGTTGGGCAGGGAGAGGCTCAGAACACAATCAGATCTTACATTATCTGCCGAGCTCTGGAGCAAAGATTACCTATTACAACAGTCATGCATTAGGCAAAAATGACCAGGCCCTGGTACACTTTGCTATGTCTGGTCATTGGCTGGTGGCTGACTGAGCCAGGCATGAATCCTAAAGGTGGTACAGCTGGAGGCTGGTAACTAACTACGCTCCTTGCAGCTGAATGGCAAGTGTTTGTGTTTTTGGTTTTGTTTTGTTTTTTGAGACAGGGTCTTTCTCTGTTGCATAGGCTCAGGTGCAGTGGCACAAACAGCTCACTGCAGCCTCAAACTCCCAGGCTCAAGTGATCCTCCTGCCTCAGCCTCCCAAGTAGGTGGGATTATAGGTGTGCAACATCATGCCTGCTCATTATTTTTTTTTTTTTACAGGGATGGCATCTTGCTATGTTGTTCAGGCTCTTCTCAAACTCCTGGCATCAAGTTGTCAGAGCCGTTTGAACTGGAGCAACTCCATCTTGAATAGGGGCTCAGTAAAATAAGGCTGAAACCTACTGGGCTGCATTCCCAGATGGTAAGGCATTCTAAGTCACAGGATGGAATAGGAGGTCAGCACAAGATACAGGTCATAAGGACCTTGCTGATAAAACAGGTTGCAGTAAAGAAGCCGGCTAAAACCCACCAAAACTGAGATAGCCACCAGAGTGACCTCTGGTCATCTTCACTGCTACACTCCCACCAGTGCCATGACAGTTTACAAATGCCATGGCAACATCAGGAAGCCACCCTATATGGTCTAAAAGTGGGAGGCATGAATAATCCACTCCTTGCTTAGTATATAATCAATAAATAACCATAAAAATGGGCAACCAGCAGCCCTCGGGGCTGCTTTGCCTATGGAGTAGCCATTCTTTTATTCCTTTACTTTCCTAATAAACTTGCTTTTACCTTATAGACTTGCTCTGAATTCTTTCTTGCGTGAGATCCAAGAACCTTCTATTGGGGTCTTGATCAGGACCCCCTTCCAGTAACAAAGTGATTCTTCCTCCTCAGCCTCCCAAAGTGCTGGGATGAAAGGTGTGAGTCACCATACCAGCCTGCAAGTTATTTTTGAAAAGAAATCCAAGTGGAGCATTTTCATGGCTGCCACACTTAATGAAATGTAGTGTATTTGGCTATTCCAGCCATCCCTCCAACACCAATAAGGAAGACCCTACCTGCAAGGGGTACAGAAACAAGGGGCAGAGAGAGAAATGGGGCCCTGATGGCTCACATGAGTGCATAGATCCAGCTGTGCCTGAAGCCCATCAGATTCTTGGCTCTTTTGGTTATGTGAGCCAGGAAATACTCTTTTTGCTTAAGCCATTTTGAGTTGAGTTTTTATTTCACAAAATTTCTGATTCCTGATTTATATACTCTCTGAGTTTCATGTTCCTTAACTGTAAGATGGGGCTCATGATTCCACTTTGCAGGGTTTGAGAGAAAGAACGACAAGTAATATAAAGGACAAGCTGCAAAGTAGATGCCCAATAAATAGTAAATAGCATGAAAGGGAAAAGCAAAGGAGGCAAAGCAAGGTGTGGGACTCCTGGAGACTCCTCTGTGCCCAGGGCAGGCAGCAGGCTGAGTTCAGTGCTCAGCGAGGGTGGTGGCTGGCTTGGGCTGTCTAGAGTTACCCAGCTACAAAGGAGGCTGCCTCCTGAGCTGCTTTGAGCCTGTGGCTTTTCAACAATGAATGTGCCCACCCAGTGTGTTATTAGCTCTGTAGGAGGAGAAGAAAAGCACTCTTTCTAGCCAAAAATAAGGCTTCTCATACTCTTTATCTTCATCTGGACAGTTTTGGGGGTTTTGTTTTATTTATTTATTTATTTATTTATTTATTTATTTATTTATTTTATTTTTTTTCGAGATGAAGTCTTGCTCTGTTGCCCAGAATGGAGTGCAGTGGCATGATCATAGCTCACTGCAGCCTCGATGTGCATGCCCGACTAATTTTATTATATTTTGTAGAGACAAAGTCTCATTATGTTTCCCAGGCTGGTCTCAAATTCCTGGGCTCAAGCAATTCTCCTGCCTTGGCCTCACAAACTGTTAGGATTACAGATGTGAGCCCACTGCTCCCAGCTGGACAATTATTTGTATTCATTTTTGTTACTGTTGTTATTTAAAGATGATTCCTTTGTGCAAATATATAAAATTTGTAGAAAAAAAATTAAAAGAATAAACAAGCGATGACCACATTTGTAGCATTGTGATGATTCCCAAAGCTTCTGGTGAAAAAACAAACAAGAAAGAACACAAACCCCTCTAATTTATATAATTTATAACTCAGGATCTATTTTCTTTTTCTTTTTTTTTTTTGAGATGGAGTCTTGCTCTGTCGCCCAGGCTGGCATGCAGTGGCGCAATCTCGGCTCACTGCAACCTCTGCCTCCCAGGTTCAAGTGATTCTCCTGCCTCAGCCTCCCGAGTAGCTGGGATTACAGGCATGCACCAGCATGCCTGGCTAATTTTTGTATTTTTAGTAGAGACGGGGTTTCACCATGTTGGCCAGGCTGGTCTCAAACTCCTGACCTCAGGTGATCCACCTGCCTCGGCCTCCCAAAGTGCTGGGATTACAGGTGTGAGCCACCACACCCGGCCTAGGATCTATTTTGTAAGATAAGTGGTTATGTTTATATTTTAAAGATTGCTAAGGCTCCTACTGTTCCTCTCCTCCCACTAAAAATGTAAAAGCCTTAAAAGGCTCATTGATAGGGGCTTTGTGTCCTGAATGTTAACAGTGACAGGTGTAGAGGTGGAGGCTACATCTCATTTCTCCCAATCTCTGGGGGAAGCTCAGGTCCTAATTACAAGAGAGAACAAAAAGTGGCTTTGAATATCCATTTTGGTTCATTCATCAAGTACTTATTATTAAAGAACCTCCTGCTAGGTCTAATTGCATAGTGTGAGATTAGAAGCACCTGCAGTCACTTTAATAGCAAGCATGAAAGATCTTGAGCAAAGTTAGAAACAGGATCAAAAACCAGTGAAAAGTGGACTCTTTGGCACCCAACCTGGTTCTTTCTTTCTGTCTTCAGGTCAAGGACAGATGACCTACACAGATCCTTCTCATTTTTCTCCAGGTCAGTGGGACCCCAAAGGCCCATCTCTCTGTCACTTCCTCTATGGACCTCTCCCCAGCATGCACTGATGGAATTATTGTTTCATTTGAGTACCCATGAAAGCCGGCATCCAAGACGATCCCTACTTCCTGGGATACATGCCCTTATTTAGTCCCCTCCCACACTGACTGGGGTGACCTGTGTAACTAATAGGATATTGCAAAAATGACAGAGTGTGAGTTTTGAAGTTCAGTTATAAAAGATGTTGTGGATTCCCTCCCGTTCTCTGATGGAAAATGTGCCCTGTAGAAGAACAGTTGCTATGTTAAAAGGATACTTAAGCAGTCCTATGGGGAAGCCCACGCTCTAAGTAACTGAGGCCACCTGACCTCAGCCAGTGTAGTGGTTTTAAAAGATGTCCACACATTCTTTGACGTGTCTCCCTTTAAGAAGTGTAGTTTAAACCACGCGCCTGTAATCCCAGCACTTTGGGAGGCTTAGGCACGTGGATTGCTTGAGCTTGAGTTCGAGACCAGTCTGGGCAACATGGCGAGAGCCCATCTCTACCAAAACCCAGCCAACCAAACAAAAAACAAAAATCAGCTGGGCATGGTGTCTCGGGCCTGTGGTCTCAGCTGGAGGGATGGGGTTGGGGCGGGGGCTGAGGTGGGAGGATCACTTGAGCCTGGGAGATTAAGGCTGCAGTGAGCTGAGATCATGTCACTGCACTCCAGCCATGGCAACAGAGTGAAATCCAGTCTCAAAAAAAAAAAAAAAAAAAAAGCCGGGCATGGCGGCTCACGCCTGTAATCCCAGAGGCCGTGGGGCGGGGGCGGGGGGGGGTGTGGATCACCTGAGGTCAAGAGTTCGAGACCAGCCTGGCCAACATGGTGAAACCCCGTCTCTACTAAAAATACAATAATTATCCAGGTGTGGTGGCAGGCACCTGTAATCCCAGTTACTCAGGAGGTTGAGACAGGAGAATCACTTGAACCTGTGAGGCAGAGGTTGCAGTGAGCTGAGACCGTGCCATTGCACTCCAGCCTGGGCGAAAGAGCAAGACTCCGTCTCAAAAAAAAAAAAAAAAAAAAAAGTGGAGTTTAATTTTCTCCTTTCCTTCAATGTGGACCGAACTTGTTGACTCACTTCTAATAAATAGAATATAGCAGACATGATGGTTTGTGACTTTTGAGACTTGGTTATGAAAGTATTGCAACCTTACTCTCAGCCTTTTTGTTGTTGTTGTTTGGTTGGGGGGGCCTGCGGACTGGGACAGGCTCTTGCTCTGTCACCCAGGCTGGAGTGAGTGGCACGATCACATCTCACTGCAGCCTCAACCTCCCAGGTTCAAGTGATCCTCCTGTCTCAGCCTCGCAAGTAGCTGGGGCTACAGGCATGCCCTACCATGCCCAGCTAATTTTTCTTGTCTTTTCTTTTCTTTTTTTTTTTTTTTTTTTGCAGAGAAAGGTTTTCACTGTGTTGCCCAGGGTGGTCTTCAACTCCTGGACTGAAACGATCCACCTTCCTGGGCCTCCCAAAGTGGGCCTCTCTCTTGAATCACTTCAGTTGGCAGGGAAGTCAGCTGACATGTCACAAGGACATTATGGCATCCCTATAGATAGGTCCATGAGGCAAGGGATGAGGCCACTTGCCAATAGCCAGGGGCTGGCGCCATCTTGGAAGCACATCCCCTAGTTCCTGTCAAGCCTTCAGATGCTCAGCCCTGGCCAACAGCGCGATTACAACTCCCTTCTGAGAGACTCTGGGCCAGAACCACCGAATTAAGATGCTCCTAATAATCATTTAATTTTTTTAATTAGGCCTTTAAAATATGTGTATATGGTTTAATCTCATTAGCTAAATTAAGGAATTAAAATTTGTTTCATTTATTTTTCACCCAAGTGTGGCAAAACAAACTTTATCATTTTTGTTTTTTTTTCAGTATTTTGTTGTTGTGTTGTTTTGATTAAGACAGGGTCTCACTCTGTCATCAAGGCTGGAGTGCCGTGGCACAGTCACAGCTCACTGTAGCCTCGACCTCCCTGGCTCAGGCGATTCTCCCACTTCAGCCTCCTGAGTAGCTGGGACTACAGGTGTGTGCCATCATGCCTGGCTAATTTTTGTTGAGACGGGATTTCCTCACGTTGCTCAGGCTGGTCTTGAGCTCCTGAGCTCAATCTGCCCACCTCGGTCTCCCAAAGTGCTGGGATTACAGGCATGAGCCACCGTGCCTGGCCACATTTTTGTTTTTTCGAGAAAGCCAAAAGGTACAGCCAAGAGCTCAGGGCCGGGCGCGGTGGCTCATGTCTGTAATCCCAGCACTTTGGGAGGCCAAGGCGGGTGGATCACCTAAGGTCAGGAGTTCGAGACCAGCCTGGCTAACATGGCGAAACCCTGTCTCTACTAAAAATACAGAAATTAGCCGGGTGTGGTGGCGGGTGCCTGTAGTCCCAGCTACTCGGGAGGCTGAGGCAGGAGAATGGCTTGAACCCGGGAGGCGGAGCTTGCAGTGAGCCGGGATTGCGCCACTGCACTCCAGTCTGGGTGACAGAGCCAGACTCCGTCTCAAAAAGAAAAAAAAAACCCAAAGAAATAAATTCAAAACCAAAATAATATTTTAAAACAAAGATTGCTATAGAGAAAACAGAAACATAGGGCAGCTCCTTTGGAAAACAGGCAGTTCTTTACAAATTTAAACATAGAACCTGGGTGGCTCACGCCTGTAATCCCAGCACTTTGTTAGGCCGAGGCGGGTGGATCACTTGAGGTCAGTGACTAGCCTGACAAACATGGTAAAACTTCGTCTCTGCCAAAATAACACAAACATTAGCCGGGTGTTGTGGCGGGCTCCTGTAATCCCAGCTACTCGAGAGGCTGAGGCAGGAGAATCGCTTGAACCCGGGAGGGGTAGTTTGCAGTGAGCCGAGATAGGGCCACTGCACTCCAGTCTGGAAAAAAACAAAAACAAAAACATAGTGTTACCATATGATCCCACAATTTCAATACTAAGAATATGCTCATAAGAAAAGTGTACATATGAATGTTGATAGCAGAATTATTTATAACAGTTAAAAAGTGGCCACGCTCAGAGCTGCGGACCCACCGAGCGCCCGCACATGCCCTTCTCCGACAGCCGCGGGGCGCTGAAGCTCGCCTCCCGGCGCAGGACGAGTTTCCCGACCTGAGCGGCCACCAAGACCCAGTGGCCGAGGCGCTGCCCCAGCTGAACGCGGAGCTGCGCGCCAGGGGTGGCTTCGCGCTGGAGGCGCCATCCAGACCCGCGTGGACAGCCCGGGCCACCCGTACTCAGGGCCGTGGGCCGCGTGGCGGCCGACGAGGAGTCCTACGACGTGTTCAAGGATCTCTTCGGCCCCATCCTTGAGGACCGGCACCGCACTACAAGCCCAGCGATGAGCACAAGACCCAGCTCAACCCCGACAACCTGCTGGGAGGCGGCCACCTGGCCCCCAACTGTGTTGAGCTCGCGGTGCGCACGGCCTCCACTTCTGCCTCCCGTGGGTCCCGCGATGGACGCCCTAGAGACTGGTCGGCGACCTGGCGGGCCTGGACGACGCGCGCAGGAGCAGGACCGACGCGGAACAGCAACAGCAGCTCCTCGACAGCCACTTCCTCTTCCACGAGCCTGTACCGCCCCTGCTCCTGGCCTCGGGCATGGCCCAACGCCCGCGGCATCTGGCACAAGGACAGTATAGACCTTCCTGGTGTGGGGCGGCGACGAGGACCACCTGCGGGCCATCTCCGTGCAACAGGGGGGCAAACGAAGGAGGCATTTACTGCTTCTGCCTCGGCCTCTCCCGGTTTGAAACTCTTCAAGTCTAGGAACGACGAGTTCATGTGGAATCCTCACCTGGGCTCCATCCTCACCTGCCCTCCCAACCTGGGCACAGGGCTGCAGGGGCAAGTGTGCACATCAGGCTGCCCCACCTGGGCAAGCACGAGTTCTCGGAGGTGCTTAAGAGGCTGTGGCTTCAGGCTGGGCGCGGTGGCTCATGCCTGTAATCCCAGCACTTTGGGAGGCCAAGGCGGGCGGATCACTTGAGGTCAAGGAGTTCGAGACCAGCCTGGCCAACATGGTGAAACCACCGTCTGTACTAAAAATACAAAAATTAGCCGGGCGTGGTGGTGGATGCCTGTAATCCCAGCTACTTGGGAGGGTGAGACACGAGAATCGCTTGAACCTGGGAGGCAGAGGTTGCAGTGAGCCAAGATCACGCCACTACACTCCAGCCTGGGCGATAGTGCGAGATTCAGTCTCAAAAAAAAAAAAAAAAGAGTCTGTGGCTGGGCGCGGTGGCTCACGCCTGTAATCCCAGCACTTTGGGAGGCTGAGGCAGGCGGATCACCTGAGGTCAGGAGTTCGAGACCAACCTGACCAACGTGGAGAAACCCCTATCTCTACTAAAGATACCAAAAATTAGCTGGGCATGGTGGCACATGCCTGTAATCCCAGCTACTCGGGAGGCTGAGGCAGAAGAACGGCTTGAACCTGGGAGGTGGAGGTTGTGGTGACTGGAGATCGCGCCATTGTATTCCATCCTGGGCGACCAGAGCGTAACTCCGTCTCAAAAACAAAAAACAAAAAACAGTCAGGCGTGGTGGCTCACGCCTGTAATCTCAAAACTTTGGGAGGCCGAGGCGGGCAGATCACGAGGTTAAGAGATCAAGACGATCCTGGCCAACATGGTGAAACTCCATCTCTACTAAAAACACAAAAATTAGCTGGGCGTGGTGGCACGCGCCTGTACTCCCAGCTACACCAGAGGCTGAGGCAGAAGAATAGCTTGAACCCAGGAGGCGGAGGTTGCAGTGAGCCGAGATAGTGCCACTGCACTCCAGCCTGGCGACAGAGAGAGACTCCGTCTCAAGAAAAGGAAAAAAAAAAAGAGGCTGTGACTTCAGAAGTGAGGGACAGACGGTGTGGACGTGGCCGCGGTGGGTGGGGTCTTTGACGTCTCCAACGCTGACCTCCGGGGCTTCTCAGAGGTGGTGCTGGTGCAGATGCGGGTGGGCGTCATAAAGCTGCTCATTGAGATGGAGCAGTGGCATCACCAGGGCCAGGCCACCTATGGCCTAATGCTTGCCCAGCCCGCACCCACCACCAGCCCTTGCTGCTTCCTAACTTATCGCCCGGCCAGTGCCTGCCATGCACCCCTGATGTCGGCCACCTGGCAAGCCCTTAGCCTCGCTGTAGAGACTTCCGTCACCTTGCTAGCATTTTTTTTTTTTAATGGTAAGATATTGCTGACGCTGAAATAAACTAGAATTTTGGCCTAAAAAAAAAAAAAGTAGAAACAATCCAAATGTACATCAACTGATGAATGGATAATAAAATGTGGTATATCCATACAATGGAATATTATTCAGCCATAAAAAGGAATCAAGTACTGATAGATGCTATAACATAGTAAACCTTGAAAACATTATGCTAAATGAAAGAAACCAAACACAAAAGGAATATACTGTAGAATTCCATTTATAGGAAATGACCAAAATAGGCAGATCCAAAGAGACAGAAAGTATTAATAGATTAGTGGTTGTCAGGGGCTGAGAACAGAGAATGGGAAGTGGCTGCTATTGGGTATAAGGTTTCATTTTGTAGGGATGACAATATCTGGGAATTAAATTGTGGTGATAGTTACATAACATCTGTGAATATACTAAAAACTGAATTGCACACTTTAAGTGGTATGTGAATTATATCTCTATAAAGCTACTGTTAAAGCCAGCAGAAGCAGACATTCAATACTTCCCACATAAACATTACTGCTTTTTGGCTTCTTATAAAGGTGCACTAAAACCATAAGATAGGCTGGGCGAGGTGGCTCACACCTGTAATCCCAACACTTTGGGAGGCCGAGGCGGGTGGATCACCTGAGGTCAGAAGTTCGAGACCAGCCTGGCCAACATGGTGAAACCCCGTCTCTACTAAAAATACAACAATTAGCCAGGCGTGGTGGCAGGCACCTATAATCCCAGCTACTCAGGAGGTTGAGATAGGAGAATCGCTTGAACCCGGAGAAGGAGGTTACAGTGAGCCAAGATTGCACCACTGCACTCTAGCCTGGGCAATAAGAGTGAAACTTCATCTCAAAATAAAAAATAAAATAAAATAAAATAAAATAAATAAATAAAACCATAAGATGACAAAGATATTTACTTGGAATGTGGGCCAGACTTGAGTTACTTCTAATAAATAGAATATAGCACATATGATGGTTTGTGACTTTTGAGACTTGGTCATGAAAGTAATTGCAACCTCAGTCTCTCTTTTTTTGGTGGGGAGTGGGGCTGGGAGAGGGGGACAGGCTCTCGCTCTGTCACCCAGGCTGGAGTGCAGTGGCACAACCACAGCTCACTGCGGCCTCAACCTCCTGGGTTCAAGTGATCCTCCGGTCACACAATATTGTGTGAATCTATGGCAAGAATAATAGAACAAGGGCTGGTCGTGGTGGCTCAAGCCTGTAATCCTAGAACTTTGGGAGGCCGAGGCGGGCGGATCACTTAAAGTCAGGAGTTCGAAACCAGCCTGGCCAACATGGTGAAATCCCATCTCTACTAAAAAATCAAAAAAATTAGCCGGGCCTGGTGGTGCACGCCTGTAGTCCCAGCTACTCCAGAGGCTGAGGCAAGAGAATCGCTTGAACCCAGGAGGCAGAGGTTGTAGTGAGCCGAGATTGTGCCGCTGCACTCCAGCCTGGGTGACAGAGCAAGATTTCGTCTCAAAAAAAAAAAAAAATAATAATAATAATAGAAAAATGGAAGCTAGCAAAGTATTTTTCATTGCAACATAATACATGCTGAGATATTGCTAAGATGTGCATTTTGAACATGAAGGTGATACAAAGAAAAAAATTGTTTTCCTGCTTCTTTGGTCACAAACACAGCTAGCTCTGATATTGTCAACAAATGTGGTGTGGAGCTTTAGAACTGTGGAGAAGTACGTTGGATGGCAGAGCTGCAACAAAAAAATACCCTGGAGTAGGTAGCCAGTTTAAGGAGCAAAGATCAAAATGAGAGTGAAAACAATGATTCTTTCCTTAAGAAAGTCATGCTATGAAAAAAAAGTCAGCTGAAATAAACAGTGCAGTTAGGCATATAGTAAAAATTGTGAATTATGTAAAAGTGAATGCATTAAATTTGAGATTATTCTTTTTGTTAGGTGATAATATGGAAGGTGATCATAAACAATTGTTATTGCATGCCATAGTAGCTTGTAGCAAGTCCTGATATCTTTATTATTTATGAATCGTTATTCATGGATGCTGTATTTGCAAATTAGCCTACTCACTAAAATTTATTTGTAATCCCAAAATCAATACTTGAAGTGCTTTTGCGGTCATTCGTGGACATGTTCAGAGTAGTAAAAACATTGAGTTGACTGACACTCCCATTCCCAGCAGTGGTCAAAGTCGACGCTTTGCTTCTTGTTTTGGCTCTCATACTGTAAACAAACGTCCCATTTTGTGGTCTATTTAGTGACACTTTGGGTGGGGGGGTGTTGTTAGTGATTTTGCTGTTTAAAATGGCCTCCAAGTAATCGCGATAACCCCAGAGGCGGAGGTTGCAGTGAGCAGAGATGGCACCGTTGCACTCCAGCCTGGGGAACAAGAGCAAGACTCCATTTCAAAAACAAACAAAAAACCCCTCCAAGCACAATGCTGAAGTGCTGCCTCGTGTTCCAAAGTGCGAGAAGTCTGATGTGCTTTACAGAAAAAATACATGTGTTGGAGAAGCTTCAGGCACAAATTGTTGTGCTGCTGGCCATGAGTTCAATGTTAATGAATGAACAATATGTATTAACTATCGTGTTTTTAAACAGAAGTACACATAGACTAAGGTTCTGGATTAATCTCTTGAGAAAAACGTGACCAGAGGCTTGCAGGAAACGAATCCTGCATATTCCCTGGGAGCAATGGTCAGAATTTGCTAATTCGGTGTTTGCAGTGACTTTCTAGAACATAACTACTGCAAATAACAAGAATCAACTGCATGTCTTTGTGTAGCTCTCTTCCACCAGGCCAGTGAATATGGCCTAACCCTGTGTTACTAATAGAACTCAGTGGGAGCAATTCTCCATGACTTTTTTTTTTTTTGAGGTGGAGTTTTGCTCTTGTTGCCCAGGCTGAAGTGCAGTGGTGTGATCTTGGCTCACTGCAACCTCCACCTCCTGAGTTCAAGCAATTCTCCTGCCTCAGCCTCCCAAGTAGCTGGGATTACAGGCACGCACCACCATGCCTGGTTAATTTTTTGTATTTTTAGTAAAGACGGGGTTTTGCCATGTTGGCCAGGCTGGTCTCAGCCTCCCGGCCTCCCGAAGTGCTGGGATTACAGGTGTGAGCCACCACACCTGGCCGATTCTCCATGACTTCTGAGCCCATAAAAGCCTTGCAGCTTCCACCTTGGTCTCTGGAATACTTGTTATTAGAGCCCTAAACTGCCACATAAGAGGTTTGACTGTGTAAAAGGAGAGACCATACGGCAAGGCTCTAAGTCTATGTGGAGAGGGAGAGGAGCCCAGTTGATTCCAGTCTGCCAAGATATTGGGTATGTGAGTGAAGTCAGTCTGGCCAGGAGATCAGAGGCTGCCTTCCTCCATGCATGCGGTTTGTTTCTGGACACTCAACTCTATTCCACTGATCTGTATGTCTATCCTTCTGCTAGTATTGCACTTGCTTGTTATGTAGGTTTTTAGGTTTAAAATCTGGAAGTGTGAGTCTTTCAGGTTTGCTCTTCTTTTTCAAGATTGTTTCATTATTCTTTTTCAAGCTTGTTTGGGGAAAAAATTCAGAGTCCCTGTAATTTCTATATGAATTTTAGGATCGTTTTGTCAATTTCTGCAGAGAAACCAGCTGGATTTTTATAGGGATTGTGTTCATCAGCAGATCAATTTGGGGAATATTGCCATTTTAATATTAAGACCTCCAATCCAGGAACATGGGATATCTTATTTTTTTAATACATTAAAAAAACAAAACAAAACAAAACTAGAGACAGAGTCTAGCTATGTTGCCCAGGCTGGTCTCAACCTTCTGGGCTCAAGCAGTCTGCCCACCTTAGCCTCCCAAAGTGCTGGGATTACAGGCGTGAGCCACCACACCCAGCCAGGATATCTTTTCATGTATTTAGACCTTTAATTCCTTTCAACAGTGTCTTGTAGTTTTCAGAGTATAAGTTTTACACGTTTTTGTTTTACTCCTAAGTATTTTATTCTTTTTGATGATATTATAAATGGAATTAATTTCATTATCATATTGTTGAGTCCAAGTGTATAGAAATAGATTTGATATTTATATATTGTGTCCTACAACTTTGCTGAACTCATTTATTCATTCTAATAATAGGTTGACTTCTTAGGATTTTCTACATATAAGACAATGTCATCTGCAAATAGAGATAGTTTTGCTTCTTCCTTTTCAATCTAGATGCCTTATTTCATTTTCTTGTCTAACTGCCCTGGCCAGAACTTCCAGTACAATTTTGAGAGATCAACTTTTTTTTTTTTTTTTTCTGAAATGGGGTCTCGCTGCATTGTGCAGGCTGGTCGGAAACTCCTGGGCTCAAGCGATCCTCCTGCCTCAGCCTCCTGAGTAGCTGGAATTATGAGCATGTACCCAGCTTAGTGCCAACTTTTTTTTTTTTTTTTTTAGATGGAATCTCGCTCTGTCGCCAGGCTGGGGTGCAGGGGCGTGATCTTGGCTCACTGCAACCTCCGTCTCCCAAGTTTAAGCGATTCTCCTGCCTCAGTCTCCCAAGTAGATGGGACTACAGGCACGTGCCACCATTCCCAGCTAATTTTTGTATTTTTGGTAGAGACAGGGTTTCACCATGTTGGCCAGGCTGGTCTTGATCTCTTGACCTCATGATCCGCCTGCCTCAGCCTCCTAAAGGGCTGGGATTACAGGTGTGAGCCACCGTGCCTGGCCAAGTGCCAACTTTTAAAGACAAGGATTGGTCAATCAGATGTGCTAATTTTTCTAATATCTTCAGTATTTTAATGATCCTAATATTTTACTTTTTTTTTTTTTCCTGAGACTGAGCATTGCTCTGTCACCCAGGCTAGAGTGCAATGGTGTGATCTCGGCTCACTGCAACCTCTGTTTCCCAGGTTCAAGTGATTATCCTGCCTCAGCCTCCTGAGTAGCTGGGATTACAGGCATGTGCCACCACACCTGGCTAATTTTCGTATTTTTAGTAGAGACGGAGTTTCACCATGTTGGCTAGGCTGTTCTTGAACTCCTGCCCACCTTGGCCTCCCAAAGTGTTGGGATTATAGGCGTGAGCCACTGCACCCAGCCTACTTCTTTTCTAATTTGGATGCCTCTGATTTCTTTTTCTTGCCTAATTTCCTCTGGCTAGAACTTCTAATACTATGTGGAATAGAAGTGAAACCAGGCAACCTTGTCTTGTTCCTGATCTTAAGGGAAAAGCTTTCAGCCTTTCACTATTGAATATGATGTTGGCTGTGGGTCTTTCATATATGGCCTTTAACATGTTGAGGAAGTTTCCTTGTATTCCTAGTTGATTGAATATTTTTTCTTTTTGATTGTGATAAAATATACATAACATAAAATTTACCATTTTAGCCATTTAAAAATGTATAGTTTAGTGTCATTAAGTACGTTGGCATTGTTGTGCAATCATCACCAGCATCCATTGCCAGAACATTTTCATCATCCCATACTGAAACTCCATACCCATTAAACAATAATGTCCCCTTCCCTCCTTCCTCTAGGCCCTGACAACCACTGTTCTACTTTCAGTTTCTATGAATTTCATGACGCTAGGTCTCTCATCTAAGTAGAATCATACAATATTTGGTATTTTGTGTCTGAATTATTTCACTTAGCATCCTGTCTTTGAGGTTCATCCATGTTGTGGTGTCAGAATTTCCTTTTTATGGCTAAATAATATTTTGTTGTATGCACAGTCATGAGTCACTTAACGATGGGGAAATGTTCTGAGAAAGGTGTCATTAGGTGAGTTCATCATTGTGTGAGCATCGTAGAGTGTACTTACACAAGCCTGGATGGTATGGCCTACTATACACCTAGGCTATGTGGTGTAGCCTATTGCTCCTAGGCTACAAACCTGCATAGCATGTTACTATATTAAATATTGTAGGTGATTGTAACACAATGGTATTTGTGTATCTAAATACAGTAAAAATATGGTATTATAATCTCATGGGACCACTGTCGAATGTGTAGTCTGGAATGATGTTATATGGTGCATGACTGTACGTAACATATTTTGTTTATTCACTCATCTGTGAATGGGCATTTGGGTTGTTTCTACCTTTTGGCTATTGTGAATAATGCTGCTGCAAACATTGGCATACAAATATTTGCTTGAGTATTGGCTTTCAATGCTTTTGTGTATATGCCTAGAAGTGGAATTGCTAGATCAAATGGTAATTCTTTTTTTTTTTTTTTTTTGAGATGGAGTCTTGCTGTGTCACCCAAGCTGGAGTGCAGTGGCACGATCTTGGCTCACTGCAACCTCTGCCTCCCGGTTAAAGTGATTCTCATGCCTCAGCCTCCCAAGTAGCTGGGATTACAGGCATATGCCACCATGCCTGGCTAATTTTTGTATTTTTAGTAGAGACGGGGTTTCACCGTGTTGGCCAGGCTTCTTTTTTTTTTTTTTTTTTTTTTTTGAGACAGAGTCTCGCTCTGTCGCCCAGGCTGGAGTGCAGTGGCGGGATCTCGGCTCACTGCAAGCTCCGCCTCCCGGGTTCACGCCATTCTCCTGCCTCAGCCTCCCAAGTAGCTGGGACTACAGACGCCCGCCACTACGCCCGGCTAATTTTTTGTATTTTTAGTAGAGATGGGGTTTCACCGTTTTAGCCGGGATGGTCTCGATCTCCTGACCTCGTGATCCGCCCGCCTCAGCCTCCCAAAGTGTTGGGATTACAGGCATGAGCCACCACACCAGGCCTCAAATAGTAATTCTATGTTTACTTTTTTTAGGAACCTCCAGGCTGCATTTCCACAACAACTGCACCATTTTACATTCTCACAAGGGTTGCATTTTCTCCATATCCATATCCATATCAACACTTGTTTTCTGCTATTGAGTGTTTTTATTATGAAAGGGTGTTGAATTTTGTCAAATGCTTTTTCTGCATCAATTAAAATAGTCATGTCATTAGCTGGTCGTGGTAGTGCACAGCTGTAATCCCAGCTACTTGGGAGTCTGAGGAAGGAGGATCACTTGAGCCCGAGAGGCAGAGGTTGCAGTGAACCGAGATCGAGCCACTGCACTCCAGCATGGGTGACAGAGTGAGACCCTGTCTCAAAAAGGTCATGTCGTTTTCCCTTTCATTCTATTAATGTGGTATATTACATTGATCGATTTTTGTATGTTTAATCATTCCTGAATTACAGAAATAAATCCTCCTTGATCATGATGTATAATCCCTTTAAACTGTGCTGAAGATGGTTTGCTAGTATTCTGTGCAGGATTTTTGGATCTTAAAATTTTAGTGCAAGTAAGGAAGGCAGCATATTTTTCCCTGGTAATTATGATTGAGGGATGCAAATTTAAGTTAGAAACTTGAAAGAACAGAGATTTTACATATTATTATAATATGTTCCATGTTTTCACAGTAATTATTAAAAAGGCAATGAACCTGACATTGCACCTCTGTGAATGGTATAATTAAACATTTTACAAATGTGATAGAACAGTTGGAAGTTTATTTTCCCTGAAAAGAAAATTCCTGCATAGAAAAATCAGAGATCTGAAATCCATTTTTCCACTGAAGATAGTTTAAATTTTAACTATTACACTATGGGCTAAATAGTTAACCAAGTTATGAATGCAAAGAAAAAGTCTTGAAGGAAATTAAATGTGCCACTCCAGTGAACATGCAAATGATGAGAATGAAAAACAGCAGTACTACTGATATGAAGAAAGTTTTAGTAGTCTGGATAAAAGATCATAATAGCCACAACAATCCCTTAAGTCAAAGCCTAATCCAGATCAAGTCCCTAACTCTCTTCAATTCTACAGAAGACTACAGGAGAAAAGTTTGAAGCTAGCAGAGGTTGGTTCTTGAGGTTTAAAGAAAGAAGGCAACTCGGCCAGGTGCAGTGGCTCACACCTGTAATCCTAGCACTTTGGGAGGCCAAGGAGGGCAGATCACCTGAGGTCAGGAGTTTGAGACCAGCCTGGCCAATATGGTGAAACCCCATCTCTACTAAAAACACAAAAATTAGCCAGGCATGGTGGTGGGTGCCTGTAATCCCAGCTACTGGGGAGGCTGAGGCAGGAGAATTGCTTGAACTCGTCCGGGAGGTGGGTGGAGGTTGCAGTGAGCTGAGATCATGCCACTTCACTCCAGCCTGGGTGAAAGAGCGAGACTCCGTCATAAAGAAAAAAAAGAAAAAGAAAAAAAAGAAAGAAGCCATTTCCATAATGTAAAAGTACAAGGTGGGAAGCAAGTGCTGATGTAGAAGCTGCAGCAAGTTATCCAAAAGATCTAGCTAATTCTACATTGAAGAACAAATTTTCATTGTAGGCAAAACAGCCTTTTACTGGAAGAATATGCTACCTAAGACTTTCATAGCTAGAGAGAAGAAGGCAATCAAGGCCTGGCTTCAAACCTTCAATGGAGAGGCTCACTGTCTTGTTAGGGGGCAAGTGCAGCTGATGACTTTAAGTTGAAGTCAGTGCTCATATACCATTCCCCAAATCCTAGGGCCCTTAAGGAACATATTAAACCTACTCTCCCTATACTCTATAAATGGAATAACAAAGTCTGGATGACAGCAAATCTGTCATGGTCTACTAAATATTTCAAGCCCCCTGTTGAGACCTACTGCTTGGAAAAAAAGATTCTTTTCAAAATATTATTACTCATTGACAATGCACCTGGTTACCTAAGGGCTCTGATGGAGGTTTAAGAAATTAATGTTATTTTCATGCCTGCTAATCCATTCTGTAACCTATGGATTAAGGAGTAATTTCGACTTTCAAGTCTTATTATTTCAGAAATACATTTTGTAAGGCTATTGCTGCCATAGATAGCAATTCCTCTGATGGATCTGGGCAAAGTCAATTGAAAACCTTCTGGAAATGATTTACCATTTTAGATAGTACTAAGAACATTCATGACTCATGGAAGCAAGTCAAAATATAAACATTAACAGGAGCTTGGGAGGAGTTGATTACAATCCTCATGGATGACTTTGAGGGGTTCAAGACTTCAGTGGAGGATGTAATTGCAAATGCGGGACACACAGCAGGGTCTCACTCTGTTGTCCAGGCTGGAGTGCAGTGGCACGATTGTGGTTCACTACAGCCTCGACCTGCTGGGCTCAAGCATTCCTCCCACCTCAGCCTCCCAAGTAGCTGGAACTACAGGTGCACATCATGCCCAGCTAAGATTTGTATTTTTTTGTGAAGATGAGGTTTCACTATGTTGCCCAGGTTGGTCTTGAACTCTTGAGCTCAAGCAATCCTCCTGTCTCAGCCTCCCAAAGTGCTGGGATTAATGTTGCAATCTCATGATAAAACTTGAACAGATGAGGAGTTACTTCTTACGAAGGAGCAAAGAAAGTGGTTTTTTGAGATGGAATCTCCTGGGGAAGATTCTGTGAACATAGTGGAATGGCAACAAAGGATTTAGAATATTACATAAATATTAGTTGATAAAGCAGTGGCAGGGTTTGTGAAGATTAACTCCTTTTTTTTTTTTTTTTTTTTTTTGAGACAGGGATTTTCTCTGTCACCCAGGCTGAAGTGCAATGGCGCAATCATGGTTCACTGCAGCCTTGACCTCCTGGGCTCAGTGGATCCTCCAACTCAACCTCTTGAGTAGCTGGGACTACAGGCATACGCTGTCACCACATGGCTATTTTTTAATTTTTTGTGGAGACGGGTTTCACCATTTTGCCCAGGATTTTTAGCCCAATTTTAACATCAACGTGTGTACACTGTTTTTTAGACATAATGCTATTGTACTTTTAATATATTACAGTATAGTGGAAACATGTTTATTATATACACTGGGAAACAACAACAAAAAATTGAGTGTGGCTCTCTTTTTTGCAATGGCCTGGAACTGAACCCCCAGTCCCTCCAAGGTATGCCTGTAAATGGACCAAACAGGAAGCAATTTCGTGGGTTTCATATTAAAAGCTTTAAACATTTATATAACTGTTATTTATACAAAGTGTGCTTACAGGCATTTACTATGTAAAATTGTAACTCATAACTTTGCTTTAGTTAACAATTGTTGAATAAAAAGTTATCAGTGGAATAGCCAGTCTCTGTAATAAATGCATATTGGTAAATTTTCTCTGAGCCAAGTGTACAGTTTGTAAATTTTCTTTCTGTTATGTTTGTTCTGATTGTTTATTAAGTATAACTTTGGGTCTGTCAAATTAAATATTTAAAAGTAAGCTTACGTTTTGCATAGTTGTTTTTAAATTTCACTTTTTCTTTCTTTTTCTTTTTTTTGAGACGGAGTCTCGCTCTGTCGCCCAGGCTGGAGTGCAGTGGCCACAATCTCGGCTCACTGAAGCCTCAATCTCATAGGCTCAAGCGATCCTCCCACCTCAGCCTCTCTACTAGCTAGGACTCCAGGCATGGGCCACCACGCTCAGCTAATTTTTAAAAATCTTTTACTTTTTGTAGAGATGGGGGTCTCGCTATGTTGCCCAGGGTGGTCTGGAACTCCTGGGCTCAAGAGATCCGCCCTCCTCGGCTTCCCAAAGTGCTGGGATTACAGGCGTGAGCCATTGCGCCCAGCCTCGAATAATTTAATTTTAATGTTAATTTAGTAAGTATCAGTCACGGACAGATTGGAAAAAGAAAAACATCTGATCCCTCATCTTGATAGTGAGTAGCACTGGTTTACACAGCTAGGCTGCTCCTTGAAGGCTGACACTGCATTTTATTCAAATTTTCCTGACAGTGGGACTTAGGCAATTATATATTGAATAAATAAATGAATTTTCACTCTGCTGCTGGGTCCAGTGGTCTCATAAAATGTCTATCATAATTTCTCAATGATTAGCCTTGGTAACATCTACTTAAGTTTATTAAATGCCAGGATCCACGCTACGCCCTTCACCATTCATTCCCCAGCCTTCGCTCCCACGGTCTCTGTGGGGATGGGGCGTGCCCAGCACTACGGCCCGCCCTACCTATGCATTCGTTGGTCGAACTCGACGCCCGTTACTGCCGAGTCCCGCCCAGGCCTTGCCCCCTCGTAGTCGGCCAGGCCGAGAGGAGGCGTGGCCACTGCCGCGCCGGGGCGGTCTGGCGGAGGGGGGGGAGGTCTCCCCTCGTCTCGTGATACTCTGGGCGAGCTCGCGGGCGGGCTGTGGGTCGCGAGCCGCCGTGGGAGCGCGTGTCGCGGTCCCCAGGAGCCGCCGGCCGACGCTCCGCCCCGCCCCCTTGGCGCCCAGGTCCCGCGCGAGCTCGCGCACGCGCGCGCGCGCACCCGCCAGAGGCTTGTTTGAGGCCCGCGGGGACTGGGCGGGCGGAGGCCGGGCTGCCGAAGTGTGAGGGGAGGAGCCCGAGCCGTCGCTGCTGCCGCCGCTAAGGGAGAGGAGCATGTCTGCAACTCGAGCCAAGAAAGTGAAGATGGCCACCAAATCATGCCCCGAGTGCGACCAACAGGTGGGTGCCGGGGGCCGGGCGCGCGGGCGGGCGGCAGTGGCTTGGCGGCCGTTGTCTGTGGAGGGGGGCCTCGCCGGGCTCCCGGAGGCCGAGCGGTGGGCAGATCCTGGGGCCCGCCGGCGGCGGCGGGGATCCGGGGCCGGTCGGGCTGCACCGAGGGGTTTCCCGGGAAAAGCCCGGGGCCGTGGCCCGCCAGCGTCCACCTGGCGGCGGCCAGACGGCCAAGCCCCTTCTTGCTGTGTCCCGGCCACTGGAGGAGCGCGCCTTTGGTGGGCTCACCGGGCGGCTGTCTGGAGCCCCAGACTCTCCTCGCCGGCGGCGGTGACAGCGGTGGGAGCCTGCGGGCCGCAGCCCCGGCGAGAGTGTGCCGCACGCCCGCCTCCGAGGCCAGGCCCTAGCTCCGAGAACCCCTCCTGCGGCCGGGGCGGCTTTGTTCCCGGTTCCGACGGGTGCGGGGCTTCCCCAAAACGGCCCCTCCGCGACCGGGGCGGGCGCCTGAGTGGGACAAAGGGGGCCGCGTGTAATGATTTTGAGTTTCGGCGAATTTGGAGATTTTTTCCCCTTCCTCATCTATTTATTATATTTTTGCTGTGCAATCGCGAATCCTGCCTTTACATCGTTTTTAATGGGTCATGATTGAATAAAGCCCCTGTTTAAGCCCTTCCTCCTTTTTGGGCGCTCCTAACTTCCCCACCCCTCGCAGTATCCACTGTTACAAATTTGGCCTGTCTGCTTCCAGATCTGTATCCCTGTCTGTCTGAATGTCTCTGTGTGTCTCTCTCTCTCTCTCTCTCTCTCTCTCTCTCTCTCTCTCTGTCTGTCTCTCTCTATCTCTCTATCTCTCTATCTCGTTTCTTGAATTTGAAACGATTCCTTTCTACATTGAGTTCATGGTGTAATAGTTGTAATTTAAAACATCTCATTTCAGTGATCGCTGTGTTGAAGCGTGTCTCAATTCTTTACTGGAATAATAGACATTCCTTTAAGCCTTAACATCTAATGAGTTAAAACTACTTCAGTTAAAACCATTCGTAAGGCCCTCGTTTGTTACCAACATGTAGATCTGGGTGTGTTTTTTCCTTTTCCACTGAGTGGATTTTTTCAAAATGACTACCTTTCTCTCCTCCCCTCCCCCCACCGCCTTTTTTTTTTTTTAAATCAAGAGTAATTTGAAATGGCTGGAGACTTTTTAATAAGCTGATTTTAGTGCATTTTTCAAGGAGAATTCTTGTAGGTTTTTCAAATCTTTTAACAGAAAACATGTTACATGTTTTATTAAGTATCCTTTATGGGCTGTAGTAAAAATGCTTATCAGAAAAAGGTTGTGCAAGAAATACAGTGTAGGAGCTATACCAGTATGCAGTATAAAAACAGTTTAGTCATGTTTTCCAAAGAGTTACTTTCATTCTTACTACTGAACTAAATTTGTTAAATTTTGACAAAACTGGACTTTGCAATATGACTCTTTGCGGGAGATTATTTCAGTGTTTAAATCATTTCCAATTATTCCAGTTAATTGTGTAGAAGTGTAAGGTTTACATGGTATGCGTTATGCATTCCAATTTCTGTAAGGCACAAGTATTTGCAAATCCTGACTTTGTTCTAATTGGCATAAAGCAACCTTTTGGGAAAAATAGCCACTTTTTATGGCTATTTTTATATAAAAGAGCAAAGGATAATAAACTTATAGGAGTTTCTGAAAAACTGTTCAACAAAACAAGATCAGCGTTTTATTTGGAAAGATCACATTCATTTTGTTATACACCCCCTCCCCCATATTTATTCTTTCATATAAAATCAGCTTACCCAGCTTTGGCTGCCATAACAAAAGCATGATTATGTTCTGGTGAGGGCTCTCTTCTTGGCTTGCAGATGGCTGTCTTCTTGGTGTCCTCACATGGCAGAAAGAGGGTCAAGCTCTCTCCCTTTTCTTAAAAGGTCCCTAATCACATCATGAGGGCCCCACCCTCATGACTTAATTTAAACCTAATTCTCTCTCAAATGGCCCATCTCCAAATACCATCACATTGCGGTTAAGGCTTCAATATATGAATTTGGATGTCGAGGGGTGCATAATTCCACCCAGAGCAAACTAGTACATAATTTAATGAGTTGGTTTGTTTTGTCCTTTATTCCAAATACTTAAGTGAATGTAACATACATAAGGACTAATTAAAACTTTTGGTGATATGAACCTGATGTGAAAAAATAATGGATGAATTTTAGCTTTCTCATTATTTAAAAGTACTAGCTTCTTTTAGTTATAAGCCAGAATATGATTATAATCCAGAAAGCCATTTTCTAAACATTAGAATACTGCTATGATTCTAAGTTGCCTAAAAAAAATTAAATTCGAATTTAGGTATAGTTTATAAACATAAATGTAAAATCTTTAAATTTGAGATTTCCCAGTTGACTAGATTTACTTATGTGGGTGTGTAAGTTTGAAAAATGGGTACAGAGATCAGCAAAGAAGAAAAAGCTAGATTTTCAACTGCTTTGTAACATCTCCTTTGCAGGCTTCTATTGAACATATCATTCTAAAACATCTTAAACCACAGTCCTTTTCATTTTCAAGGGGTTTCATATCCATCAATCACTCAAAATTACTGAGCCATTTTGTGTGCATCAGTGCTCAAGATTCTTGTCAGTTTTCTGGTATCTTTTGTGTATGCTTCTGTTTTTGCCTTCATTTTTAAAAAAAATAGAGCAGCTTTTTTTTAATTTAAAGGACATTTTATGTGATGTATATAAAATATGTCTGGTATAAGTTCCTTTGGTTCTTTCAGTAGTAAAGAATATAAATGAGTTTTCTGTAATGTAATTATTTTGGAGCTTTTAAAAAATCAGTTAAATGGCTGTGTGCAGTGGCTCACACCTGTAATCCCAGTACTTTGGGAGGCCGAGGCAGGTGGATCACGAGGTCAGAAGTTCCAGACCATCCTGGCTAACACGGTGAAACCCTGTCTCTACTAAAAAATTAGCTGGGTGTGGTGGCATGCACCTCTGTAGTTCCAGCTACTCGGGAGGCTGAGGCAGGAGAAGTGATTGAACCCGGGAGGCAGAGGTTGCAGTGAGCCGAGATCGCACCACTGTACTCCAGCCTGGGCGACAGAGACTCCGTCTCAAAAAAAAAAAGTAAAAAAATCAGTGAAACACTATAGGACCAGATTTTTTTTTTTTTCAGATTTAAAAAATCCAGGCTGGGCATGGTGGCTCACACCTGTAATCCCAGCACTTTGGAAGGCCGAGGTGGGTGGATCACCTGAGGTCAGGAGTTCGAGACCAGCCTGGCCAACATGGTGAAACCCCATCTCTACTAAAAATACAAAAATTATCCGGGCGTGGTGACAGGCACCTGTAATCCCAGCTACACAGGAGGCTAAGGAAGGAGAATCACTTGAATCTGGGAGGCAGAGGTTGCAGTGAGCCAAGATCGCGCCATTGCACTCCAGCCTGGGGGACAAGAGTGAGACTTCGTCTCAAAAAAAAAAGATAAATAAATAAATAAAAAATCTGTTTTACTTGTAAAACATACAAACAACCTAAATCTTTTTTTAAAAAAGTGAATTAATGCCCAGTAAACTATCAGTAAACAATACTTTGAATATTTTCTTTTTTTTAAAATCCTGAAAGTGTAATATTAGAATTTCAGTACTGTTAGGTTTAGTATTATCAACTGAAATTTAAAGAAACTTTAGTGTGTTTGTTTAAAATCTAAATTATACTATAATTAATGAAATGAGGTTAATATTACTGAAGTTGTCCAACCTATTTGATAATTCTTTTTACAGGATCTAGGGTGGTGATGGTGGTGGTGGTGTGTTTTTTGTTTTTTGTTTTCCAGGGCAGAGGTTGTGGGGAAGGAACTTTTTATTTTAAATAGGACTATAGAATGAATTAACTCAGACTATAGAATGAATTAACTCAAACTATAGAATGAATTAACTCAGGCACATGAGGGTTTATTGAGCATAAAACACTTTCATTTGTGGATGAAAATCAACCTGTTAATTCAGTTAGTCAGTGTTTGTGCATTCTGGGTCCCAAAGCCAAATGTATACTTCTCATCTAACTGCAACACTGTTAATTCTGGAGATGGATTGATATGAAGTTCTTTTGTATAAGACTGAAACCCAAATTCAAATTTATTGAGTTTCAGTAGCTGGAAGAAAATGCTTGCTGATTAGGAAAGGAGCTGTTGAGTAAGAACATGCATTTGCGTATTTTGGATAGCATTAATTTAAAACAATTTACATTACTGTGGATGCCCTTAATAATATGTTTAGGTGTAAAGGAAATGAGTCAGTGCCTTTGAGCTTGGTTTCTATGAAGATACGAAATTTGAAAAAATGTCAGACATCTATTTTAGACAGATTTTACACTATTTAAAAAATGTAGCATTTTTTTTGTCGTGATTTGAAGGGATCTCATTACATTCTTAACAAAGCAAGCTGTTAGACAAATCTGGAGTTTGATTATTTTTATTGATTTCTTTGTTATTTTTCTTAAATACAAATTGGAGATCCTTTGTTCAATGTTTTTATACAAAGAAAAGGAATTATTCTGCCAAAATTTCAATTTAGCTCAATTAGATCAAGTGTTTAGATTCTATAACATGAGGCATTCTGTACATACATAGATAAAAAGCTTCATAATTTTAACTCAGTTTTTACATAGCAGAACAACTGCCAAATGGGGGAATTTATCTTACAAAGGGAATTGCAGTTTTCTTACTGTAATTATTCTGTAAATACTTTTTCGTTGAGATTAGTTTCAGACTTTTGGTGAACATGTCTTGATTCCAAGGATCATTAACTTTGATATGGGTGAAATGATTATGGGGAAAACTAAAAAATTTTTTCAATGATTTTCAGTAGCACTTGGCTTAAAAAACAGTTATAAGTTTGGAGTAGAGAAAGGAAATTTACGTATTTTGCAGATTTGGAAACAGAAGCTTGAAGATCTTAAATATCTTGTCCGGAGTCATTCCTGGAACTAAGATATAAGATTCTGGATCTAAATTCCTACCTTCTCCTACATTCTCTTTTTTTATGTCAGCATACTTTTGCCCCTCAAACTGGTTGTTGTTAGAAAGAATAAGACCTAATATTTGATAGCACAACAGGGGGACTATAGTTAATAATAATTTTTTTTTTTTTTTTTTTTGAGACAGAGTCTTGCTCATGTTGCCCAGGCTAGAGTGCAATAGTGCACTCTTGGCTCACTGCAACCTCTGCCTTCCAGGTTCAAGCGATTCTCCTGCCTCAGCCACCCAAGTAGCTGGGATTACAGGCATGTGCCATGACGCCTGGCTAATTTTGTATTTTTTTTAGTAGGGACGGGGTTTCACCATGTTGGTCAGGCTGGTCTCAAACTCCTGACCTCAAGTGATCCACCTGCTTCGGCCTCCCAAAGTGCTGGGATTACAGGTGTGAGCCACTGCGCCCAGTCCTATAGTCAATAATAATTTAATTGTACATTTAAAAATAACTAAAAGAGTATAGATTGTTTGTAACAAAAAGGAAGAATGCTTGAGGGGTTGAATACCCAATTTTCCATGATGTGATTGTTACGCATTGCATGTCTATATTAGTGTACCCCATAAACATGTACACCTACTATCTACCCACAACAATTTAAGAATTTAAGAAAAATCTGGTTGCTATAAACTATTCTTTATTCTTTGTCAGTGGTAGTTGATATCTTCTCCTCTCATGTTAGAATCCTGAGTTATTTTCACTTCTTCCCACTTTATCACCAGTCATCAGTTTGGGCCTTTGTCTGTTTTTCTTGCCTTGGAAACTCTGGCAGATCTACCTTTTTCCATTTCCGTTCTCACTATTCCACTTGGTCCTTCATAATCTTTTACCAGGATTACTTTAATGACTTCCTACCCACTCACCCTTTTCAAATTTGTTCTATACCGTAAAAAGCTGTCAAACTAACATTTTAGGAAATGCTACCTTTTTTTCCACATACTTCCCCTTGCTCTGACCCTATTACAGTTTTCTATTGGTCACTCACATCAGTGCATATTTAATACATATTTATTTTTTATGGTATTGGTATGGTATAGTCTTCATGGTTTTGTTAAGCAGTAGAAGAATATGAGTATCAGGCCGGGTGTGGTGGCTCACTTCTGTTATCCTAGCACTTTGAGAGGCTGAGGTGGGCGGATCACGAGGTGAGGAGTTCAAGACCAACCTGGCCAATATAGTAAAACCCCATCTCTACTAAAAATACAAAAATTAGCTGGGCATGGTAGCGTGTGCCTGTAGTCCCAGCTACTTGGGAGGCTGAGGCAGAAGAATCACTTGAACTCAGGAGGTGGAGGTTGCAGTGAGCCTAGATCATGCCACTGCACTCCAGCCTGGGTGACAGAGTGAGACTCCGTCTCAAAAAAAAAAAAAAAAGAATGTGAATATCTATGTGATATGATACTCATCTCAGATAATTTGTTGTAAGGAGTTGAGGTTTAAATAAATACATGATTCCTCCTTCAAGTAATTTATCATTCATTTGAGGAGACCACATAGACACTGAGAAATTTAACAATAGAAAAATAGTAATAATATATATTTTTCTTTTTTTCCTACAGGTTCCTGTTGCATGTAAATCATGTCCTTGTGGTTACATATTTATTAGCAGAAAACTTTTAAATGCAAAACACTCAGAGAAATCACCACCTTCTACAGGTAACTGTGAGTTTAATACATTTTTAGCTTTTTGATGTAGAAATGTAAAGTTAATTTTTGTGAAGTTTCTATTTACATTTTTTGTTGAAGTTAAAAGTTTAAATCTATTCAAGTGTTTTTGGCTTTTATTAACTATTGGAATTAGTTTACGACGTTGGTTTCATGTGCATTCCATTTAAATGTTAAGTCCCTTACAATGCTGATAACGCTTGTAACAAATTTTTTATTTTTGAAGGTGGAGAACCATTGAAAGGTTTTAGCAAGGGAGTGACCTGATCTGATATAAAAACTTTTTAAAAAAATAGCTTTAGTAATAATTGACATTGAGTAAATTGGATGTATTTGAAGTGCACAGTTTGATAAGTTTTGACATATGTATATACCAATCAATCACCACAATCAATATTATGAACATTCATCAATTTCAAAAGTGTTCTAGTTCCCTTTGTAATCCCTCCTTCCTGCTACCTCCACCCCAGGTAACCACAGATCTGCTTTCTGTTACTGTTCGTATTTATGGAATCATATAGTATGTACTCTTTTTTGCCTGGCTTCTTTCACTGAGTGTAATTATTTAGGATTCAGCCATGTTGTATGTACCAATAAGAGTTCATTCCTTTTTATTGCTTAGTAGGAGTCTTTGTATGGAGATTTGTTTATCCATTCTCCTGTTGATGGACATTTGAATTTTTTCTCTCATAATGGTGGTAAAATTTGCAGCAACTTTTAAGTTTTGTTTTTTTTTTAAACTAGTGACCGTTGAAAAATATAGCTTGGTTTTGGTATGAAAAACGTTTTTAGACATGTTGACTATGTTTTACAGTTCCCTGACTGAGGATATCCAAATAATGATTTTGTTTGAACTTGTTGCTTTTCCATTAACGTAGACAAATTGGATTTATTCAATAGACATATTTATTAATATTAAAAGATACAATTTTGTTACTTATTCTTGGCTAAAAGCAGACCTTCATATGGTGGTGACCTCGAAATAAGAGTAGGTTCATTACAAATATATACTGAGCACCTGCTATATGCTAGACACTATTCCAAGCCTTGGGCACAAAGCACTGAATTCTACTGTTAAGGCAGATTTACTGGTGTCATGGAGCTTATATTCTTGTGGGTGGGAGATAGACAGTGAACAAATATACAGAGAAAATGTAACCTTGTGATAAATGCTTTATAGTCCTATGAAGTGACTGGAAGGCTACTTTTGATTGGGTGGTTAGAGAAGGCCCCTATGAGGAGGTGACATTTAAATGGAGTCTCAGTGGATAGAAGGGGCTAGCCATGATAAGATCAGGGAAAAGAACATTCTTGACAGATGGAAATAGCAAGTGCAAAAGTTCTAAGGTTGGAAAACATTTTTTATATTTTAGGAACAAAAAAGACCATTGCGATTGCAGTGTAGACAGTATGATTAGAAGAGTGGAAGATGAGTTCACAGGGCTAGGCAGAGGCTAGATTGTATAGGGCTTTGTAAACCAGAGTAAGAAGTTTGGATTTTGTTTGTAAACTGTGAGGAGAAACTGTCCCTGAGATGGGGTGGGATGAAGAGAGGAGAAGATGGCATCCTCTGATTTGAGTTTTAGAAAGATCATTCTAGCTGCTGTGTAGAGAATAGTTTGTAGGGGTACAAATATGGAAGTGGATTATTGCAGTAGGCTAACTAAGAATACTGAGTTAGACAAAGACTGATGATAGTAGCAGATGATTCAATAATAATTTTTATTTATGTCTGAGAGGTTTATTTATCTTAGGTCTATATAGAAGTGGCAGGAAACTTGTTTAGTTCCATTTCTGTCACTGTTTCAGTTCTCTTCTCATCATGAGAATGAACATAATTCACTGGTTCTTAAAGGCGGTTGCTGGGTTGGCTGTATAGGATTCATGCAGAGAACTTGTTAAAAATGCATTTCTGGATCTTACTCTCTGAGAGTTTGGTTTAGATAAAGGAACCCTGAAATGATGATTCACTCGGTAGCTATTTTGGGGTGGCGTGTCAGCTCAGTGCTGAGTTTCTAAAAATGAATAAGACATGGTCCTTGTTCTTAGGGAGACAAAGTGCTTATTTTTTTAATTCAAGTATTTTTGAGCTCCTTTTATGTACCAGTGATTCAGATGAGAAATGAGTTAAGAAAGTCAACAAAGATAAAAGAAGGAACAGGGCCAGGCATGATGGCTTATGCCCATAATTCCAGCATTTTGGGAGGCCGAGGCAGGAGGATCGCATCAGCCTGGGAAGTTGAGGCTGCAGTGAGCTGTGATTGTACCACTGTATTCTAGCCTGGGTGACAGAGTGAGACCTTGTCTAAAATAAAATGAAAAAAAGGAGGAACAGATGATACAAGTGTTAATGAGTTGTTAAGTTTAACCAGTTAAACCAGAGGGAAGAATTTAGAAGATTCCCAGATCTCTGACTTGGATTGCTAGTTAAAAGAGAATATAAGAGGGAAAACAAGCTGTGGGGGAAAGATGAAGAATTTAATTTTGGGTATAGAAACATCATCCGTGTAGATTTTTTTTTCAGTTGGACATATAGTCTGCAGCCTCAGCTGCAGGTAAAACTTTTGAGCCATCAGTGACTAGATGGTAGTTGTCATCATGGAAAATGGATGAGCTCGCGGTGCAGAGTTTGTAAGTTAGGAAGAGGAAGGCATTCAGGGACTAAACTGTGACAGACACCAATTTTACAGACAGGTCAGATCAACTAAGAAGAAATGTCAGCTGTAGGAGAAAAACCAACAGCACAATGTTATGTAAGTCATGGCGATGAGTTTTAAGAAGCAATTCATTATTATTTTGTATTTGGAGTTTCCTGAGATTTCCTTGTTTAGTAAGAGTGGTCTTTTGACTTTGAAGTGAAGATGAAACATTGAAGCCCAGAAATCCCTGCAGGAGGAGGAAGAACCAGCAACAAAACCAAACCAGAAAGGAAGGAGAAACATCAAGGATAGGCTGTGCCATAGAAACCACAGGAGGAAAAGATTTTAGGGAGAGGATTAAGAGTATTCAAAGCCTCAAAAACAGTTTGGTAGAGTACAGACGTGGGGGTCAGAAAACCTGGCTTCAGATTCAGATTCTGTCCCTTTCTAAGCAGCCTAGTTAACCTCCATGAGCAACTGTTGTTTGTTTATAAGATAGATTTATAGTACCAGTGTTAGAGGATTGAAGTACATATGAAAATGTCTAACATTTGCAAAGCATGGTAAGTTTTAGGTACTCAGTAATTCTCGTTTTTACAATTAAATTTCTTAGAAGTAAGATTTGCCTTGGATAATCCCATGGTATGTAGGGAATTGAGAAGAGTTTAAGGTCACTACAATTTATCAAGTGCTTAATGTCGTCAGTGAGATATAGAACATTTCAGTTTTAAGGAAAGTAGTGGAGAATTAATAGAAGAAATGAAAATATACACTATATATCTGAAAGATAACCAACTTCACTAATTATCAGGGAAATGCGGTTGAAACAAAATGCCATTCTTTTTGCCCACAGTTCACATAAATGTAAAGAATTTCTAAGTACTTTCATGAGTATGGCAAAATGGATAGTCTCATACTGTTGGTGGGAGCATTAGTTGGTACAGCCATTTTGGAGACCAGTCTTACCAGTAGTTGTTAAAAGGTTTAAATACACATAACCTAGAATGCAGAGCTCTTAATCAGTAGGTAGGTAGCCTAGAGAGCCTAATTGTTTATATACACAATGAAGCATTTACTAGGGTTTTCAAGGCAACACTTTATAATAGCAGAAGGTTGTTAGTAAGCCAGATGTAATCAGTAGGGGAATGGTTAAATTAAGTAGCTAAATTATCTTTTAGTTAATAGTATGTGCTAGTTTGAAAGAATGATACAGATTTTATGTACTGAAATGGAAAGATCTCTAAAACATTGTTAATTTAAGGAAAAACTGCAAAACAATACTTGGATATGAGCTTGTTTGTTTTTAAAACCCCACAAAATGATTTCTACATGTAGTATTAATAAGTAAATACATAAATGGATAGATAGGTAACTATATAACAAGTACAGAGTCAAGGAAGACTTGTTTGCATAAGTAAACATCTTTTTAAAAAAACTATAATTAAAGCTCATTGATTTTAAAAATAAAGCTGTAAAAGATATTTTTAAAATTTCACTAGGTTGAAAGCTCTTATTCAATTATTGTACACAGTTTGTGATGTGCAGGAAGAAAAGAATCTGTTAGGCTGAATAGATTTAGCTAGATATGAATTGTTTAAAAGTCATGTTTTTCATATATGCCAATCAATTATTTATACCTTCGTAACATGCAGAGAAATAGGGAGGTGGTAGAGTAAAACTATATAGAACTTAGCGTAGCTGAAAATATGTATATATAAAATCTATTACAGGAATTAATGAAATTTTTTTTTTTTGAGATGGAGTCTCGCTCTTGTTTCCCAGGCTGGAGTGCAATGGCACAATATTGGCTCACCACAACCTCTGCAACCTCTGCCTCCTGGATTCAACCCATTCTCCTGTCTCAGCCTCCCAAGTAGCTAGGATTACAAGAATGTGTCACCACACCCGGCTAATTTTGTATTTTTAGTAGAGGTGGGGTTTCTCCATGTTGGTCAGGCTGGTCTCAAACTCCCGACCTCAGGTAATCCGCCCGCCTCGGCCTCCCAGAGTGCTAGGATTACAGGCATGAGCCACTGCGCCCGGTGGAATTGAGTTTTTTAAAGTTTAAAATTAATTTGTGTGAGAGAAAGAGATGCGTGTTAGCAGTAACACTGTGTTAAGAAATGCTCAGCCGGCACGGTGGCTCACGCCTGTAATCCCAGCACTTTAGGAGACTGAGGCGGGCGGATCATCTGAGGTCAGGAGTTTGAGACCAGCCTGGCCAACATGGTGAAATCCCGTCTCTGCTAAAAATACAAAAATTAGTTGGGCGTGGTGGTGTGCACTTGTAATCTCAAATACTCGGGAGGCTGAGGCAGGAGAATCACTTGAACCAGTGAGGCGGAGGTTACAGGCTGGGCACAAGGTCTCACACCTGTAATCCCAGTGCTTTGGGAGGCCAAGGCGAGCAGTTCACTTTGAGCTCAAGAGTTCGAGACCAGGCTGGGCAACATGGCGAAACCCTGTCTGTAAAAAAGAAAAATAACAAAAAATTAGCCAGGCATGGTGATGTTAACTGTGGAGGGTGTCCAGGTTCTTGGTGTCTTGAACAAAGAATTGGACGAAACACACAAAGCAAGGAAGGAATGAAGGGATTTATTGAAAATGAAAGTACAGCGTGGGAGTGGGCTTGGAGCATAGGGGCTCAAAGGCCCTGTTAGTTACAGAGTTTTTGTGAGTTTAAATACCCTCTTTTTGGGGCACACCCTATGTAAAAGGAGAGGATGAAGTAAGGTTACAAAGTCATTTACTTGGCCTATGCCCTATGGAGAGGATGAAGTAAAGTTACGAAGTCATTTACCTGGCCTATGCCCTATGAAGAGGATATTTCCTGTTATAGCTGAAGTGTGAGATTGCCTTAGTTCCCTGCCTCCAGACCCTATTTTTCTGCCTCAGTGGTGTGTGCCTGTTGTCTCAGCTACTTGGGAGGCTGAGGTGGGAGGATTGCTTGAGCCTGGGAAGCAGAGGTTGCAGTGAGCGGTGATCTCACTACTGCACTCCAGCCTGAGTGACAGAGTGAGACTCTATCTCAAATTTAAAAAGAAGAAAATTTTAATTATAAAAACTATAGAAGAAAAAGTAAATTTCTAAATGGACACTAGTTCATAAAATTTAGAATTTAAAATTTAATAAAATTTAAGATTTAGAATTTCCTGTAAAGGAAAGAAAAAATAGTTGAGACAGTAGGAAATTATAATTGCTTATTAGTATTTTAACTATGAAATTTTCAGTGAGTAAAAGGTTTAGAGTAAGCATAGTCAAATAAATAACCTCCTCCTTTTTTCACTGGGAGAAAGAAAAAAGGGAAAAAAACCCTCAACTTAGTTTTCAAGTTATTCTTTAATATAAGTTAATAGGCTAAGGCTGATAAGCAAAGACGTTCATAAGTGACAAGTTCACTTTTAGTTAAGGGAAAAAAATGGAGAAATGATTATCACCTGTACCTTTTATAAATCCAAAGTGATTGAGTATTAATTCAGTAGTATAAGTGGTCCTCAACTCTGAATTACTTGACTGTGGAGGTTTGGTTCTGTTATTCAGAAAGTATTGTTCTTTACTTGCTGGCCAGGGGCGGTGACTCATGCCTATAATCCCAGCACTTTGAGAGGCTGAGGCAGATGGATCACTTGAGGTCAGGAGTTCAAGATCAACCTGGCCAACATGGTAAAAACCCATCTCTACTAAAAATACAAAAATTAGAAAAAAAGAAAAGGAAGCATCTTCCCTTACATGCTAATTGCATAAAAGTGCTGTACATTCCTGTATGGAACATGGCTTTTATATAGTTGATTTTTGTGGTTTTTTTTTTTTTTTTTTTTTTTGCTTTTTGATGAAAAAAATGCATACCTTTACCTCTGAGCCTGTACTTTTAGGTTCTTAATCATATAGTCTATGATATCTATATTCATCTTTAAAACACTTTTCATAGAGTTCTTTGACTTCTAATTAAGACTGATTGTTTTTAGGTCTGCCGTACAGCTATTGTACTAGGATTTCTTTCCATTGTACTCCCAGGATAATCCCACTCTTTCTTTCTTTCTTTATTTTTTTGAGACAGAGTCTTGCTCCATCACCCAGGCTGGAGTGCAGTGGCCTGATATCGGCTTACTGCAACCTCCACCTCCCGGGTTCAAATGATTCTTCTGCCTCAGCCTCCCTAGTAGTTGGGATTACAGGTGTGTGCCACCATGCCCAGCTAATTTTTTTATTTTTAGTAGAGACAGGGTTTCTCTATGTTGGTAAGGCTGGTCTTGAACTTCTGACCTCAGGTGGAGCTGCCCGCCTCTGCCTCCCAAAGTGCTGGAATTACAGGGGTGAGCCACTGCACCTGGTACCACTCTTTCTTACATACTATGTCTTTGTTCTTTTTTACCCATATGTTTTTACTTTTGGAATAAATTTCCCAGAAATTGTTTTATTTCTGGAAAAACTTTTCCAGAAAAGACATAATGTGCATTTCCTATCTTCTGTTGTGGAGAGTGCCTTTGTTTTGCATTCACACTTTAATTTTGTTCTCATTCTTCCTTGGCATTCAGTGGGTCCTTTCCATCTGAAAGCTCAGGTCTTCAACTCAAGGTGGTTTCTATCCATTATTGCTTTTCCCTCCATTTCCTTTTCTTTTCATTCTGGCATGCCTATAGGATCATGTTAGGATTGCCTTTTACACTGTCTTGGAAACTGACACTGTATTGGAAGAAGGATAAAGATAGGCAGTACAAGGATATTGGCTCAATGATGTCATCAAAGACTTTAGTCTCTTCTCTTTCTTCCACCTTAAGAAGACGTGGCTTATCCTCATGGTTCTGAGGTAGTTCTTATTGCACATCTAAGCATCCTATACACATTTCAAGAAGGAAGAAGAGGGAAGAGCAGAGAGACAAAGGGACATGCCAGCTATGCTTCTTCCCTTGAAAAAAATCTTTCTGGAAACCTTACCCAGTTTCACTTACCTGTCATTGGCTAGAGCTAGATGCCACCTCACCTGCAGGGAGAGTCTTGAGAATGTATACCTATTTTAGGCATATTGTCCTCTTTAACAGAACAAGATTCTGTTCTTAAAGAAGATGGGGAGAAAGAATAATGGGTATATAATTAGCAGTTCTGTCATAGGGATATCTATTAGGTTTCTTGGATCTTTCCTTTATTTTTCTTTACTTTCTGTCACATTCTCTTTTTGTCTTTTTGCTTTATTCCAGGAAATTTTGTTGATTTTCCTTTCTACATCTATAATTTTGTCATCAAGCGTGTCAAATTTAGCTTATTAGCACCTACGCTTTAGCAGGGTATCTTGTTTTCTAATTTATTCTTTTTCATAGAATTTTGAAAATACTTTTATTGTGGGAAAATATAACAAAATATTCTATTTTAACCATTTATAAGTGTATAGTTTAGTGGCATTAAGTGCATTCATATTGTATTCTTAACCATCACTACCATCCAATTCCAGAACTTGTTTTTCCAAACTGAAACCGTGTACCCATTAAACAATGACAGCCACTTCCTTCTCCCCCATACCCCAGGCAACCACCATTCTGCTTTCTCTGTCTGTGAATTTCACTGCTCTAGCCATCTCATGTAAGTGGAATCATACAATATTTGTACTTTTATGTCTGGCTTATTTTACTTAACACAGTGTCCTCAAGGTTTCATTCATGTTGTAACATGCATGACAATTTCCTTTTTAAGGTTAAATAATATTCCATTGTATGTATATGCCATATTTTGTTTATGTATTCATCAGTGGACACTTGGGTTGCTTTAACCTTTTTGCTATTGTGAATAATGCTGCATGGTATACAAATATCTGTCCTGATCTCTGCTTTCATTTCTTTTGGGTATATGCCCAGAGGAATTGCTGGATCATATGTTGATTCTATTTTAATTTTTTGAGGACTGAATTTACTGTTTTCCATAGCAGCTCCATTTTACATTTCTACCAGCAGTGTACAAATGTTCCTTCCGGTTTCTCTACATCCTCACCAACACTTTATTTTTTGGTTTTGTTTTGCTTTGCTTTTTATAATAATCTGAAGAGTATGAAGTGGTATCTTGCTGTGGTTTTGATTTGCATTTTCTTATTGATGTGATATTGAACATCTTTGCATGTGCTTAGTGGCCATTTATATATCTTCTTTGGAGAAATACCTATTCAAGTCTTCTGCCCATTCTTGAATTGGGGATTTTTTTTGTTGTTGTTGTTGACTTGTAAATTCTTTATATTATTCTGAATATTAATCTCTTATAATAATTTGCATATATTTTCTCCCATTCCATGTATTGCCTTTTCAGTCTGTTGATAGTGTCCTTTGATACACAGAAGTTTAATTTTGATGAAGTCCATTTTGTCTGTTTTTTTTTTTTCTTTCATTGCTTTTGCTTTCGCTTTTGGTATCATATCCAAGAAATTATTGCCAAAATCCAATGTCATGAAGCTTTTCCATGATTTTTTAAACAGTTTTATGGTTTTAGTGGTTATATTTAGATATTTGATCCATTTTGAGTTAATTTTTGTGTATGGAGTAAGATAAGGGTCTAACTTCATTTTTTGGCTAGTGTGAATTATGCTACATTGTGTAGATACCCAGTTTTCCTGTTACAACTTGTGGAAGATACTGTACTTTACCTTGAATTGTCTCAGACTCTTATTGAAAATCCTTTGACTGTATGTGTGTGTTTATGTCTGAGGTTTATTTTTATTCCTTTGGTCTGTATATTTGTCTTTATGTCGGTACCATACTGTTTTGATTATTATAGCTTTGTAGTAAGTTTTGAAATCAAGAAGTGTGGGACCTCTAACTTTGAATTTTTTCAAGATTGTTTTGGCTACTTGGAAATCCTTGGGATTCCATGTGAATTTTAGGATGGGTTTTTCTGTTTCTGCAAAAATAATCTTATTCTTAATGATAATCTCCTTTCAGATCTCTCAAGGTATGCATTAGAATGTTTTAATTTTTTGTTTGCTTGTTTGTTGAACTATCTTTGTTCTTCCTGTTTTATTTTGGCTCTTCTCTTGACTATTATTTTCTTCTTATAGCTAGTAATGTTTAATTGACTGTTGGTGTGATACAAATGAAGGACTTGGTTTATCAGTGTAGGTAAGTTTAATGAATACCCTACACTGTTTTAAACGTCTGTTTTGACAAAAGGTCTCTTCAGTGTATAATTGGGAGTTTAGTGGCAGGAGGTGAGCAGGCAGTACACTGGTGAATTCCCTTATTGCCAAAATAAGGCAGGCTTCATTCTGGGGTGGAATGTGAAATCTCTTACAGTATTTCATTCCTGTGAGGAGCTGGCTTTTTCCTATATTATGGAGGTTTGAAGTTCTCTTGCACATTGCTCTGTTCCTGAGAGCTTCCTTATGTCAGTTGCTCTGTATACATAGGCCCAACTGTACTGCAATAGTCTCTAGTTATTTTGATGATCACCTTGGTGGCCTGCTCTCCCTTACTGTACTTTTTGTCCTGCCCTGGGATTATCCTTGAGAATCCTCCTTTGGGAGGAACAGCTCTCCGTTCTATAGCAGCTATCACTTACTCCTATTTTTGGATTGTAGTTTATTTTATTCTTGTTTCTTATCAGAACCATCAGGTTGCCAGTTTGCTGAAATTCTGTAATTTTGGGTCATTAATAGTACCTTTTTCTTGTTTCCAGCACCACAGATATATTTTCCTTTTTCTCCTTCCCCTCTTCCCATGTTTCTTCTCATTCAATGGGATTTTGAGAAGGTGGTAAGGTAAATGTGTGTCCTATCCGATTTTATTTATTCAACAGTCTGTGTAAGTAATGTTCTGGGTTCTGCAAATAAGGTAGGCCAAGGATTCCCAAGTTTCATAAAGCCTATATTTTGATGGAGGAGACGCATTGAGCATATAAGTAAATAAATAACAGATTATAGCTGTAGTAGATTACAGGAAGTAACTTGGGCTGGGAGAATCAGAGCAAGTGACCTGTATATGGATATCTGAAGAGAAAAAAAGGCTTATCTTATGAAGAGCCGTGGGAAGAGAGCTCTAGGCAGAAGGATTAGCGTATACATAGACTCAGCGGAGGAAGGAGCTCGTTTTATTAAAAGAAAGGCACGTCTGGAGTGTAGTGAACAAAGTGGTGAGCTTGAGCATCATGAGACTGGAGAAAGAGGCAAATGCCAGATCTGTTGGGGACTTGTCTTTGGTAAGGAATTTTTAGTTTAAATATGGAAAAAAGCTTATGAAAGGCTTTAGAAGGGAAGCTATGCAGTTTGATTTTTTTTTTTTTTTTTTTAAGATAATATTGGCTGGTACGTAGAGAATAGGTTTGACTGGGATGTTGCCTGTGGAGGTGGAGAGAAATGAAGAGATTATGGGTATATTTTGCAAGGAGTATCTGTGGACCTTAGCGATGGTACAGGAAGCAAGATGAGTCACAAACGACTACAAGTTATTTGACTAGTACAACCAGGTGATGCTATTTACTAATATGATGAAAGTAGTAGGAGTAACAGATTTGGGAGAGGGAGAACCAAGAGTTATTTTTTGATACAATTTGAAATGCCTTTGAGACATTCAAGTGAAGTTGTCAGGTAGGCAGTCTAGAGTTTAGGGAAGAAATCAGAGCAGAAGGTGAAAACTTTGGAGCCATCATAACAATAGTGTTTAATGCTGTGGGTTTACGAGATGATCTAGGCAAAGTCTAAGTAAGAGAAGAGGGCTCTGGACAGAATCCTGGGGCCTTGACGTTAGATTGGGAAAGCACCTAGGGGAAGGGCACACAGCAAAGGCGATTAGGAGGAGTGACTGATGAGGTGAAGAAACTGGGGGAGCCTGAGAATCAAGCAAAATAATTTCAAGGAAAGTAGTAGTCATCTTTGTTGAATTTTTGAGAGATGGTGTAAGATGGTAAGTGAGGTGTCTATTAAGATTTGGTAACAGGTTTTTGTTGTTTTTGACAGTCAGTTTCAGTGGGATAGGAACTATACTGGAATAGATTTGATGAGTGAATGGGAGATGAAAAACTGAAGGCAGAAAGTACAGGTACCTCTTTTGAGAAGTTTGGCTGTGAAGAAGTTTGCAGAGATGACTGGGTAGCTGGGGGAACAAACCCAAATTCAGTGTTAGACTTTAATAGGCATACTATTTAAAGCTTCATCTATCACTAGTTCTTTTAACCTTTATTTTTTTGAGAAATTCTAAGCATATGCAAAAGTAGAAAATGACCAACCCTGCCCCATCCACAATCCTGTCTACCTCTTCCTTTGCATCATTTTGAAGCAAATCCCATATAATTTCAGTTATAAATATTTCATTATGTTTCCAAAAGATGAACATTAAAAAATGTAAGCACAATGCCATTATAACATAAAAAATTAATGATAATTTCTTATTAATAAATATCCGACTTGTGTTCACATTTTCACTTTTCTCAAAAATTGTCTTAGAATTTTAAAAACAGATTTTAAATAAGGTCCACAAATTGCATATGGGTGCTATCTTATTTATTTATTTATTTATTTATTTATTGAGACAGAGTCTCGCTCTGTCACCCAGGCTGGAGTGCAGTGGCACGATCTCAGCTCACTGCAGCCTCTTCCTCCTGGGTTCAAACAATTCTCATGTCTTGGCCTCCTGAGTAGTTGGGACTACAGGCGCACACCACCATGCCTGGCTAATTTGTATATTTTCAGTAGAGATGGGGTTTCATCATGTTGGCTAGGCTGGTCTCGAACTCCTGAACTCAGGTGATCCGCCCCCTTTGGCCTCCCAAGGTGCTGGGATTACAGGCGTGAGCCACCACACCCTGTCATTTGTTTAAGAACAGGGTGTCGCTTTGTCACCCAGGCTGAGACAGGGTCTTGCTATGTGGCCCAGGCTGGTCTCAAACTCCTGGCCTCAAGCAATACTCTTGCCTCGGCCTCCCAAATGCCTAAAGTGCTTTTGGATTACAAGCATGAGCTACTGAGCCTGGCTAGATTATATCTTTTTTAACCCTCTTATTATCTATTATTTTCTCTTTTTCTCCTTGCAAGTTAGATGTTGAAGAAATGGCATCACCTGTCCATTTGTATGTGCTGTTTGTATCCCCATGGTGTCACTTAACATATTCCTTGAATAACCTCTTTTTCCTATTAGTTGTAAGTTAGATCTAAGGGCTGGAGAGATTGGAATTTTTTTTTTTTTACAAGACTACTTAATAGGTAGTGATGTGTACCTCTATCCAGAGGTGCTTAAAGTCTGCTTCTCTCTCTCTTTTTTTTTTTTTTTGAGATGGAGTTCATTTTTGTTGCTCATGCTGTAATACAATGGTGCTATCTCAGCTCACCACAACCTCTGCCTCCTAGGTTCTAACGATTCTCCTGTCTCAGCCTCCCAAGTAGCTGGGATTACAGACACGTGCCACCACACCCAGCTAATTTTGTATTTTTAGTAGAGACGGGGTTTTGCCATGTTGGTCAGGCTGGTCTCGAACTCCTGACCTCAGGTGATCCACCCGCCTTGGCTACCCAAAGTGCTAGGATTATGGGTGTGAGCCACCGCGCCTGGCCTGCTTCTCTCTTTTAGTGATGTTAGTACCTGCTGATGTTTAGTGCTTAGAACCTTTAGTTCATTGCAGGTTGAAAAATGTTGATACTCTGATTCTGTCATTCCTTCTTCATTTATTAGCTTTAATATGAGAAACCTCTTCATTTGCCCTTTGGTTACCCCGTGAGTAGCACAGTTTAAATAGAAAAAGCAGAAGAAATGCTTTGTTCTTGCCCTATATTTAAGTTTTCAAAGTAATGAGTTGGTTCTTTAGTATCTTCGTATGGTGGCCAAGTAGTTTTTGTTTTTAATGTTAATGTACTCATATGCTTGATATATTTCAATCTGTTACAGTTACTATTTTTATTGATGCTCAAATTGTCCTGTAATAGTGGGAGCCTCTTCATGTTAGCCCAAGTCTTAACAACACCCTGCTTGTCTTTGATAACTTTCTTGCAATCTGGGATAATTAAATATTCTTGTATTATCTGGTATATGTCTAATTTGAAACTTCAGATTAATTCTCCAAGGATATGGTGTTTGGGGATAATATTACTATTTTACTTTTAATTTTTTTACAGCAGTCTATTAAGCATACTTATTTTATAGTCTTTCACATTGTTCCCTTTAGTTCTTTGGATATGAATTTTTCTGTTTGTTTTGCCCCTTTACCACTGAGATTTTTGGCATTTGGGGAATTCTCTTTCTTGCTTTTGAGTGCAGGTATGTGTTAAAGCAAGGTATCATCTTTTTTGTTTTTGTTTTGTTTTTTTCTTTAAGTTTATTGTTTGTCTTATCCAACATTTTGATTTGTTTAGAGTGGGAGGGGTGGCTTCTTGCACTAATTAAATCACCATATTTAGTAAAGTTTCCCTATTGCTATTCCATTTATGGAACAACATGCTCTTATATCAGAAATTACCTTATCTGTGGCTAAAGTGAAAATTACTCACTTGCCTAGGGTTTTTATATTTGTTATGGATGCTTTCTGTTTGATTTTTATTGTAACCTTAATACGTTATCTCTAAGATCAGTTTTGCTTTTGCATATTTCACATATTTTAATCTTTAACTCAGGTAGAGGGCAAAAGGGCATGCAGTTTTTTTCCTTTCTTAATATTTCACTATTTTTAGCTTGGAAACAGGAAGAAAAAGGCAGAAAGGTTGCTATGGAATTGTGTGAACTTGTAGAGGCTGAAATTTAAGCTGCCAAATGAAGAAACTTGTTTTCTCTTCCAAGATTCCTCCTACTTCATGTGTTATTGTGATCTGAATTCTATTGAATTTCTTTTTTTCTTATGAGGGTGTGGGGGAGACATATATGTTATGGTTGTAGTTCTATGAAATATGCCAGGAAGCATACTCTAGTGCTATTTAGAAAGAAAAAGGAAGACAATGAGAACTTGGGCAAACAGTTCTTGCTAAGCCCTAAAATATATCACTTTTATTCATCCATACAGAAAACAAGCATGAGGCCAAGAGGAGGCGAACAGAGAGAGTTAGGAGAGAGAAGATAAATTCTACAGTAAATAAAGATTTAGAAAACAGAAAGAGGTCTCGAAGTAACAGCCATTCAGATCATATCAGACGAGGAAGAGGAAGACCTAAAAGTGCATCTGCCAAAAAACATGAGGAAGAAAGAGGTATGAACAAATCAAGCAGTTTTTTTTTCAAGTATTAAATTGATCTGGGATCTTAATTAGGTAGTAGTGAAGAAAGTGGAGGCATTGAGCTCCTGGACTTAAAAATCACAACTCATATTTTAGTTTGAAAGCATTTCCTCTGTGGTAGATGCTTATTATTTTTTTAATCACAGGAATTTAATTCTTATTGGAAACCTGAAGGCTTAGTTAGGTAAAATTTACCTTGCTATAAACTGATGATAATAGAGTTCAAAGATAATTTGTATATGACATCCTGAAGAAGCCTGTTAAAATGATTGTACTTTTTTTTTTTTTTGAGACAGCGTGTTGTTCTGTCACCCAGGCTGGAGTGCAGTGGCGCGGTCATGGCTCACTGCAGCCTTAAACTCCAGGGCTCCGGTGATTCTCCCCTGAGCCTCCTGAGTAGCTGGGACTACAGGTGTGCACCATCATGCCTAGCTAATTTTTTGTAGAGGGGGGTTTCACCATGTTGCCCAGGCTAGTCTTGAACTTCTGGGCTCAAGCAATCTGCCCTCCTTGGCCTCCCAAAGTGTTGGGACCTCTTTTTTTTTTTTTTTTTTTTGTCTTTTAAAGACATGTCTGAGTTCTGTTAAGACTACTTCAAACTATTATACTGTGAGTTTTAAAATTTTACTATTGAAAGTGTTGTTGGTGGAGTTTTTAATTGCTCATTGGGAGATTTGTGTGCTTCCTACTCTGAGGCAGCTTTTGCATAGATGAATTCTTCTTGGTCCAGAGTATATTTCTTTTTCTCCTTACAGGTCTTCTTTCTTCTGACGAATATCTACCAATAGCTTGTTTTTAGACATTAAAACTTCAGTTTCTCTTTTTCTTTGATTTATGCATCTTTTTAAAAACTTACAGAAAATTTCAACATATGCAAGAGTAGAGAAAATAGTATAATGAACCTCTCTATGTCCACAAATACCTTTTTAAAATTGAGACTTTCAAGCTGGTAGTTAATTTAAAAAAGGGATAGTTGCTCTTTATTGTTCTTTAAAAACCTCTGTCAAAATGATTTCATCTTCACTGAAATGCATTTTTAATTTCTTACACTATTTGTGAGTTATGCTTTGCTTTTCAGACGTTCTGTCTTAGATACTCAAGTGCTTTTTGTATAAATGTAAATTTCACTTATTTTAGACAATAAGACCATTCTACCAGTTTGCTATTTCTCTCTGCTTTATGTGCTTTTATTTGAATAAAGTTACTATTGCTAGAAAACAGCTTCACCAGTATAGCCATTCCTAGCTTTTATCAAAGTTAAAGGTGTCTTAGTATTGTATGGCTAAAGGAGTAAGGTTTATATCGGTTTTGACTGTATTCTAGGAAGGCTGTACTAAGGTACTCCATATTCCTTGGGTAATTTTACTGCTTTTCTCTTTCTATTATGCTCTTCCAGAGGGTTTGAGTTATTTGTTAAATTTGTATGTTTCTTTAACAATAGGGTGCAGAAAACCTATGCCGAGGACTCCTATTTTAGAAGGGAAACTAGGTAAAGAAAAGTCAGCAGAGAAAAAGGAAAAGAGAGAAATACTGCCTGGCTCAGAAAACAACATTCTTTTCAGTTGAAATAGAGGGAATGCAGCTGAAAGAAGAGAATGCTTCTGGTGGTGGGTGAGAGAAGATGAGAAAGCAGATAATGACCATCTTTAGCTGGGGAAATGAAGTCTATATACTTGTGGTAGAACTGTATATATGCAGGATTTCAGCTTTTATTTCATGATTACATGAAAAAAGAAGCATTTGTTTAGCTGTAAATATTTTTTAGGCATTTTCTGTTTATTACAGAAAAATTTTAAGAAAGCTATTTCTAGAGTAAGATATGCTTTTTTTTGTTTTTGATACAAATTGTAGGAAATTACTTAAATTAATTTTTGTAGCACAAACTGGAATCTTATGTAGACCATGAAGTCATTACACTTTTTCTGTAAAGAGCCAGATAGTAAATGTTCTAGGCTTTGTGGGCCATACTATCTCTGTCACAACTACTCAGCTCTGCCATTGTAGCTGGAAAGCAGCCATAAATCATGCATAAATGAATGGGCATGCCTGTGTTCCAGTAATACTTTATAAAGCAGGTGGTGGGCCACATTTGTTACTTGTACTATAGTTTGCCAATCTCTTTCTTTCTTTTCTTTCCTTGCTTTTTTTTTTTTCCTTCTGAGATAGCGTCTCACTCTGTTACCCAGGCTGGAGTGCAGTGGAGTGATCATGGCTTACTTCAGCCTCAAACTCCTGGGCTCAAGCGATCCTCCTGCCTCAGGTGCATGCCACCACACCAGGCTACTTTTTTTACTTTTAGTATAAATGAGGTCTCACTATGTTGCTCAGGCTGGTCTCAAACTCCTGGGCTCAAGGGATCCTTTCAGCTTGGCTTTCCAAAGTGCTGGGATTGCAGGCATGCATGAGCCACTGCACTCGGCCTAGTTTGCCAATCTTTGTTGTAAACCATTGTACTCTTAAATATAATGTGGACAAGAACTATTAGGTTGGTGCAGAAGTAATTGCGGTTTTACTTTTATACCAATCTAACATGAACTTTTGAAATGTCTGTGTTTTAGGATAGATTTCTTGGATATGCTTCTTAGTGCTAAATAGCTATTTAGTTGGTTTTTATTGATTCCTTGCTCTTAGAGCATTTGAAAATTTTGAAGCAAGCTTTAACTTTATTTTAACCATGAATTAAGGAAAACCTGACAATGTGTCTAAAAAACCTAACTTAAAAATGGACTTTTCTATCTAGTCAGATGAGAGATCCAAAGGGGGAAAAATGACTTTTCTATTTTGAAACAGAATAAGAAGGAAGAATGGAAAAGGAAAGCTTGTTAGACATCATCATAATAATATATCTTTATAAAGTCATAAAAACAAATCATTAAACAATTTTTGGTTAGTCTAATGTAAGTCTTCGTTTTATATATAAGGGTATTCTGGATATTATAATATAGAAGTGACATTTTGACTGATTAAAATATGTTAGGCAGTTCTGAACATCATATTAATGAACTTAAGAATGAATGGGTCAGGCGTGGTGGCTCACGCCTGTAATCCCAGCACTGTGGGAGGCCGAGGCTGGTGGATCATGAGGTCAAGAGATCAAGACCATCCTGGCCAACATGGTGAAACCCCGTCTCTACTAAAAATACAAAAAAAATTAGCCGGGCGTGGTGGTGCGTGCCTCTAGTCCCAGCTACTTGGGAGGCTGAGGCAGGAGAATCAGTTGAGCCCAGGAGGCGGAGGTTGCAGTGAGCTGAGATCGCGTCACTGTGCTCCAGCCTGGAGACAGAGCGAGACTCCGTCTCAAAAAAAAAAAAAAAAAAAAATGAATGTAGACTTCAAGCTGAAGATTGTGGATTGAAGAAACACATCTAGCTCTAAACTCCTTTGGGGAAATCTAAGAAAGAAACTGATTTTTATTACACAGTTACCTAAAAGTCAGGAATTTGTGTATCAGTTATGTCTGGAAGTAGAAGTGAAATTGAGGCTAAAAATGAGAGGATTGTTTGCAAGTCTTTTTATGAGTAGCCCACCAGGACTGTTTACCCTCTTATCCCCCAGGTTTATCCTTTGAAAAAGGTAAATAATACAGTCTTTGGTCTCAGGAACACCAGGTGTCTGTTGACGGCCAGGATACCATGTTAAGATCAGGAAGCCTAGGTGAAAATTGGACATAGTAAATGCTGAGTTCTTGAGTTTGGCTTATTAGCGTCCAGGTAAAAAAAGTAAAAAAGTTTGAACATATCTTCTCTAGAGAATCCGAAGGACCCAAGAGAAAAGGCCCCAAATAAAGATACTCTCATTAGAGATTCACAGAGAAGTGGCCTAATTGGATCATCCTAATCTGATGACTACAGTCAAGCTCCACGTATGTGTATGTTTCTAATCAGCTTCTTTGGTCACTCTCCTAAATATGAGCATATTGCCAAGAATTACCCAGATATCTGGAAGAAAGCATCTATTATAGTATGAAAGGCTAAGACCAAATCAACAGGAGAGAAAAAATAACTTGGAAAAAAGCAAGATTTTGCAGGGAAAAGAAAAACTATAAACTACTATTAATATCTTTAGCAAAAGAAGCAATTGTAATTGTAAAATGAACAAGGTGATATTTAAAAGGAAATTGCAGAGGTCAAAAAGCCAGTTGGAAAATGAACTTTAAAATATTCCAAAAAACCCCAAAACATAGATGATACACAGAAATGAACAACTTTAATAAAAGGCTTAAAGATAAAATTGAAGAAAGGTTCCAGAAACTATAACAATTGAAAAGAGATGGAAAAAACAGAATGGAAACCTTAAGAAATTTAGAGGACCAGTATGAGGTCTGACATCTGTAAATAATTAAAGTTTCAGATAAGGAACATGGAAGATGGAGGAGAAGGAAGTCATCAACGACTTTAACAATGACAATTATTTATTCAAGAAAATTTTTCCAACCTGAAGGACATTGAGTTTCTTTGTTAAAAGGGCCTACAAATTCCCAGTCTAAAAAGAGAAATGATGGTTAAAAAGAGAAATTATACCAGAGTTCGTCATCATATCTCATATCTTTGGTTAAATAAAATTTTTCAGGTTTTCAGAAAAAAGAAAAGCAAAATGATATTGGAACTAATACAATGCAATATTGCCCAGCAAAGAACAAACTACTGATATATGACTAGCATCAATGAATTTCAAAAACATGTTGAGCAAAATAAGCTAGGCACAAAAGAGTACATACTATATATGATGCCATTTATATGAAGTTTAGGAACAGACAGAATGATTCTGTGGTAATAGAAATCAGAACAGTGGTTGCTTGTAGGTGTAGAGAGGGATTGGCTGGAAAGAAGCATGAGGAATTTCTGGAGGAAATTTGTTATATGTTGATTGTGACATGGGTTACATGTTTGTATATGTTTGTCAGAACTCCTCCAGTTGAACACATAAAAGATCTGTGTATTCACTATATGTAAATTTATCATTGATTTTAAAAATAACTATAAAAAAGGTATTGGTTTTCTCAACAATGGCACCAGTAGTCAGAAGACAGTTTACTGCCTTCACAGTTCTAAGCGGAAACCTACAAGTCTATACTCAATCAAACTATGAATTAATGTGAAGGTAGACTAAAGATATTTTCTGACATTCAGGGTCTCAAAAAATTTGCTACCAATACTGCCTTTCTCAGGAAGCCCCTACAAGTTACCTGCTACCAAAATGAAGAAATAAACCAAGAAAGGATCTTTGGATTCAAGACAAAGGTGGGTCCACCCAACTCTAGAGATGAGAGTCTCCAGCATGATGCTGATGAAAGAGCACAAGATGATAATTTTGCAGTAGGCCTAGAGAGCAATCATTTCATACTGGAGCAGGTTGGAAGACTTGGAGCGATTTCTTCAAGAAGATAAAAATGATAAAATACCTGATACGTGTAAACATCCTGAAAAACAATTTATACAACTAGGAAAGACATTGGGTTGAGTTAGAAATGAAAACTAAGCAAGTAAAAAGAGAATCACTTCAGGGAAAACAATGTAAAGGAAAAGTGAAAAATCACTTACCATAGGCATAATAATGTAATCACTGAAAACTGATGTTACTAAAGTTGTGATTTAATTATAGTGAGAAGATGAGGGATGGGCAGAGTGTTTATTGGGGCAAGAGATGCAAAACAGTGTAACCCTTATTTTCCCTGGTGGAAAGTGAATCAGTAATGCCTAAAACCCTGAAGTAGCATCTTGTACAAATGTTACTTAGAGATTTGTTTTTGTAAAAGCAAAAAGGAACAACTGAAAAAAAAAGTCACAAAAAAAGTAGTTGCATTTGGAGAGTGGAAAATGTGTATGGGGCAAAGGACTTCTGTTTTTTTTTTTTAACAAGTTTTATAAAAATGATTTGATTGTAAATTATATGCATTTAACTTTGATTAGACTGTCAAAACAAAATAAACAAAAATAGAATCAGGGGATCCTGAAAAAGTAACTTGGAAGAATATACACCAAGATGTTAATTGTGATTTTTGCTGACTCATGAGATTACGAGTGATTTTTATTTTCTTTTTCAAATTTTCTGTGAACTTGGATTACATTTGTAATCGAGAGGGGAAAAATAAAAATAAATGTCATTTCCTGTATAAGAAGATGAAGATGAATATGTTAATGTATTCATAAAGTCACCATTGATGTTCAGAAGGGGACCATCTCTCAGAGTGAATTTCGTCTAGCAGAGAAAATTCATTTTGATTGAGACAGTGAGGAGATAGAAATGTATGAGATTCTTAGAAAAATTATGTAGCTGTTAGAGTGCCTGTGTATAGAAATAAATATTGTCTTCATTTAATCTTCATTTCAGTAACTCCTTTGTATAATTTAAAAAACTTTTTAGTTCAGTAGCATAGTAACATTTAATGTATATTGTAGTATTATATATAATACTGTCATTTAAAGAAATACTTGAAAGCTTTAAAAAATTTAAATTTACTGCATCTACTGCCTTTATATTAAACTTTCCCTTTTTCTTTTAACAGAGAAACAGGAAAAGGAAATTGACATCTATGCTAACCTGTCTGATGAAAAGGCTTTCGTGTTTTCAGTCGCCTTGGCAGAAATAAATAGAAAAATTATCAATCAAAGACTTATTCTCTGATACTTGTTTGCAAAATCTGCTGAAACTTCTGTCAGGATAACATCAGCAAATTCTCAAACAGTTATGGACTCTCAGGAGCATTCTGACTGCATCAATAAGGGCCATCGATTGTTTCTTTCTCGCCTGTCGTTTAGCCTGTGCCACACTTCGGGAGCAAAGCTGTGTAGGCTTGGACTGTTCTGGGATTTCCTTGTTTACCAAGGAGTATTGTCAGTGTTTTGTGTTTGGGATATAAGTAAGTGTATTTGCCAACAACAAAAAAAAACCAACAAAAATGCTGGATGGATGTTAAAGGATAAAAAGTGATGGGGTATGGGGTAGGTATGAAAACTAGGGTAATAAGATGCTTGATTGTTTTCAGGTTTGCCACCAGAGATGCAATATTTTAAATACTGTCAGAAAGAGTGATTTTTAAAAATATATATTTCAGATTTTCAGTGCTAACAGATTGCATATATACAGTTCATTTACTTTTATTAAATTGGCAATCGATATTTTATTGAATGGGGAATTAAGAATATAAACTGTAAATTTTGTCTTAAATTGATTTTTTTTCTTGGCCTTTATTTTTATTACTTAAGGTATGAGTTATATTTTAGGAGATACTTTCTAGACAGTTTGAAGTTTGGGTGCTATATGAAGAAAAACATTTAATGATATACTCAGATATAAACACCTTGTTTTCTTGAATGTAATTTATTTATTAGCTAAAAAAAAAAAACAAACTGCTCTCAAGATGGTGCCTGTTAACCTAAACATGAAATATATTTATTACATGCAAAATATTTCTTAGCCACTTTTAAGCAGTAATGTTTTATCTGAATGGATATTTGTTTCTATATCCTGATAATTATTTAAATTGTTACTTTCAATCTGGAAGAAAAAATAAACCTTAATATTGAAACTAAGTAGATTAAATAGTGTGATAAAAGTTTTTTGTTCTGGTGAAGTTTGTGAAATATATTTAAATTCTTAATTTTTCTAGTGTTAAGTCATAATCGTTTATAGTTGATTTATATTAAATGCTTTTGCATTTTGGCATATCAATTTAATGATTAACATATTCAAACTTGGTAATCACTCCCCTTATTTTCAGTCGCTCTTCCCCCAATCTGTTTAGAAATCCTTTTAAAGCCTTCTTACAGAAGATAGTCATCAGTTAGATTTAGCCCCCTTTTAAGAGAATCTCCCTTTCAATTTTAGCCGTAACATTATCAATTTCAGACTTCATCCTGCATCTCCCATCACCTCCTCAAAGAAAAAAGGTCAACATTTTTTCCTACTTTATTTAAATGGTAACCAGCAGAGGGAGCTTAAGAGGTACTCTAGATAGGATAAAGAATTTTCCTAAGGATTCCTTTTCCTTTAATCCCTGTATCTATCTGCAGGTACTACTGCAACTATTTTGTATGCATTTTATTTATTTATTTAGGAGACAGAGTCTTGCTCGGTCGCCCAGGCTGGAGTGCAGTGGCACTGTCTCAGCTCACTGCAACCTCTGCCTCCTGGGTTCAAGTGATTCTTATGCCTCAGCCTCCTGAGTAGCTGTGACTAGAGGCGTGCGCCACCACGCCTGGCTGTTTTTTTTTTTGTATTTTTTAGTACAGATGGGGTCTCAGCATGTTGGCCAGGCTGGTCTCAAATTCCTGGCCTTAGGTGATCTGCCCGCCTTGGCCTCCCAAAGTGCTGGGATTACAGGCATGAGCCACTGCACTCAGCCTTGTGTGCGTTTTAGAGTCTTAACTAGTAGTTTCCCCAATAATGTAATGTGATTTTATCTTTGAAACATACTGTAAGGAAACTTTTGATTTTAAGTAAAAAAGCTTAAAAATGATTAATATCTAAAAATGCTTGTATACATATATATGTCCTCAGAAAAAGCAAGAACAGCTTGTGGAATAAGCACGTCTTTAAGGAATTATCGATGTCAGAGTCTATCCATTTAAAGCTGAAGACCATTACAGGAAAGTCATGTTAAAATATTCATTGGATATGGTAAAGGAGGTACTGGTGGCTGGGCTGGAGCTTGCCGTATAGAAAAGTAATTACTTCAGATCTCATAATGTTAAATTATTGGCTTATTTAAAAATTTCCGTGGCAGAGAGGCAAATTAGGTTTCCTCTGTGACATAACCTATTTAACCAATTTTTCAAAAAATTGTACTCTATGAGCTTTCTTGTTATAAAGCTAAAAAATTTAATTTGTCTAGGCATGTTGTAATGGTCCCAGAAAATATTACTTTGTCACTGGTGTCAGAGAAACCTCTGTCATCAGCAGATGTCCTAAGAGTATAATTATAGTTCTTTACTTAATCCAAAATTTGTTCTGCTCTGATATCTATAAATGATATGATTATTCAAAATACCTTGAAATGATTCCACAATTAGATTAGGTCTGTTGAAGATAACTTATTCTTAAATATGAGTAAGATTAAATAAAAGTAGTTTGAGAGTTGTTACTCCCTGCCTCAACTCCATGGTATTCCAAAATGTTTTTGTGGGCACTTTAATACTTGTAGTTTGATTTTGTTTGTTAGTTTTAGAAATGAACATTTCTTAGATTTTCATGGGTATTTTTTGGCTGTATTTAAATGTAAATGATATAAAAGTAAGGGAAATTGTGCAAATTATTTCTTGTGTAGTAATCAGTGGAAGTGATCAAACAGCTTGAAGCAGTTTATGATGAGAAAATTTAAAATTGCAAATGACCTGAAAATTTAGCCAGTCTATTCTTATTTCTTTAAATTTCAGAAATACTTAAGAAAAAAAAAAAAAAGGTCAGTATGACCTCTGAGTTGCTTCCTAAAAGTAATCAGATAGTGTTCTCCCTCAGATAAGATTTCAAATTGAAAAGTATTTGACTTCTTTAACTCTAGTAATTGCACTTGATTCTCTAATTCTGATCATTAAAATGACTTGGCAATATTTAATTTTGGCTTGCCTTTCAATCTGCATGTTTGTCTTAAATTTAGAAAAATTAAGCTCTTTACTTACTTTTATATAAAGTATTAATTGGCCAGGCATGGTGGCTTACACCTGTAATCCCAACACTTTGGGAGGCCAAGGCAGGAGAGTTGTTTGAAGCCAGGAGTTTGAGACCAGCCTGGGCAACATGATGAGACCGCGTCTCTACAAAAAGTAAAATTAGCTGGGTGTGGTGCTTCCAGCTACTAGGCAGCTGAGGCTAAAGGATCACTTGAGCCCAGGAGTTCGAGGCTGCAGTGAGTGATGATCTTGCCACTGCACTCCAGCCTGGGAGGCAGAGCAAGAAACACCCTGTGTGAAAAAAGTATTGAATTTGTTTGATTCCACTTTCAAAATATGCTCTAGATACAGGTAGTCATTCTGCCAAATTGTGTTCTTCTCTAAAACATTTTGTCCGTCATTCTTTGAAACTCATTCTTAATTATTTCCACTTTACCTTCTAGTTTGGTTTGATGCCTTATATTCTTGCTAGTTAAAAGCATTTTTTCCCTAGTATTTTCTGTCTTTCTAGCCTTTAAGGCATATTGTTGTTAACAAATCTCTTATTTAAGTTAATTAAAGTTTTTTCTGTGCAGCTGGGTTTTTTCTTTTACTACATGACAAGCTTCATTTTTACATTTGGAAGTACATGTATATATGTTTATATATTTTTATTCTCAGGATCTATTTTCTAGGGAACTATTTTTTTAAATTATTCTTTTGTGCTGCCTTAACCCATTTATTATAGTTTGAATATTAGTAGTACTTACTACTCAAAGATTACAACTATACTAATAACTATCCTAACATACAAAGCAGACTCTCCAGGATTAAAAGTATGAGACATATAACAGAGTCTGGAATAGAATAATTCTTTTTACCCCAGTCAAGTATTTGCCTTTTGCATTATTAAGGAATCTGTTTTGTTCTTTTATTGATAATTTCTATATTTTTTTCTTTGCCTTATTGCACTGGTTGGGACTTTTTGCCTTGATCCAGTTGTAGGGGGGAAACATTCAGTCATTAAGCATTAAATAACTTTGTTGTTGTTGTGGGCTTGAAAAAATACCCTTTAGTAGATTGAGGGTAGACTCTTTTATTTCTGCTTGTTGGAAGTTTTCTGTCAGGAACAGATGTTGAATTTTGTCAGATGCTTTTTCTGCATAATTGATAGGACCTTTTTTCTCCCCTTTAGAATGTTCATATGGTGAAACATACTGATAGCTTTTCTTTTCTTTTTTTTTTGACACGGAGTCTCACTCTGTCACCCAGGCTGGAGTGCAATGGTGCGATCTTGGCTCACTGCACCCTCTGCCTCTTGGGTTCAAGCTTCCCTCACCAGCCTCCCAAGTACCTGGGTATACAGGTGTGCATCACCATGCCCGGCTAATTTTTGAATTTTTAGTAGAGATAGGTTTTTACCATGTTGGCCAGGCTGGTCTTCAACTCCTGACTCAGCCTCCCAAAGTGTTGGGATTACAGTCTCGCTCTGTCGCCCAGGCTGGAGGGCAGTGGTGTGATCTTGGCTCAATGCAACCTTGCAACCTCTGCCTCCCGAGTTCAAGCGATTCTCCTGCCTTAGCCTCCTGAGTAGCTGGAATTACAGGCGCACGCCACTACACCCAGCTTCTTTTTGTATTTTTAGTAGAGATGGAGTTTCACCATGTTGGCCAAGCTGGTCTCGAACTCCTGAGCTCCGGTGATCCACCCGCCTTTACAGGCATGAGCCACCGTGCCCGGCTGCATTTCTCTTTTGTAAGAACCTGCTCTGGTTTATTGATATTTTGCTGTTTTTCTGTTTTAAGTTTCATTAATTTCTGATCTTTAGTATTTTCTCCTTTCTTTGCTTTGGGCTTATTTGCTCCCTTTTCTAGCTTATTGTGGCGGAAGCTCAGATCATTGATTTTAAAATTTACTTATTTATTTATTTATTTATTTAATTCAACACTGATCAGAAGGCTTTTTGTGCTTTTCTAAAAAAAGCATTTAATGCTATAAATTTCCCATTTGCTTTATCTCACAAATTTTATTGTGTTGTAATTTTGTGTTCAATTTAGAATATTCTGATTTTTCTTGGTATTACTATAATTTTCAAATATTTAGAGTTTTTTTCAGTTATCTTTCTGTTACTGATTGTAATTTATTGTTTTTTAAAATTATAGTTCTTTGAATAGTTTTGCAGTATTTGCTCTAGGGATTACTATAAACATACTTCACTTTTTACAGTTCACTTAGAAGTCAATATTTTACCAGTTCAAGTGGAATGTAGAAAAATCTTACCACTGTTTACATTCCTTTACCCTCTCCCCTTTATGTTATAATTTTCTTATAAATCATAAGACTTGGCTGGGCACAGTGGCTCACCTGTAATCCCAGGACTGGGAGGCCGAGGCGAGCAGATTGCTTAAGTCCAGGAGTTCGAGACCAGCCTGGACAATGTGGTGAAACCCCAACTCTACAAAAAATACACAAAATTAGCTAGGCGTGGTAGCATGTTCCTGTAGTCCCAGCTACTCAGGAGGCTGAAGTGGGAGGATTACTTGAGCCCAGGAGGCAGAGGTTGCAGTGAGCCAAGATCACTCCACTCCACTCCAGCCTGAGTGACAGAGCTAGACACTGTGTCTCAAAAAATAAAAATAAAAAATAAGACTCATCAGATAATGTATTTTTTCCTTACAACTATCATAGATATTTTTAAGAACCCAAGAGGAAAACAGTCTATCACATTTACCACAATATTTATCATTTGTATTAATCTTCCTTAATTCTTGATGTTCCAAGTTTACATAGGTATCAGTCCTTTTCATCTGGAAAATTTCTTTTAGTGCAGGTCTGTTGACATTTAATTCTCTTATTTTTTCTTCATCTGAGAATGTCTTTATTTTGCCTTAATTCATGAAAGATATTTTTGCTGGATATAAACTACTGTGTTGACAGTTCTTTCAGCCTCCATGGTTTCTGATGAGAAATGTGCAGCCATTAAAGTAATATTTCCCCTGTATGAAACATGTTATTTTTCTCTGAGTATTTTCAGGAATCTTTGTCTTTGGTTTTTATTGGTTTGATTATGATGTGCCCGGGTGTTTGAATTTATTCTCTTTGGGATTTGTTGAGCTTAAATGTGTAAGTTTATGCCTTTCATCAGATTATGTAAAGTTTTAAACCATTCAGATATTTTCTGCTCTACTTTCTCCTCCCTCTTAGGCTCCAGTGATGCAAGTGTTAGACTCTTTGGTATTATCTCACAGATCTCAGAACCTCTGTTCATTTATTTTATTTTAATAAATCATTTCAGTTAACAAAATCATATATTGTATGCAGCATGATGTTTCAATATGTATGTTCACATTGTAGGATGTCTAAAGTAAAGATAATGAACATATGCATTATCATGTATACTTACCATTTTTTTTGTGGCTGCAACAATTCTCTTGGCAATTTTCAAGTATACAATATGTTATTAACTATAGTCGTTATGCTGTATAATTGATCTCTTGAACTTTTGCCTCCTAACTGAAAGTTTGTTTCATTTGACCAGCATCTCCCTAGCTCCCCTCCCTCACCACTGGTAACCACCATTCTACTGTCTGTTTCTATGAGTTTGACTTTTTTAGATTCCACATGTAAGTGAGGTTATACAATACTTGTTTTTTTGTGCCTGGCTTATTTCACTTAATATTCACCAGGTTATCCATATTGTCATAAATGGCAGGATTTCCTTTTTAATGGCTGAAGAGTATTCTACTGTGTGTATGTACTACATTTTCTTTTTTTTTTTTTTTTTTTTTTTTGAGATGGAGTCTCACTCTGTTGCCCAGGCTAGAATGCAGTGGCGTGATCTCGGCTCACTGCAAGGTTTGCCTCCCGGGTTCACACCATTCTCCTGCCTCAGCCTCCCGAGTAGCTGGGACTACAGGCGTCCGCCACCATGCCCGGCTAATTTTTTTGTATTTTTTAATTGAGACGGGGTTTCACCGTGTTAGCCAGTATGGTCTTGATCTCCTGACTTTGTGATCCGCCCACCTCGGCCTTCCAAAGTGCTGGGATTACAGGCGTGAGCCACTGCGCCTGGCCTATGCTACATTTTCTTTATCCATTCATCTGTTGAACACTTACATTGATTTTATATCTTGACTATTGTGAATAATGCTACAATGAAAATGGGAGTGCAGATATCTCTTCAACGTACAACGTACTGACATCATTTCCTTGGATATATACCCAAAAATGGGATTGCTGGATCATAAGGTAGTTCTATTTTTAGTTCTTTGATGAACCTCCATACCATTTTCCATAATGACTGTACCAGTTTACATTCCCACCAACAGTGTACAGGATTTTCTGTTTCTCCACATCCTGACCAACACTTGTTATTTTTTGTCTTTTTAATAATAGCCATTCTGACAGGTGTGAGCTGATATTATGGTTTTGATTTACATTTCCCTGATGATTAGTGATGCTGAGCACTTTTTCTTATATGTGTACACCATTTGTATGTCTTCTTTTTAAGAAATGTCTATTCACATCCCTTGCCCATTTTTAAATTGGGTTATTTTCTTGCTATTGAGTTGTTTGAATTACTTATGTATTTTGGATATTAACCCCTTAGATGTATGTTTTGCAAATATTTCCTCCCATTCAACAGATTATCTCTTCACTCTTGATTGTTTCCTTTGCTGTGTAGAAGCTTTTTAGTTTGATGTAGTCTCACTTGTTTGTTTCTGCTTTTGTTGCCTGTGCTTTTGGTGTAATATTCAAAAATCATAGCCAAGGCCAATATCAAGGAGTTTTTCTAGCTTGTTACCTGTTTTCTTCTAGTAATTTTATGATTTCTGGTCTTAGGTTTAGGTTTTTTAATCCATTTTGAGTTGATTTTTTGTATATGGTGTAAGGTAAGGGTCCAGTCTAGTTCTTTTGTATATGGATAGCCTGTTTTCCCAACACCATTTGTTGATGATACTATCCTTTTTCCATTGTGTCTTCTTGGTGGCCTTGTTGAAAATTAGTTGAACATATATGATTGGGTTTGTTTCTGGACTTGCTGTTCTTTTTCATTGGTGTATGTGTCTGTTTTTATGCTAGTACCATACTGTTTTGATTAGCTTTGTAATATAGTTTGAAATCATGAATTGTGATGCCTCCAACTTTGTTTTCCTTTCTCAAGATTGTTTTTGCTATTTGGGGTCTTTTGTGTTTTTTTAAGAGTTTTTTTTTTTCTGTGAAGAATGTCATTGGAATTTTGATAGGGGTTGTGTTGAATCTGTATCATTTTGGATAGTATGTGTAGTTTAAATAGTATTCTTCAAATCTATGAACATGGGATATCTTTCCTTTTTTTGTGTCTTTGGTTTCTTTCATCAATGTTTGATAGTTTTCAGGGTACAGATCTTTATTAGTTAAAATTATTTCTGGGCTGGGCGTGGTGGCTCACGCCTATAATCCCAGCACTATGAGAGTTCGAGGCAGGTGGATCACGAGGTCAGGAATTCAAGACCAGCCTGGCCAAGATGGTGAAACCCCATCTCTACTAAAAATACAAAAATTATCCGGGTATGGTGGCGGGTGCCTGTAATCCTAGCTACTCGGGAGGCTGAGGCAGAGAATTGCTTGAACCTGGCAGGTGGAGGTTGCAGTGAGCCGAGATCGCGCCACTGCACTCCAGCCTGGGCAACAGAGCGAAACTCCATCTCAAAAAAAAAAAAAAGTCTAAATATTTTATTCTTTTGATGGTATTGTAAATGTGATTTTTTTCTTGATTTTTTTTTTGGATAGATTGTTATTGGTGTAAAGAAATGCAACTGATATTTGTATGTTGATTTTGTATCTTACAACTTATTAATTCATTTATTCTAATAATTTTTCTGTGAAGTTGTTAGGGTTATTTATATTGAGGATCATGTCATCTACAAATGGATAATTGTACTTCTTTCTTTCTGATATGATGCCTTTTATTTATTTTTCTTGCCTGATTGCTCTTGCTAGTATCTTTAGTGCTATGTTCAGTGGAAGTATTGAGTGGGCATCCTTGCCTTACACAGATCTTAAAGGAAAAGCTTTCCGTTTTTTCCCCATTAATGATATTAGCTGAGAATGTAGGCTATTCATAAATTGCCTTTATTACATTGAGGAATTTGTCTTCTATATTTATTTTGTTGAGAGTTCTTTTATCATAAAAGGATGTTATGTCATTGCGATGTCTGACTTTAGTATTAGGGTGATGCTGCACTCAGAAAATGAGTTCAGAACTTGTACTTTTTGGCAGAGTTTACGAAGGATTGGTATAAATTCTTTTTTTTTTTTTTTTGAGACAGAGTTTTGCTCTTGTTGCCCAGGCTGGAATGCAATGGTGTGATCTTGGCTCATGCACCCTCCGCCTCTTGGGTTCAAGTGATTCTCCTGCCTTGGCCTCCTGAGTAGCTGTAATTACAGGCGTCTGCCACCAAGCCTGGCTAATTTTTGTATTTTTAGAAGAGATGGGGTTTCACCATGTTGGGCAGGCTGGTCTTAAACTGCTGACCTCAGGTGATCTGCCTGCCTCAGCCTCCCAAAGTGCTAGGATTACAGGCATGAGTCACTGCACCTGGTCAGTATTAATTCTTTGAATATTTGGTAGAATTCAACCATGAAGCCATCTGGTCCTGGGCTTTTCTTTGATGAAAAGTATTTTATTACAACTTTAATATTTTTATTTGTGATTGGTATGTTCAGGTTTTCTAGTCTTGATTCAATCTTTGTAGGTTCTATGTTTCTAGAAATACCCATTTTCTCTAGGTTATCCAATTTGTTGGCATATAATTGATAATAATAGTCCCTTATGGTCCTTTTTATTTCTGTGACATCAGTTGTAATGTCTCCGCTTTCATTTCTGATTTTGAGTCTTCTTTTTTTTCTTTTTTTCTTTTTCTTTTTTTTTTTTTTTTTGAGACGGAGTCTTGCTCTGTCGCTCAGGCTGGAGTGCAGTGGCGCGATCTCGGCTCACTGCAAGCTCCACCTCCCGGGCTCACGCCATTCTCCTGCCTCAGCCTCCGGAATAGCTGGGACTACAGGCGCCCACCACCACGCCCGGAGAATTTTTTTTTGTATTTTTAGTGGAGACAGCGTTTCACCATGTTAGCCAGGATGGTCTCGATCTCCTGACCTCGTGATCCACCCGCCTTGGCCTCCCAAAGTGCTGGGATTACAGGCGTGAGCCACTGCGCCCGGCCGTCTTCTTTTTTTTCTTAGTGTAGCTAAAGGTTTCTCAACTTTTATATTTTTTGAAAAACCAACTTGATTTTGTTGATTTTCTGCAGTTTTTCTATTCTCTCTTTGATTTATTTCTGTCCTGATCTTTATTATTTCCTTCCTTCTGTTAACTTTGGGTTTAGTTTGTTCTTTTTCTAGTACCTTGAGGGGTAAACTTAGGTTATTTGGGATCTTTCTTCTTTTATAATGTAGGCATTTATCACTATAAAATTCCCTTTTAGTAGTGCTTTTGCTACATCCCGTAAGTTTTGATATGTAGTATTTTTGTCTTCATTTGTGTGTATGTATGTATGTATGTATATGTATGTATATATACACACAGGGTCTTGCTATTTTACCCAGGCGGAGCTCAAACTAACAATCCTCCCATCTCAGCCTTCCAAGCGGCTGAGACTACAGGTGTGTACCACCATTCCCAGCTTGAGATATTTTTAAATTTTCTTTTTTTAAAATTCGCATATAAAATTTATTTCCATATAGAAAAATTTATAAGCTAAATATAAAGATTAAACTAAAATAGTGTTTGAAAAGCCCACTACTTCAGTGCTAACAAACTAAATGAAAATAAGGCTATTTTGCATTTTAAATCATAAAAAACTGAAATATATATTAAAATAATTAGATCCCCAGTGTTTGCTCTTTTTTTTATTTTATTTTCTTTCCTGCTACAGCTTCTTTCTTACCTGAGTGTTTGCTCTTCTTCCATCACAGCTATATTGAAGAGCATACTGGTTTGGGTTGACTGGCCTACCTTGGTCATCTCTTATTAATCTAAAAACATCACAAATGTCATGCAGTTTCTGTTTCATTATGTTAATAGCTTTATTACATTGGGCTCACTCTCAAGAGTTTCCTTCTTTGCTTGCAATTTACATACATCATCCTCTAGATTCAAAATTATGTCTAATTTGCATTTGTAACAGTTCTGAGCAGCAACTTTACTTTTCCCTCTTCATCTGATATCACAGATGAGCAAGACTTGTAGGTCTGTCAGATAGTACCTATTTAATGTGCTACTGAAAAAATCAACAGGTGGGCTGGGCACAGTGGCTCATGCCTATAATCCCAGCACTTTGGGAGGCCGAGCTGAGCAGATCACCTGAGGTCAGGAGTTCGAGACCAGCCTGGCCAACATGGTGAAAACCCGTCTCTACTAAAAATACAAAAATTAGCCAGGCGTGGTGGCGGGTGCCTGGACTCTCAGCTACTTGGGAGGCTGAGGCAGAAGAACTGCTTGAACCCAGGAGGTAAAGGTTGCAGTGAGATGACATCACACCACTGCACTCCAGCCTGGGCAAGAGAGCAAGACTCGGTCTCAAAAAAACAAAAAACAGGCATGTGGACAATTTCATCTACAGAAAAAGGGATATGCAAAGCTTTAGCATGCCATTCATCACAGCTCAAGTTTCTATCAGTCACTGAGGTACCTACTCCTTATTTTCTGTGACTTTCCAGGCCTGAAAAAGATTCCGAAGTAGATTCTGGTGCATTTGGCTGTAAGTGATAAGTGTGGTTATAAAATATGTCTTGAAATGCAAGATCCCCATGGAAACCATAATCACTACTATGATCCATGTGATAAAACATACTGGGTTCTGGGTAGCAGCCTCCTACAGCACCTTCTAAGTCATGATGGGAACGAGACTATACTAAAACCCTATAGCAGCTTCACAGAGTGAGAAGAATTAGACCTGGTGATAGAGGTGCTATTGTGACGAGTCTAAAGAAAGGCCAGAATCAGAATCTGGTTCTTCAGAAAGCCGAGAAACATCCAAAGTCCTTGTCTGTGGCTAATGACATTAAGTTTATCAAATACATTTACGGGAAGGTCATATAGTAGGTCTTGGCTTTTTAGATTCGTCATCTGATTGTCAACATGTGGAAGAGATCCTCTCAAATTAGTTCTAGGAAGGGTTTGCCCAGGATTGGTGGTATGAGAATGTAACTGTAGAAATGGTTCTTGTGCCTGTGAAGTGCTTCCTACTGGATCTCCTCGAAATGTATTGTTGGGACACAGCAACATGGCCTCATGAATATTGACATCGTGACTTACAGCCTGGGTAAAGTCTCCATTATAATGTGCTGAAGAAATTCATGCCATCATTGATACTGCCTGGAAAAGGAGGAATATCTCCCGATGAGATCCCTCCAGTGAATTTTCAGGCTATGATGAAAACAACAATCTTCCAGAGAGAAAGAAGTATCTGTCCCATTCAGATGTCTCATTTCTAGGTTCAGTGGTCTTTTCTGCCTCCCGGTCAGGTTTATCTGCTGTTTGTTTTCATCTTCATTGTTCTGCTTTGTAATGAGTTCTTCTGGGTTGACACATTTTCCTCGTGCTGGGAACTGGGAGCCCCAGCTTCATGCTCTTTTCTTAGTGCCTCATTTTTCTCGTTCTTCCCCGCCGGCCCAGGGGCTACTCCGAGCTGCTTGGGGATCCCCGCCGCCCCCACTGTGCAGCCTGGCTGGCGCCGACTCCTCTGGCCAACGTGGCGGTGGCGCCGAGCAGCCCGTGAGCCACGTCTGCATCCTCAGCTGCCACGCTGTGCACCAGCCACGAATCCACTTGGCTGCGGGGGATGCAGGGGACCCCCGAGCGCGCGCACCTCCCGGAGCGGCTGGCCCTTGGTGTGCACCTGGCCCGCTCACCCTCCCGAGGCGGGGAAGGGGCTGAGCGCGGAGGCGGAGCTGGCCGGGCCTTTCGGGAGTAGCAGCTCATCGCGGTAGCAGGGTGGGCGGAGCTGGCAGGGTGGGCGGAGCTGGCAGGGTGGGCGGAGCTGGCAGGGTGGGCGGAGCTGGCAGGGTGGGCGGAGCTGGGTGGGCGGTGGCAGGCAGAGGGTGAGGTCCATTTTCTTATTTCCTTTTTAGTCCAGTGGCTGTTTAGGAGTATGTTATTTAGTTTTCACTATTTGTGAATGTTCCTTTTTTGTGTGTGTGCTGTTACGGATTTCTAATTTCACTCCATGTAGTTGGAAAACATACTTGATATGATTTTGACCTTAAATTTGTTAAGACTTCTGTTGTGGCCTAACGTGATCAATATATCTGGGAGAATGTTTTGTGTGTGCTTAAGAATGTGTAGGCCAGGCTTGGTGGCTCACACCTGTAGTCCCAGCACTGTGAGGCTGAAGGGACAGGATCGCTTGAGGCCAGTTCAAGATTACACTGAGCTCTGATCACACCACTGCAGTCTAGCCTGGGTGGCAGATTGAAATCCTGTATCTTAAAAAAGAAGAATAAGAATAAGAATGAGGAGGAAGAGGAGGAGGAGGGGGAGGGGGAGGAGGAGGGGGAGGAGGAGGAGGAGGAAGAAAAGCAGAATGTGTATTCTGTTGAGTGAAAAGTTCTATTTATGTCTGTTAAGTCCATTTGTTATAGTGTTCAAGTTCACTCCTTACCGATTTTCTGTCTGGACGTTCTGTCTGTTACTGAAAGTGGAGTGTTGAAGTCTCCTACTACTATTGCTGTCAATTTGTACTTTTAGATCTGTCAATATTTGCTTTGTTAGGTGCTTTTAAGTTTGGTGTATATATATTTCTAATTGTTATATCTTGTTGACCCATTTTTTGTTAAATGACCTTCTTTGTGTCTAGTGACAGTTTTTGACTTAAAGTCTGCCTTCTTGGATATGAGTTATAGCAACTTCTGCCTTTTTTGGGTTAACATTTGCATGCAATATCTTTTTTCTTCCCTTCACTTTCAGCCTTTGTGTGTCCTTGAGTCTAAACGAGTTTCTTGTAGACAACATATAAATTTTAAATCTGTTCAGGTACTCTACATCTTTCTTTTGTGGAGTTTATTCCATTTACATTTTTTTGTTTTAAAAAATATTTTTATTTGACAAATTATAATTGTATACATGAATGGGGCACAATGTAATGGTTTGATGTATTATATAATGTGGAATAATTAAGCTAATTAACATACCTATCACCTCATTTTTTTTGTTGTAAGACCTTTAAAATTTATTCTTAGCTATTTTGAAATACATAATGCATTATCATTGACTATAGTTGCCCTACTGTGTGTTAGATCTTATATATTTTTCATCCTAATGGAAACTTTGTACTCTTAGATCATTTATTTGACACTCTGATTCCTTGTTCTCTCCTTCTTCTAACCCCCAGCCTCTGGTAACCACCTTTCTACTCTAGTACTATGAGTTTGACATTTTTTAGATTCCACATATAAGTAAGATCGTGTGGCATTTGTCTTTCTGTGCCTGCCTTATTTTACTTAGCCTGATGTCCTCCAGGTTCATCCACAGTATCACAAATGACAGGATTTTCTTCTTTTTAAAGGCTGAATGATATTCTATTGTTGTATATACCATATTTTCTTTATCCATTCATCTGTTGATGAATATTTAGGTTGAATTCATATCTAGCTATTGCAAATAATGTTGCAATAAACATGGGAGTGCAGATACCTCTTCAGCATGATTTTAATGCATTTATTCCATTCAAATTTAAAGTAATTTTTGGTAAGGAAGGATTTATTCTTGCCATTTTGTTGTTTTATTTGTCTTGTGGTTATTTTATTTCCTTTTTTTTTCTTGCTGTCATTTTGTTTCTTTTTTTTTTTTTTTTTTTTTTTTTGCATTGCTAGGTTTTGATTCCCTTTTTCTTTGTGGTTATCACGGGGCTTACACAGAATATAGTTCTCACAGTCTACTTTAAGCTGATAACTTCCCTCTCATGCAAGAATGCTTTTCTCTCTTCTCTTCCCACATTATGCTATTGATGTCACAATTGTCTACTATTTATATTATGTATCCATTAACATATTTTAGTATTAGTTGTTTTTAATACTTTAACCTTTTTTTTTTTTTTTTTCTGGGATAGAGTTTTCCTTGTTGCCCAGGCTGGAGTGCAATGTCGCAATTTTGGCTCACTGCAACCTCCGCCTCCCGGTTCAGGAGATTCTCCTGCCTCAGCCTCCCAAGTAGCTGGGACTAGAAGTGCCCGCCACCACGCGTGGCTAATTTTTTTGTAATTTTAGTAAAGACGGGGTTTTGCTGTGTTGACTTAAGGTGATCCGCCTGCCTCAGCTTCCCAAAGTGCTGGGATTACAGGTGTGAGCCACCAAGCCTGGCCTAATACTTCAAACTTTTTTTTTTTTTTTTTTTTTTGCTTTTTAAGAGACAGGGTCTTGCTCTGTCACCCAGGCTAGTGGCCTGATCTTGGCTCACTGCAACCTCCACCTCCTACATTCAAGTGATTCTCCTGCCTCAGCTTCCCAAGTAGCTGGGGGATTACAGGTGTGCACTACCACACTCAGCTAATTTTTGTATTCTTTTTAGTAGAGATGGGGTTTTGCCATGTCGGCCAGGCTGGTCTCGAACTCCTGACCTCAAGTGATCCACTCACCTCAGCCTCCCAAAGTGCTGGGATTATAGGTGTGAGCCACCGTGCCTGGCCTAAACTTTCATAGTAAGATTGCAGTCTATTTACTCACCACTGTTGGAATAATAAAAGATTTTTTGCCTGTGTATTTACATCTACCAATGAGTTTTATGCTTTATTTTGCTTTCCTATTGTTGTTCAGCATTCTTTCAGCTTGAAGGACTCCCCATATCATTTCTTATTTCTTGTCAGACAGGTCTAGTGGTGATAAACTCCCTCAGTTTTTGTTTGTCTGAGTAAGTCTTTATAGCCCCTCTTTTTTTTTTTTTTTGGAGTCTCACTCTTGCTGGAGTGTAATGGTGTGATCTCGGGTCACTGCAACCTCCGCCTCCCGAGTTCAAGTGATTCTCCTGCCTCAGCCTCCCAAGTAGCTGGGATTACAGGCACCTGCCACCACGCTCAGCTAATTTTTGTATTTTTAATAGAGATGGGGTTTCACCATGTTGGCTAGGCTGGTCTCGAACTCCTGACCTCAGGTGACCTGCCTGCCTCAGCCTCCCAAAGTGCTGGGATTACAGGCATGAGCCACCCCACCTGGCCCAGCCCCTTGTTTTTTAAGGATAGTTTTGATGGGCATAATATTTTTGGTTGGCAGTTTTCTTCCTTGAGTACTTTGAATGTACTGTTCCACTCCCTTCTGTCCTGCAAGGTTTCTGCTGAAAACGGTTAGTCTAATGTGGATTTCCTTGTATGTACCAAGCTGCCTTTCTCTTGCTGCTTCAAAATTCTTTGTCTTTACCTTTTGTTAGTTTGATTATAATATGTCTCTGTGTAGATCTCTTTGGATTCTTCTTATTTGGCATCCTTTGGGCTTCCTGGATCCAGATTTCTCTTTTCTTCCCCAGTCTTGGGAAGTTTTCAGCCATCTCTTTCTCTCTCTCTCCTCCTAGTACTCCAGTAATGTATAAATTGTTCTCCTTAATGCTTTCCAATAAGTCTTTTAAGTTATCTTTACTCTTTTATTCTATTTTTACTTCTCAGATTGCGTGATTGTGATTGACCTCTTTTCTAGTTCACTGATCCTGTCTTCTTGATCTAGTCTGCTGTTGAATGCTATTGAATTTTTCAGTTCAGTTATTCTTCAGCTCTGCGATTTCTGCTTGATAATTTTAAATATTTCCTATCTCTGTTGAAATTTTCAGTTCAAGAATTGCTCTCTTAATCTTGGTGAACGTCTTTATGACCTATTTCACATTCCCTATCAGGTAAATCACGTATCTTTATTTCCCTAGGTTCTGTTTCTGGAGATTTATCTTGTTCTATTTGTAACATATTTCCCTGTTTCTTCACTTTTCTTGACTTTCTGTGTTGGTTTTTGCACAGTAGGTAAGACAGCCACCTCTTCTAGTCTTGTCACACTGGCCTCATCTGGGAGATGGACCTCACCAACCAGCCCTACCAGATATTCTAATTCTAGATGCCTCTCATATCTTTTTGCTTGTCCAAATTGCTTTGTTCTTCATGGCCCTTTGGATACTAGGGTGTGCCAAGTTCTGTCAGCACCCCAAGATATGTGAGATAGAAGCCAGTCCCTTGAGATGCAGCTTGAAAAGTCGGAGTGCTAGATTTATGTTCCAATTCCTTCTACCTCAGGGAGAAGCTGGGAGCTAGAGTTTATCTCCCACTTACTCTGTCCTAAGCCTGGAAGAGGATCTGTGGCAAATGCCTGCACTTTTATGCAGTCTGCACATTCCGAGTTTCAAAGGAATCCACTGGATGTGCACCCATTTAGCAACCAGCTTTTTTTGTCTTCTGTGTTCTGGGGAGACTCCAGAATACAGAGCCCTGTCAACTCCCAGAGCTAGGTGATTTAGGAATCAGTTCCTCATATGGGAACTGTTAAAATTGGGGCACTTGATGCATACATATACTTTTTCCAGGAAATCTGCAGACCTGGATTTATCACTTAGTTGAGCTGGTGGAGAAGGTACAGGAAGTGCCCATTCTTCCCTAGAGCCTTTCAGAGGTTTATTGTTTATCTGCTCTGTTTGCTCCCAGATACAGGCTAGCCAGAAGCCCGACCCTCAGGCAGTAGCTGGAAAAGTATGCAGACAGACCTCTTTCAGAGAGATACTTGGAGCTGGGCCTCTTAGCTTATTCTCTCTGGACTGATCCTGGGTGGGCTACAGCCACTGGAAGTGCCCTTTAACTCTACAAGTTAGATGAGCTCACAAACAAACTCTTCATTCCTGAGGGAGAAGCTGGGAGTTGGGGGATGCTTCCTGTTTGTAAAGTGCTGTCCCTGTGGTGGGGTTTGTGCACAAAGGTGTCTCAGCTTTTACTACCTGTTTTGATGTGAATATTTTCTCAGTTGCTCAGTGTGTTAGAGTCTTTCAACTAGTTTTTGGCATTCTCTCAGAGGGATTTAATTTGTGCGTAGATGTTTATTTGGTGTGTCTGTGAGAGGAGATGAAGTCAGCATTCTCCTTTTCTGCCATCTTGCTAATGTTTATTGTAATTTTCTTTTTCTTTTCTTTTTTTTTTTTTTTTTTTTTTTGAGACAAGGTCTTGCTCTCTCACCCAGATTGGCATGCAGTGGCATGATCACAGCTCACTGCAGCCTCAATTTCCTGGGCTCAAGCAATTCTCTGGCCTCAGGCTTCCTGAGTAGCTGGGATTACAGGCACACACCACCACACCCAGCGGATTTTAAAAAATTTTTTGTAGAGATGAGGTCTCACTATGTTTCCCAGGCTGGTCTCAAACTCCTGAGCTCAAGTGATCCTACTGCCTTGGCCTCCCAGAGTGTTGGGATTATAGGCATGAGCCACTGTGCCCAGCTTAATTTTCTTTTCTTTTGATGTCTTTGTCTGTCTATATCAGGGTAATGCTGGCCTCATAGAATGAGTTAGTATGTGTTGCCTCCTGTTCTGTTTTGTAGAAGTATTTGATATTAAAATTCCTTAGGCTGGGTGCAGTGGCTCACGCCTCTATTCCCAGCACTTTGGGAAGCTGAGGGAGGGGGATCACCTGAGGTCAGGAGTTTGAGACCAGCCTGGCCAACATGGCAAAACCCCATCTCTACTAAAAATACAAAAATTAGTCAGGCATGGTGGTGCTCACTTGTAATCCCAACTACTTGGGAGGCTGGGGCAGGAAAATTGCTTGAACCCAGGAGGCAGAGGTTGCAGGGAGCCAAGATCATGCCACTGCACTCCAGCGTGGGCAACAGAGCGAGACTCCGTCTCAAAAAAAAAGAAAAATTCTTTAAATGTTTTATGGAATTCATCAGTGAAACCATCTGGTTCTGGACTTTCCTTTGTTGAAAGGTTTTTGATTACTGAGTCAATCTCTCGTTATGTGTCTGTTGAGATTCTCTATTTCTTCTTGAGTCATTTAGGTAGTTTGTGTGTTTCTAGGAATTTGTCTGTTTCATCTAGGTTATTTAATTTGTTGGCATACAATTGTGCATAGTCTTTTCTTATAATCCTTTGTGTTTCTGTATGGTCAGTAGTAATGTCCTCACTTTCACTTCTGACTTTACTCATTTGCCTCTTCTTTTTCCTTAGTCTAGCTAAATGTTTGTTAATTTTGTTGATCATTTCAAAGAACCAATTTATGGTTTCATTGATTCTCTCTATTGGTTTTCTATTCTCTATTATATTTATCTCCAACTGGTAATTTTAAGGAACTCAATTCCAGAACCTCAACTTCTATTTTATTATTTACTATGGCATCATATAAGTTCTTTTCTACCACCCCTTTCTCTCCAGTCCTTCCCCAACCTGGCAAAATAAAGTTGAAACCTTCACTCATCTGAATCTTACTGTGGAGCATTTTCTGGAGTGCAAAAACCTCCAGGATGCCCCCCAAAATGGCCATTTGAAATATTGTAATGTTTTATGCCCTAATCTTACTATAGGGTTTCCTTTTTGCTTTTATCTGTTGAGGGTAAAGCATTGTCAGTCAGGGTTCAACCAAGGAAAGAGGACCAGTAGGAGATAACCATTAAGAAATTTATTGCGGCTGGGCACGGTGACTCACGCTTGTAATCCCAGCACTTTGGGAGGCCTAGGTGGGTGGATCATGAGGTCAGGAGTTTGAGACCAGCCTGGCCAACACAGTGAAACTCCGTCTCTACTAAAAATACAAAAAAATTAGCTGGGCGTGGTGGTGGGCGCCTGTAATGCTAGTTACCCAGGAGGCTGAGGCAGGAGAATTGCTTGAACCCAGGAGGCAGAGGTTGCAGTGAGCTGAGATCATGCCATTGCATTCCAGCCTGAGCGACACAGCGAGACTCTGTCTCAAAAAAAAAAAAAAAAGTCTTTCTGAACAAAATATTGAACCTCATTCGATCTAAGACACCGTCAGCTGTCAAATACACTTTTGTGTCATGTAACACATATAAGGAAGCCAATTAACCTTTAACATTTTAATTTTGTACTTAAAAATTATTTTAGGCTGGGCATGGTGGCTCATGCCTGTAATCCCAGCACCTTGGGAGGCCAAGGTAGGAGGATTGCTTGTGACAAGAAGTTTGAAACCAGCCTGGGCCACATAGGGAGACAGCCTCTCTACAAAAAAAAAAAAAAAAAAATTAACCAGGCAAGATGCACACCTATAGACCCAGCTACTTAAGAAACTGAGGCAGGAGGATTCAGCCCACAAGTTTGACATTGCAGTGAGCTGTGATCACACCACTGCACTCCAGCCTGGGTGACAGAGAAAGACTCTGTCTCTAAAAAAAAAAAAAAAAAAAAAAAAAATTTATTTTAGACTTATTTAGACATAGAATTAATGATGATGAACAGCTGTGGCCAAGTTCACTCATGTGCAGACAATGATAACCATACCACAACTGCTACCTGGCTGATGGTGTCAGATACCATTGATTGTATGATGCACGTGAATTTCAGAGATGTTAAAAAGTGGGGGAAGAAAGTGCATCTTGGCCAGACATGGTGGTTCACGCCTGTAATCCCAGCCCTTTAGGAGCCTGAGGTGGGTGGATCTCCTGAGCTCAGGAGTTCAAGACCAGCCTGGGCAACATGGTGAAACCCTGTCTTTACCTAAGATAAAAAATAAAAAAAGGGTCAGCCGTGGTGGCTCACGCCTGTAATCCTAGCACTTTGGGAGGCCAAGGCAGGCGGATCACGAGGTCAGGAGATTGAGACCATCCTGGCTAACACGGTGAAACCCCGTCTCTACTAAAAATACAAAAAATTAGCCAGGGGTCGTGGCGGGCGCCTGTAGTCCCAGCTACTTGGGAGGCTGAGGCAGGAGAATGGCGTGAACCCGAGAGATGGAGCTTGCAGTGAGCCGAGATCACACCACTGCACTCCAGCCTAGGTGACAGAACGAGACTCCATCTCCAAAACAACAACAACAACAACAACAACATTTTAAAAAGCGCATCTTAAAGTCAATGAAATATGTTTTGCTTCAGCCAATCCCTAGAATATAGAGACTTTATTTTTCTTGATTCAATTACATGTCTTTGATACATGAATTTATGTAAAATAATTTTTGTGTCCCAAGACTTCAGATTTTAAAATGTTTCTAGCTTTAAGAGAAAATATTTTGGCTGAGGCAATGATTTGTTGTTGATTCTTATTTCAGGCAATAGCAGAGGCTCTGTGACTGAGTTGTCAAACATACATATTAAGAATTTGGTTTTTTTCATTTTATCAGACAGAAAAGATGATTAAAAGTTTATGACCCTCCTAGAGAGATGTATGCTGTTTGATTCTTAGCTACAATTTCATAACACTTTAAATTTCTTCTTAGTGTGGCATAAAGAACAATATTTTGGAGTCAAACAGACCGACTTGGATTTATATTCTGGCTTTGCCACTTACTAATGATGTGACTCGGTATGTCACTTCACCTTCCTAGATCTCAGTTTGCTCCTCTGTAAACTCCTCATAGATTAGACAATGTATATAAAGCATAAACTGTTTACCAGAGCAGTTGTTTAGTAAACTGCTGTATCGATGAAAATGATGGTCTATTGGAGTGCTAGGAATACACGATTGGTAGAGCTGGATGGCACGCCAGGCAGTGGGGTTGCTGGAACCTTACCTGGAGTCAGTCTGGAGAGGAAGGATAGTTTTTTAATAGGTCATTCCTCAGGAAATGAAGTGACTTTACTATTAGTCAAAAAGAATTAGTGTTACAAATTGCCGCTAGAGAGAAGGAATAAATTCTAGTGTTCCATAGCACCGTAGGATGACTATAGTTAATAATACATAGTTTCTTTCTTTTTTTTTTTTTTTTTTGAGACAGGGTCTTACTGTATTGGCCAGGCTGGAGTGCAGTGGAGTGATCCTGGCTCACTGCAGCCTAAAACTCTTGGGCTCAGGCAATCCTCCCACCTTAGCCTCCCGAGTAGCTGGGACTACAGGTGGGTGCCACCATGACTGGCTAAATTTTTTAAAAGTAGTTTGTAGAGACAGAGTCTCATAATATTGCCCAGGCTAATATATAGTTTCAAATAGTTAGAAAGAGGATATTGAATGTCCCCAACACGAAGAAACGATAACTGGTTGAAATGATGGATATGCCAGTTACCCTGATTTGATCACTCTACACTGTATTATCAGAATATCACTATGTATCTCTTAAATATGTACAATTATGTCAAATTTTTAAAAAGTGGCCCTGACTCAGATAGATAGATAGATGATAGATAGAATTAGTGCTAATAAACACCATATTGGCCTTTTTTGGGGTTTTGTTTTTGTGTTTTTTTTTTTGAGACGGACACTCACTCTGTTGCCCAGGCTGGAGTGCAGTAACACAATCTCAGCTCACTGCAACCTTTGCCTCCTGGGTTCAAGTGATTCTTCTGCCTCAGCCTCCAGAGTAGCTGGGACTATAGGTGTGCACCTCCGCACCCGGTTAATTTTTGTATTTTTAGTAGAGACAGGTTTTCACCATGTTGGTCAGGGTAGTCTCAAACCCCTTGACCTCAGATGATCCACCCATCTTGGCCTCCCAAAGTGCTGGGATTACAGGCTTGAGCCACTGCGGCTGGCCAATATTGTTGAATGATAACATTATATTAGTCTGGGAGCAGAAGGAAAGGTTGGGACTGCAAAAAGAATGGTTTTTGATCATTTGAGAGGGATTTTGAAATAGGAATTGATTCCTAAAGCTTACGAATGGAAGAGGTCATTTACTCTTCATTCATGAAGTACGTATTGAGCACCTGCTAAATGTCAGGTGTTCTGCTAGGCCCTGGGAACTCGGTGGTGAGGATGCAGACAAGGTCCCTGTCCTTGCGGAGCTTACTTTAGGGTGGGGGTAAGGATACGCAATAAAAAAGGAAACCACTTTAAAGACAAGTTAATGATATAATGATTCTTAGGGTTTTCTGGTAAGGGAAGGTCTCTCTGGGAAGATGACATTTAACTGAGGCCTGATGACAGAGTGATGTTTCTTGTGCTTGAGGTTCATTGAGCTTCTTCTTTTTATCTGTGGATTTATAGTTGGCTCTCTCTCTCTCTGTCTCTCTGTCTCTCTCTCCTTTCTTTCTTCTTTCATTTTATTTTCTTTGTTTTTATAGGGTCTGGCTCTGTTGTCCAGACTGGAGTGCAGTGGTGCGATCTTGGCTCACTGCATGCTGCTTCCTGGGCTCAAGCGATTCTCCTGCTTCAGGCTCCCAAGTAGCTGGGACTACAAGTTCATGCCACCAGGCCTAGCTAATTTTTTAAATTTTTTGTAGAGATGAGGTTTCACTATGTTGCTCAGGCTTGTCTTAAACTCCTGGGCTCAAGTGATCCTCCAGCCTCAGCCTCCCAGAGTGCTAGGATTACAGATGTGAGCCAACGCACCTGGCTGGGTTTATAGTTTTCATCAAATTTGGAAATGACGTGGCCATTATTTTCTCCCCTCTCCTTTGGACATTCCAATTACACATATATTAGGCCACTTAAAGTCCTACAGCTTACTGCTCTTTTTTTTCCTCTTTTTTTTTGGATAGTTCTATTGTTATGACTGTGTCTTAATCTTCACTAATCTTTGTCCTTTGTAGTGTTTAACCTGCCTTTAGTCCCATCCAGTGTATTTTTCATCTAAAATGTTTTAGGTTTCATCTCTAGAATTTCAACTTCGGACTTCAACAAATGTTTTCCAGGCAGGCCCAGTGGGCGGCTCACACCTGTAATCTAGCACTTTGGGAGGCAGAGGTAGGCAGATCACCTGAGGGCAGGAGTTTGAGAACAGCCTGGTCAACATCTACTAAAGCATGGCCGGGATCTTTGGGATGTCAGTTTTCTTCCCAGAAACCTCTGCAGGCCATGGCACCTTTGCCTGAGTTCTTGTCCTGTCTGTGTCCAGGAAGAGCAGACAAGTGAAGGGTGACCAATTGTCTGAGTTCTTGTCCAGCGTTCAGCAAAGTGAAGGGTGAACATGAAGATGAGCTTTATCAAGTATTACAACAACTCAGCAAATGAAAATGAGCTTTATTAAGTGTTACAGTAGCTCAGAGGAGACCTGCAGGGGGTAGCTCCTCTCTATAGGCAGGTCATCCACCAAGTGTTCAGTTCTCAGCAGAGAGGAGGCCCTGGAGAGGGTAGCTCCTCTGTGCAACTGGTTGTCCCAGATATCTGCAGTTCTCAGTGGAGAGGAGGCCCTGGAAAGGGTGCCTCTTCTGTGCGGTCAGGTAGTCACTAAAGCTCTCAGCAGAGAGGGTAGCTCCTCTCTGCAGGTGGTTGTCCCATCCTCTCCAGCTCTCAGCAGACAGGGTACTCCTCTCTGCAGCTGATCATCCTGTTGTCTCTCTGCCCCCTTCATCCTCTGGCTGTCTGCTGCCCTGCTCTGGCTGAGCCCAGGGCCTTTATGGACCTCAGAGGGGAGGAAGTGTGTGCCCATTGGTCCATGGGTGTCATGGGCCGCCATAGGCCAGCAGGAAAAGGCAGCAAAAGTCCCCACTCCAGTCCATTGGACTGGCAGCCCAGTCCCCAGCCTTCTGGCCCTCCCTGGTTGAAGATGGGGACTTCCTGGGGACCTGCCTCTTCTGCCCAGGACTCTGTCTGTCTCCTGCTGCCATTCATGGCCCTGGGGCTGGGCCCCAACCCCACTCTGAGATGAGAGCAGGCGCCAGGAGCCAAGAGAGGCCAGGCAGTGGGAGCGGAAACCTCTGAGCCTGCAGAGATGGGCGGAGGGTCCTTCCTGGGGCCTTGGAGGGTGCAGGCTGCAGAGATGTCCGGTCCTGCACCTGGGAGGGCAGCCACAGCTGCACCCTGGAGCTCCCATCCCGCCAACTCGGAAGGCTCACGCTTGTCCCCCAGCTCCTGCCTCCTCTGTAGAGTGGGAGGCCCAGGTCTGCAGCCACAGGTCCGCTGCACCTGGGAGGGTAGATCTTGCCTGTTCCTGCGCTCCCCCCACACCCCGCCCCCACAAGAGCACAGGTAGGCTCGGATCCACAGCTGTAGTTTGGGAGGGCAGGGCTCCTGGCCTGCTCCGTAGGTCAGGACGTCTGGGTCTGCAGCTGGGGTTTGGCTGGCTGCAGTTGCACCCGGGGAGCTCCTGGCTCCAACTTAGCAGGGGCGGGGCTCCCTCAGGCTCCATGGAGTGTGTAGCCCCTGCTGCAGCCTGCGTGATTACAGCAGCCACTACCTTTAGCGGTGCAGGCCTGTAGTCCCAGCCACTTGGGAGACTGAGGCAGGAAAATTGCTTGAACCTGGGAGGTGGAGGTTGCAGTGAGCCGAGATTGCACCACCACACTCCAGACTGGGCGACAGAATGAGACTGTATCTCAAAAAAATAAAAATAAATAAAAAATTTAAAAGTAAAAATGTGTTCCATGTCTCTGCTTAACATCTACTTTTTCTCTAGTTATCTGGATGCTGGGGCCATCAGAGGGTTCACCTCATTTTCTCGTCACTTCTCATGCCTCACTGTCCGCATCACCCATGTCCAGTGTCTTGAGCAGTGATCTTTCCTATATCCTGTCCAGATCCTTGGTTGTTACCTTAGGAGGGTAAATCTAGTCCTGCTTTATCTTGGCTGAATGTAGGAGTACCCCACCTTTATTATTTAGCTCATATTTATATTTACTGTAAGGTTTTAAAATGTGCAAGTAGGCTACATATTGATTTTAATGAGTTGCTGTTAATAAAAAAACTCTTGAGATTCTAACTAATTTTCCTGCTGCATGGTAAAGCCCATGCCTTCACTTTGATCTCCGTACTAATCTTCATTCACTGTGTATTTATTAACAACATAGCTCTCAAAAAGCTCTGGCTTTGCTTTGCCTTTCCTTTCCTTTCCTTCCTTTTCCCTTTCCTTCTTCTCTTTCTTTTTTTTTTTTTTTTTTTTTTTTTGACAGTCTTGCTTCATCACCCAGGCTGGAGTGCAGTGGCCCGATCTCGGCTCACTGCAATCTCCACCTCCCGGATTCAAGTGGTTCTCGTGCCTCAGTCTCCTGAGTAGCTGGGATTACAGGTGTGCGCAAACATACCCGGCTAATTTTTGTATTTTTAGTAGAGATGGGGTTTCACCATGTTGGCCAGGCTGGTCTCAAACTCCTGGCCTCAAGTGATCCACCCACCTCAGCCTCCCAAAGTGTTGGGATTACAGGCGTGAGCCACTGCACCTGGCCTCTTTCTTGTCAATTAAAAAAGGCACTTCTGGCCAGGCACGGTGGCTCATGCCGCCTGTAATCCCAGCACTTTGGGAGGCCGAGGTGGGCGGATCACTTGAGGTCAGGAGCTGGAGACTTGGCCAACACAGGGAAACCCTGTCTCTACTAAAAACACAAAAAATTAGCTGGGTGTGGTGGTGGGCGCCTGTAATCCCAGCTACTCAGGAGGCTGAGGCATGAGAATCGCTTGAACCCAGGAGGTGGAAGTTGCTGTGAGCCGAGATCAGGCCACTGCATTCCAGCCTGGGTGACAGAATGAGACTCTGTCTCCAAAAAAAAAAAAAAAGTCACTTCTGACCTTACCAGTAAGAGAAATCTACTTCAGATCCTTTTATTATTTATTATCTATTATGGTATCACATTCCTAGGCTGAGCTGTTTCCCAGATGTACTTATCAAACATTTTTATGCATTATATATGGCCCAAGAACTTTAGAATGTGGGTTGAGGTGGAGTTACATTTTTTTTAGTTGTGGTAAAATCTATATAACAACATTTACCATTTTTTCTTTTCTTTTTTTTTTTTTTTTTTTCCAAGACAGGGATTACAGGCGTGAGCCACAGCACCTGGCCTCTTTCTTTTTTGTCAATTAAAAAAGTCACTTCTGGCCAGGCACGGTGGCTCATGCCGCCTGTAATCCCAGCACTTTGGGAGGCCAAGGTGGGCGGATCACTTGAGGTCAGGAGCTGGAGACTTGGCCAACATGGGGAAACGCTGTCTCTACTAAAAATACAAAAAATTAGCTGGGCTTGGTGGTGGGCACATTACAGGAGCTGATTTTGCTCCGTCACCCAGGCTGGAGTGCAGTGGCACGATCACAGCTCACTGCAGCCTCAACTTCCTGGGCTCAGGCAATTCTCCTTCCTCAACCTCCCAAGTAGCTGGGACAACAGGCACTTGCCACCCCACCTGGCTAATTTTTGTGTTTTTTGTACAGACAGGGCTTTTCTGTATTGTCCAGGCTGGTCTCGAACTCCTGGGCTCAAGCCATCTGCCCGCCTCGGCCTCCCAAAGTGCTGCGATTAAAAGCATGAAGCACCGTATCTGGCTTTAATCATTTTTAACTGTCCATTTCAGTGACATTAAGGGCATTCACAATGCTGTGTATCAGTGACTACTATCTAATTCTAGAACTTTTTCATCATCCCGTACTAAAACTCTGTACCCCTTACACAGTAACTCCTCATTCCCTCCTTCCCCAGCCCCTGGCAACCTCTATTCTACTGTTCGTCTCTATGAATTTGCCTATTCTAGGTACCTCATATAAGTGGGATCATAACAACATTTGCCTTTCAGTATCTGGCTTATTTCACTTAGCATAATGGTTTCAAGCTTCATCCATGTTGTATCAGGTATCAGAATTTCATTCCTTCTGAATGAGTAATAATAAGGCTGAATAATTTTCCGTCGTGTATATATTCCACATTTTGCTTACCCATTCATCTGTTGAACATTTGGGTTGTTTCCACCTCTGAGCTACTGTGAATAATACTGCTGTGACCATAGGTGTACCAGTATTTGTTTGAGTTCCAGTTTTCCATTCTTTCGGTTATGTACCTAGGAGTGGAACTGCTGGATCATGTGGTAATCCTATGTTTCACTTTTTGAGAAATCACCAAACTGTTTTCCATAGTGGTTGCATCATTTTTGCATTCCCATCAGCGATGCACAGTGTCCCAGTTTCTCCACCTCCTCACCAATACTTGTTATTTTCTATTTTTGTAAGTAATAGCCATTCTAATGGGTGTAAAGTGGTATTTCATTGTGGTTTTAACTTACATTTCCCTAATGACTAGTGATACTGAGAAGCTTGTCATGTGCTTATTGGCTATTTCTGTGTCCTTTTTATAGAAATGTCTATTTAAATCACTTGACCATTTTTGAGAACAACCGTTGAATGGGGTTGTTTCAGTGGGGATTGTGGTTTTTTTGTTTTTTGTTTTTTTTTGAGACAGGGTCTTGCTCTGTCACTCAGGCTGGAGTGCAATGGTACGATCTTGGCTCACTGCAACCTCCGCCTGCCAGATTCCAGTGATTCTTCTGCCTCAGCCTCTCAATTAGCTGGGACTACAGGTGCACACCACCATGCCCATTTAGTTTTTTGTATTTTCATTAGAGATGGGGTTTCACCATGTTGGCCAGTCTGGTCTCAAACTCCTGACCTCAAGTGATCCACCTGCCTTGAACGCTCAAAGTGCTGGGATTACAGGCGTGAGCCACCGCACTTGGCCTGGGAGGGGTTATGTCTTAATGCCCAAATCTATCTGCTCTCCAAGTGATCTTTGGAGTTTTGGTATTCTTTCTGATGTTTCATATCTAACATATCTAGAAAGTACTCCATAGAAAATTGCTTCATGTTTCCATGATAATTGCCCATATGTGACAGATTTTTCTTTGCAATAGATGAAGCAGATGGTGATTTCAAGTTGCTTCCCATGTATCCGAGCTGTTTCCAGAGTCTGCCCTTTCTGTTTCTATGCAGCTATAGAGTGGCTGACCAGGAGGCGGGAGTGGAGGCCCACACCTGTAATCCCAGAACTTTGGGAGGCCGAGACGAGTGGATCACTTGAAGTCAGGAATTCAACTGACCAGCCTGGCCAACATGGTAAAACCCTGTCTTTACTAGAAATACAAAAATTAGCCAGGTGGTAGTGGCACACGCCTGTAATCCCAGATATGTGGGAGGCTGAGGCAGGAGAATTTCTTGAACCCAGGAGGCAGAGATTGCAGTGAGCCAAGAGTGCACCCTCCAGCTTGAGCGACAGAGCAAGACTGTCTCCATAAAAAAAAAAAAAAAAAAAAAAAAAAAAAAAAAAGGGCTGGGCGCGGTGGCTCACGCCTGTAATCCCAGCATTTTGGGAGGCCGAGGTGGGCAGATCATGAGGTCAGGAGATCAAGACCATCCTGGCCAAGACCATCCTGGCTAACACGGTGAAACTCCATCTCTACTAAAAATACAAAAACAAAATTAGCCAGGCGTGGTAGTGGGCACCTGTAGTCCCAGCTACTCGTGAGGCTGAGGTGGGAGATTGTGTGAACCCGGGAGGCGGAGCTTGCAGTGAGCAGAGATCATGCCACTGCACTCCAGCCTGGGAGACAGAGCGAGGCTCCATCTCAAAAAAAAAACAAACCAGTGGCTGATCAGGGATGTGATCTGGGAATGAGACTCCCAAGGCTCCCGTGATAGACCTGTTAAGCTTCACTTTTCTTTTGCTTGGAAAATTTTATCTCTTTAGTAAAATAAGAATACAACAAAACAAACCGCTCACTTATTGGCCTCTGGTTGCTGTCATTTCACGTCACCAGCAACAGCAATGCCTCTGCCAGAAGCTTGCCAGGTGCCCCATTTCGGTTGGGAGACACATGCCCTTGCCGTTAGGGATACGGATAAATATCACCCCTGCTCTTCATCAGGAAACCTGGGGTCCAAAGTTTTAAGTGGGATTTTGAGATTGTAAGAATATAAAACACCTAAAAAAAAGTAGAACTCATGTTTGTTACAAGTTAAAAGAATCATTTGAAGCTGGGCGTGGTGGCTCACACCTGTAATCTCAGTACTTTGGGAGGCCAAGGCAGGCAGATCACTTGAGGTCAGGAGTTCAAGACCAGCCTGGCCAACATGGCAAAACCCTGTCTCTACTGAAAATAAAAAAAACTAGCCAGGCATGATAGCATGCGCCTGTAATCCCAGCTACTGGGGAGGCTGAGGCTGAGGCACTGAACTCGGGAGGCAGAAGTTGCAGTGAGCCAAGATTGTGCCACTGCACTCCAGCCTGGGCGACAGAGCCAGACTCTGTCTCAAAAAAAAAAAAAAATCACTTGAACACATGTGAGCAGTTATGAATTCTTTTATGGTGTGCCAACATTTGAGTGTGGTTACAAGAAACAATAGTAAAAACAGTAGTAAAGAGTGACCATTTCTGGAGTAGTCACTGCTGTGGACACAGTACCAAATACTTTCCATGTATGATTGTGTTCGATCACTACAAATCAGGAAAACAAAGCTCAAAGAGCTAAGAAAGTTGCTCCAGGTCACATACTTCATACGTGACAGAGCCTGGATACAAACCTAGGTCAGTGTGACTCCTGTTTTGGAGCGGAAGTACTGACAGCTTGTTGGGTGGAGGAGAAACAGGAAAACACATTTCAAATAGCTTAGCATTATTGCAACTGACTAGGAAAGCAACATAGGTATTATTTAGAAAATAGAGGATTTCAGTGGATATAAAGACCTTTTTGTCCTTAAGCTGTGTTGGTAATGTTACTTCCAAGCGCAGAAGGCCAAGTGCTCATTGTAACCTTTCTGGTTGATGCAGGTGTTCTCGCTACATATGTTGTAGGTTTTCTTTTCAGATTCAAATTTTGGGGGATTTTGGGGTCTATTTTTATTTTTATTTTTTTAAGACAGGGTCTCACTCTGTCACCCAGGCTGAAGTGCAGTGGTATGATCACAGCCCGCTGCAGCCTCAGACTCCTGAGCTCAAGCGATCCTCCCACATTGGCTTCCCAAAATGCTGAGATCACAGGCATGAGCCACTGCACCTGGCCCAGATTCAAATGGTGGATTCAAGTATTTTGTTTATATTTTGTTTTGGATTTTGAGATAGGGTCTCAGTCTGTTGCCCAGGCTGACTGCAGTGGTGTGATCATGGCTTACTGCAGTCTCAAACTCCTGAGCTTAAGCAGTCCTCCTACATCAGCCTCCTAAATAGCTAGGACTACAGGTGCACCACCACACCCGGCTAATTTTTGTATTTTTGTAGAGACAGGGGTCTCGCTGTGTTGTCCAGGCTGATCTTGAACTCCTGGACTCAAGCAATCCACCCGCCTGAACCTCCCAAAGTGCTGGGATTACAGGCATGAGCCACTATGCCTGCCCTTGTTCATATTTTGATTGGCTTTTATTTCAGTTACTGTGTTCTCTCTTCATTGGTGTCACCACTTCTTCCTGAACAAAATATTATTTCAAAAGTCTCCTTTCCTAAGAATTCTTACCATGTTCTCATCTTTCTGCCTCTAACCTTAATGACTTCCCTAAACCTGTCTTTAATGGATTCTGCTCCTTCATTTGAGGTTTGAAAGTCTCCAGGTCTCCAGTTAATCTGCTACTTCTTTTTTTTTGAGACAGGGTCTTGCTCTGTTGTCCAGGCTGGAGTGCAGTGGTGCAACCATGGCTCACTGCAGCCTTGGGCTCTGGGGCTCAAGCGATCCTCTCGACTCAGCCCCCTAAGTAGCTGGGACCACAGGCACATGCCACCATGCCCAGCTAATTTTTGTATTTTTTGTAAAGGTGGGGTTTTTGCCATGTTGCCCAAGCTGGTCTTGAACTCCTGAGCTCAAGCAATCCACCCACCTCAGCCTCCCAAAGTTCTGGGATTACAGGCAGAGTAATCCACCATCCCTGCTTAGTTAATCTACTTCTATCTACATCACAGCCCTACTCTTACCCCACAACCCCCATTGTTGACAAAGATACTTTCTTTGTTATCTGAGCCTTTTGTCTTGTACATCCTCATTTGTGTTTTTTTTTTTTCACCCTGTCCTTTCTGATTTATGGGCGTTGATGGCCTCTCTAGGCTGAAACCTAAAGACTGTCTCTAGAATCTGTGTCTTACCAGACCAATTTTTAACTTCCTAGGATGGAAAATCCAGTTGTTTCAAATTGATAGAAATCTACCATCAATGTAGACTGGGTTTAGCCAGGCACTCATGCAAGACAATGCCTGCTCTATGCTGTAGACCAAGGGATTGCAAAAGTTGTGATGTTCTTGTCCAAACATGGAGAAACATGAGCTGGGGACTTGTGTGCGATTGTAAGCAATTGAACAACCACACCCAAAGAGGGTGAACTGATGTCACCCTGGAGACAAGTCGTCAGTGATGAGCTGAAGGGCTCTGCTCACTCTGCTCTGATTTTAGCATTTCTTTTAATGACTCAAATGAGTTATCCCTAGACAGCAAGCGTCCACACACAGGCTATGGCCCTGGCTTCCTTGGTGCAAGCAGGCCACATTAAAAAAGTCGTGCACATTTCTCATTTTTTTGACCACCCTCTGTCAATGCCCCTTCCTCAAAATACCATCCCGCAGTCTTTGTGGGACAGTAAATCCAGGAGCTAAGCTCCACAGTGGCCGCCAAACAGGTTCCCATCAGATGCCCTGGGAGTGAAAGATGCAAAGGTGGGGAAATGGCTGGAGCGCAGTCTTTGATTGCAGTGAATGGCAGACTGCAGTTCACCCCAGTCTTTATTCTCTTTTCCTGGGACTCCATTAGTGAATTGTGGAGTTTTGAATTGTCCTTTTGTTTCTCATCTGTTCTTTCACAGTTTATTTTTTCCCCTAGGTTCTGGGAAATTTCCTCTTTTATGATTCCTTGAACATCTTATTTCAGCTATCATTTTTTTTTTTCTAAGATGGAGTCTCGCTCTGTCCCCCAGGCCAGAGTGCAGAGGTGTGATCTTGGCTCACTGCAACCTCTGCCTCCTTGGTTCAAGAAATTCTCCTATCTCAGCCTCCCAGGTAGCTGGGATTACAGGTGCCCGCCACCACGCCCAGCTAATTTTTTTTTTTTTTTTTTTTTGTAGAAACAGGGTTTCACCATATTGGTCAGGCTGGTATCGAATTCCTGACCTCAGGTGATCCACCTGCCTAGGCCTCCCAAAGTGCTAGGATTACAGGTGTGAGTCACTGTGCCCGGCCAGCTATCATATTTTTAATCTATCTAATTGCTTCCCCTTGTTTTCTGATTATTCTTTTTTCAGATCAACCTGTTCTGGTTTTATAAACTTTTTCTTAAACCTCTTCTAGTCGGCTGGGCACAGTGGCTCATGTCTGTAGTCCTAGCACTTTGCAAAGCTTGCTTGAGCCCGGGAGATTGCAGCTGCAGTGAACTATGACTGCACCACTGCACTCCAGTCTGGGTGAGAGAGCGAGACCTTGTCTCGAAACAAACAAACAAAAAACAAAAAACCTCTTTGAGCCAAGTTTTCTTCTATTCCCTGACGATCTTTCCACCAGAGTTCATTTTTCACCTATATATCTTGCTCTTTCTTTTTCAGGCTGCTGGTTCTGGGAATGTCTTGGTGATCTTTGGTTGTCTGGTCATATCTTAAAAAGAAGGTCTATGTGACTCGGTGGCTTCTCCCCAGTGAGAATTCTGACTGGGTGCTCTGGGTATGGGGTCGAGGAGGATGAGGTCACTTGATTGCCCAGAATGAGGACTTTAGTGTACCAAGGTGATGAATAAAAGCCTTTGATTCTCCAATATGGATTGCTTAATTTCTTTTTTCTTTTTCTTTCCCTTTTTTTTTTTTTTTGAGACCGAGTCTTGCTCTGTCGCCCAGGCTGGAGTGCAGTGGCGAGATCTCGGCTCACTGCAAGCTCCACCTCCAGGTTCACGCCATTCTTCTGCCTCAGCCTCCCAAGTAGCTGGGACTACAGGCGCCCGACACCACGCCCAGGTAATTTTTTTTTGTATTTTTAGTAGAGTAACATGGTTTCACCATGTTAGCCAGGATGGTCTCCATCTCTTGACCTCGTGATCCGCCCGTCTCGGCCTCCCAAAGTGCTGGGATTACAGGCGTTAGCCACCGCCCGACCAATACTTAATTGCTTTAAAGAGCTGTCAAGGACTTGTTTGTTTACTTTTGCCTGAGGGTAGATGCCAGCTGCTTGGACTGAGGGCCTGGGGATGGGGGAAGGTGGGGGAGGAGAGAGAGAAGCAGGTGGGTACAGTTGATCCACCCTAGAGCTTTCCCGGCTCACAGGCCTCCTGGCAGCACTTCCCTGCCGCCTGCTGTTTGTCTGTTAACCCTCTCCCAACTGACCTCAGCTTCCAGGGTGTAGGGACTCTCATCCCTGTGTGGTACCCACTTACCCTGTCCTCAGGGTATGAGCTTATTCCTTATTGGACTTCTTGTCCATCAATCTGAAGAGTCAAGGCAGAGACATCCTGTCTGGTTTATTAATGAAAAATGAAAAAAAAATCCCACATGCACGTTTAGTATTTGTTATCCCATGGGTAGTATCTCTAGTAAAAGAACTGTAAATTAACATATTATTTCCATTGAAGTAAATAATGTATTGCTTTAAAAGATATATATGTAATATACAAAAACATGCTTCTTAGGCCGAGCACAGTGGCTCACGCCTGTAATCCCACTTTGGGAGGCTGAGGCAGGGGGATCACGAGGTCAAGAGATCGAGACCATCCTGGCCAGCATGGTGAAACCCCATCTCTACTAAAAATACAAAAATTTACTGGGCATGGTGGCGCGCGCCTGTGGTCCCAGCTATTTGGGAGGCTGAGGCAGGAGAATCGCTTGAACCTGGGAGGTGGAGGTTGCAGTGAGGTGAGATCGCGCCACTGCACTCCAGTCTGGCAACAGAGTGAGACACTGTCTTAAAAAAAAAGAAGGGAAGAAAAAAAAAACTAAAAAACACATGTTTCTTGTAAAAATGCAGATACAAGATGGCTTTTCCCTTTATTTCCCCACCCCAGTTCTGCTCTTTTCCCAGGAAGTGGCTGCTGTTAATAATTGGGTGTATATCTTTGCCAACCATTATTAATGGATTTACGTATCCATGTTCATCTGTCTGATTATCAGTCTCTTCTCAATTTAGACAGGATTAAATTGTATATGTTATTTTGTGATTTTTTTTTAACTCGGTCATATGCCTTGGGTGGCTTTCCATGTCGGTACATGTAGAGCTATCATTCTTTCCCCTACTGGTTGACATTTAAGTAGTTTACAGTTTTTCTAAAAAGGCAGAATCTGTTGCTTTCTTGTTTCATTGACTCTTAGCATGTTTCTCACTGAAATTAAGAAATCCTGGTCATATCTGTAAAGAAGCCCGGTGTGTTGAATGGAAAAACCTAATTGGATGAAATACAACAAGTCGAGCAGATCATACATAAATATGGTAAAACTTAGAAGTGCAGTTTCAACATCAGCCAAATAAAATACTAAAACTTCTTTAATAAAGCGTGTTATTCTATCCCAGTTCGTGAATGAAGCAGAATCAAATCAAATTTATTTTGCTCCGAGTTAAGGAGACAAGCCAGTTTGCTTTTCTTCTGTCAAATATATTTATAACAAGTGCCCAAGTTTAAAATGTCCTTGTTTCTCCCCTACTGTTTGTTTCCTACTATTTTATGCCTATTTTTCTTATTCTCCACACTCTTAAGTTCTTGATTTATCAGTTGTTCTTTTTGTTATAGGTCTTGAAACTGGAATCAGTTTAACCTCAAAGGGACTATCACAATGTAAATTTCCAGTCAAATCCCATTTAAAGCAATGAGAACATGGGCCTGGCACGATGGCTCATTCCTGTAATGCCAGCATTTTGGGAGGCTGAGGTGGGAGGATTCCTTGAGCCCAGGAGTTTGAGTCCAGCCCTGGTAACAAAGCGAGATCCCATCTCTACAAAAATTTTAAAAATAAAAATATTAGCTGGGCATGGTGGCGCACACTTGTAGTTCTAGCTACTCAGGAGGCTAAGGTGGGAGGATTCCTTGAGCTTGGGCAGTTGAGGCTGCAGTAAGCTGTGGTTGTGCCACTGCACTCCAGCCTGGGTAACAGAGTGAGACCCTGTCTCAAAAAAACCACCAACACCAACAACAGAAAACAACAAAAACAGAAACAAAAAAACAAACTGAAGAGAACATCTATAGACAAAACCACACATTTTCAGGATCTAGATCCACACCTTCCCTGGAGAAAGGGAGAAGTCTCCTCTCTCTTTTTATTTATTTTTTTGAGGCAGGGTCTTGCTCTGTTGCCCAGGCTGGAGTGTAGTGGTGTGATCACAAGTCATTGCAGCCTCGACCTCCTGGGCTCAAGTGATCCTGTCACCTCAGCCTCCTGAGTAGTTGGGACCATAGGCACGGGACATGCCACCATGCCTGCCTAACTTTTTTTTTATTTTTTGTAGCAATGGGGTCTCACCATGTCTCCCAGACTGGTCTTGAAATCCTGGGCTGAAGTAATCCTCCTGCCTCAGCCTTCCAAAGTGCTTGGTATTACAGGCATGAGCCACTGCGCCTGGCCGAGGTCTTCACTTTTGAAAGAGCACAAATCCTTTACATGGCCAGTTCTGGCAGGTCTTTTCTACCATTCCACACCAAAAGATTTTCAGAGTTCTGCTATGCTGAGATTAGCATTGAATTTCACTGGCTGTGTGGCAGAATGACTTTACTTCCCATTTTCACATTTTTTTAATCTGCAGAAACTTGGTACTCACCAGGTGTCCCTTTGCAAGGCTGGGTCAGAACTCCAGCTTATATCCTGCTCTTAACAAGAGCAGCTACCACTAAGGGGGCACCTGACTATGTGCAGGCACTGTTGTATGAGTTTCACATTCATTTTCTCACTTAATCCTCAAAATATTCCCATGCAGTAGGCCTTGATGGGGAAACTGAGGCCCAGAGCAGTTGGGTCACTTGCTTAAGTCACACAGTGCTTCAGATTCCTGAGAGAGCTGGGCTTCAGACCCAGTCTGCCTGGTGCCAAAGCCTGGACTTTTAGCCTCTGTGCTACACGTTCACCACTAACCAACTCTCTCTCTCTTTCTTTCTTCCTTCCTTCCTTCCTTCCTTTCTTTCTTCTTTCTTTCTTTCTTTCTTTCCTTCCTTCCTTCCTTCTTTCTTTCTTTTTTCCTTTCTTTCTTTCTTTCTTTCTTTCTTTCTTTCTTTCTTTCTTTCTTTCTTTCTTTCTTTCTCTTTCCTTCTCTTTCTTTCTCTCTCTCTCTCTCTCTCCCTCCCTCCCTCCCTCACTCCCTCTCTCCCTCCCTCCCTCCCTCCCTCCCTCCCTCTCTCCCTCCCTCCCTCCCTCCCTCTCTCTCTCTCTCTCTCTCTCCTTCCTTCCTTTCATTCTTTGGTTCTTTCATTCTTTCAACAGAGTCTCACTCTGTTGCCCAGGTTGGAGTGCAGTGGTGCAATCATAGCTCATGGCATCCTCAAACTCGTGGGCCCAAGTGATCCTCCTGCTTCAGCCTCCAGAGTAACTAGCTCCGGGCATGCACCACTATACCCAGCTAATTTTAAAATTTTGTGTAGAGACAGGGTCTCCCTGTGGTGCCCAGACTGGCTCTGAACTCCTGGCCTCAAACGATCCTCCTGCCTCAGCCTCCCAGAGTGCTGGGATTACAGGCGTGAGCCACCCCATCTGGCTTAATGAGCCCTCTTGAGCACGTGAGAAGGGAGACCTGCAGCCACCACCTGATAGTAACAGGATGGGTGACTGTGGTAGACTAGATAATGGCCCCCCCAAAAAAGATGTTCCTATGTTAATCCCTGGAACCTGTGAATGTCACTTTACAAATCAAAAAAAGGACCTTGCAGATGTGATTAAGTTCAGGATCTTGAGATTGGGAGACTGTCCTGGATTAGCCAGGGGGGCCTCGATGCAATCACGTGTATTAATATGAAAGGGAGGCACAGGGAGGTGTGACATACACAGAGGAGGATGTGTGGTCCTGGAGGCAGAGACCGGAACGATGCAGCCACAAACCACGAAAGCCAGTGGCTGCCAGCAACTGGAAGATACAAGGAATGGGCTCTCCTCCGAGGCCTCTAGAGCACGCATTAGTCAGCATAGTTCCTGAACTATGAAGGAATAAATTTCTTTTGAGCCACTAAGTTTGTGGTAATTAGAGCAGGCATAAGAAACTAATACAGTGACTGTGTGGTCTCTCTAGGCCTCAGTTTCCTTATCTGTAAAACAAGGATATTAATGATACATACCTAGTTTTTTTTTTTTTCAGGGTCTCTCTCTGTCACCCAGGCTGGAGTACAATGGCACAATCTTGGTTCACTGCTTCCTCTACCTCCCGGGTTCAAGCGATTCTCAGCCTTGCCTCAGCCTCCTGACTAGCTAGGATTACAGGCATGCGCCACCACGCCCGGCCAATTTTTGTATTTTTAGTAGAGACAGGGTTTTGCCATGTTGGCCAGGCTGGTCTCGAACTCCTGACTTTAAGTGATCCGCCCACTGCGGCCTCCCAAAGTGCTGGGATTACAAGCATGAGCCACCACATCCAGCCTAGTATTTTTTAAAACTAAGGAATTTAAAATGCTTGGCAGGAGGCCTGGCATGAATATATGCTCAACCGAGATGAGGTATTGTGATCACTAATTGGCTCTGATAGGAGCACACATGGGTTTTTGGGGAGCACATGGGCCACTCAGCAAACCCAACTTTAGTTCATGTGATGTGCTTGGTTATCCAGTAAGGTCCACAGGGCACTTTAGAGGCAAAGAAGTTGAAATTAGTTAAAAGTGACAATACATGGTATTTACTGACCAACTGGCAGGAAATTCACCCAAAAATCTTCACCTCCAATTTCCTTTTTTTTTTTTTTTTTTTGTTTGAGACAGGGTCTCATGCTATTACCCAGGCTGGAGTGCAGTGGCGTGATCATAGAGCACTGCAGCCTCAACTCCTGGGCTCAAATGATCCTCCTGCCTCACCCTTCCAAGTAGCTGGGACTACAGGCACCCACCACCACACCTGGCTAATTATTGATTTTTTTTTTTTTTTTTAGATACAGGATCTTGCCATGTTGCCCTAGCTTGGAATCCAACTCCTGGCCTCAAGTGATTCTCCCATCATGACCTCTCAAGTAGGTGGGACTATGGGTGCCTGCCACCATGCCTGGCTAATGTTTTTTATCTTTATTTTTTGTAGAGACAGGGGTCTCTATGTAGAGACAGGGGCCACTATGTTACCTAGGCTGGTTTCAAACTCCTGGCCTTAAGCACTATTTTCACCTTGGCCTTTCAGAAGGCTGGGATTACAGGTGTGAGCAACCAGCCCAGCCTCCCCTTCCAATTTCTAGTGTGACTGTAGCCATCAGAGAAACACTTTTCAGGTAGTAATTTTTATTACCTGGTGGATGCCCCAGTAACTTCTTATTTTCTGGATCTAATTCTGAGTGGTCATTCCAGGACACTTAATTAATAAACATAAAAGTAAACATGGCAGCTGGGAATTATAAGTGCAAATTCAGTTGCCCATCAGGAATGTAACAAGTGACCTGCACGCTTTGCTACAGCAAAGCATGGATGCTCATTTCATCCACGGAAATGAGCAGAGGGAGGGCTGTTTTGATCTAGGCACCCGGGTCCCAGATGCCTGAGAGCTATTTCTCCCCAAGGGCCAGACTGCAGCAGAGCCAATGAGTTTGCCTTTGAGATGTTCCCATTTGTTCGCCCAGCTCCAAGAGAAGTCATCGCCTTCATTGTGGGTTGTTTTGGGCAAATGATGGAGGAATTAGCAGCATGGCCTGGAGCGGCTCTGAGCAGGCCTGGGCCAGCTGACACACGCCACTTAGGTTTCCAGGGAGCCAAGCTGTCCCCACTCACGCACGGCTGATGCACTTGTGGCTAAATGCGGTGCAGTCAGGGCCCCGGGCCAGATTCAGGGCAGGAAATAGAATACCACCTCCATTGCCAGGGAAACAATGGTCTACGGACATGATTTAAACTGGAGCCAACGAGAACGCTCAGAGGGCCGACCAGCAGAGGAAGGGAGACCAGAGGGCAGCTTGCACAGATCTTGTCTTGGGTTATAACTGTTGACAAGCCACTTAACTGCCTCCAGGTTTAAGTTTGTCTGTGTATAAGATGGAGGTAACAATATTTATACATCTCACTGGAGACTTATGAAAACAAGATTTTGGACAGATCCCTTGGGACCCATGGATGGAAAGTGGTATGTAAGTGCAGTGATAAACCTACTGTGTGTGTGTGGGGGGGTGTTTTCAGCAGTGTATTAGGGACTTGTAGACCCACCAGAAAACACTTTTGGAGTCTGATCAAAAACGACAAGAAAAATGAGCAGCTCTTGGTTGCAAGTGCATGGGTTTGCTTTGGTTTTGTACAGGTCTGGGAGAATTGCATGTGTAACTCAGACTTCAGAATTGTTTTCCACCTGTCGCTGTGATGAGTCATACAGGTGCTCAGATCATCTGAGAATGCTGTAGTGATTGTTCCCAAATATTTGCCAACTTTGCTTTACAAAACTTCCCAATTCTACTGTGTGGTTTATGAGTTGTACATGGAGTCTGGAACATTTCTTCCCAAGGTGGGTGGGGAATCTATTTAAAAACAAAGCACACAGGAGGATAATTGTTCCTTCCCCGTGACATGTGTGATTTCTGAGGAGTCTTCCTGCGGCTGCTAAATAGACATGTTTCTGTTCATTTAAGCCTAAGCAATTGACCTCAGACCTCCCAATAACGTTTGTAAATGTTTTCCGTCAGCTGGGGTCCTGCGGGAGTCTATTGCTCCGTGTTCTTGGTTAGTTAAACCTGTCTCTTAGGCGTATCATCTGTCTAGAATAATTCCTCTGGCTCTAGGTGAATGATGACTATTATAGAAAAAAATTGTTGAGTAATAAACTACACACTTAATTTTTTATTAGAAAAATATAAATGAAATATAGAAAATAGAGATTATCTGTAATTCTCACAGGCGGAATGAACCATACTGGCATACATACATGTATATTTTCAACAAAAATGGGATTCTATGTATACGCTTGAGGTGAAGTCTTTACCTAGTAAACCTGGAAGAGCATTGCATATCCTTAGAGATTTTTGCCTTTTTGCCTGCAGCAGGGAGGGGTCCTGCTTCTGTTGCCCGCCTGCGGGGTGGCAGAATGAGAGGCCTTGGAAGAACTTTCAAAGACTCGTTCCTTGAGATGTTGCTCCACTTAGCGCCCCTGTGTTTTGGCAACAACATGCTTCCCAGAAGTGGTAAACACTTGCTGATTTGAGCTTCTATGTGGATGCTGGTCCCTACCACTCCCCTCTATCCTCCTTCCTTTTTTTTTTTTTTTCATGCTAGCAGAACTGATTAAGGCATGACTTACATGCAGTGCAATACACACACATTACAGCCTGTGGAATTTGTTTTTTGTTTTGTTTTGTTTTGAAATGGAGTCTCGCTCTGTTGCCCAGGCTGGAGTGCAGTGGTGCAATCTCAGCTCACTGCAACCCCCACCCCCCAGGTTCAAGTGATTCTCCTGCCTCAGCCTCCTGAGTAGCTGGGATTACAGGTGTGTGCTACCACACCTGGCTATTTTTTGTATTTTTTAGTAGAGACCGGGTTTCGCCATGTTGGCCAGGCTGGTCTCGAACTCCTGACCTCAGGTGATCCACCTGCCTCAGCCTCCCAAAGTGCTGGGATTACAGGCGTGAGCCACTGTGCCCTGCTCAGCCTATGGAATTTGAACATACACATACACTCTTGTGACACCACCCAAGACATAAAACACTTACCTCCAGCATCCCAGAATTCACTTTGTATCCTCTCTGCACCAATCCCCCCACCCCAGGTAATCACTTCCATTCATTCCTAAATGCTAACTTTATCATGTTACTGCCCACCCCAAAATGTTCCATAGCATCACTGTCCCTCTGTCTTGCTGCTTCAGGTCTGTATGTCTCGGCCTAATTTTCCTGGTCCACTGTCTTAAGGGTCCCACCTGCTGGGCCTCCATTGATGTCGTGTGGCTGGAGGGTGGTCCTTGCATCCTCACCCCCACCTGCCAGGCTCCACCTGAGCTTTGCTCCCTCTGTGACCTCACTAGAACCGTCTTTTCTTAGCCTTCCAAGTCTTGCCCATCATTCAAGGCTCAGCTCAAGTCCCATTTCCTCCAAGAAGTCCTCCCTAATTTTTTTGCCTCCCTCTTACATGCTGAGTTCGCTGGCACCATGTGGCTGAGTTTCTGCAGATGTGGGGCCCCAGAAGCCTGCCCTGGCCACTGTGTCATTCCAACTTTTGATCCCCAACAACCATTTATATCTTGGAGCAGACATTTTTCCAAACCCTCCTCTGCCCTTACCCATTCTCTCTCACATCCTGCGGCTGCCTGAGGGTCTGTCCCTCCCCAGACCTCAGACCCTGCTCGGTGTCTGTGTCACCTTTTTCCTGCCCCAGTGTTGGGACTTTGCTACCCAGATCAACCAAGTCCTCTCCTATGGACCCTCAGGTCCCGCCTCTGCTACCAGTTCTTCAGATTTGATACCAAGACATCTTGGGACTGGGCTCAGCTCAGAGGGTAGGGGTAGACTGAGGGGAGAGAGTTCACAGGTGAAGAGAAAGTTCTTTTGATGGGATGTGGGGTGGGGCTGGGAGCACTGGTGAGTTACATAGTCATCCCATCTCACTCATGTCCCCTGCACCTTGCAGTTAGCGACTGTCCCACTTTCTCTGTTGTTCCTATGTGTTAACCTCACTCCTGTCCAGACTTTTGGGGTTTCCCATGGCACAAGCAGAGCTCAGAGCCCACAAGAATGGGCACAGTGAAGGGGATTAAATAAGACAGTGCAGCTAAGGTGCTGAGCACAGGGCCTGCCCACGGTAGGGCTGAGAGAAGTGAGTTAACTTCAAGACCCTGCAGTCCCTTCTCTGATTCTTGTCAGCCGGGGAGGTGAGGTGGGGTCCCAAAGCTGCGCGTGTGTTTGTAGGAGTCGAAGGGACTTCCAGAAACCCTCTCGTCCACAGTGAACACAGGCCCCAGAGCAGCAGAGCCAGGTCTGAGGCCCAGCTTCGTGCGGACTCTCCCTGTGACCTCAGTCTCTCCACGAGTGAAATGGGGCAGTGGTCCCTCCCCCTTGGATGAGCAGAGATCACGAGCACTGGTGCTCAAGGACTTTGCAGATGGAACCCTGCATGAGGCGGGTTGTCCTGGTTCCAACTTAAGCATAATTGAGTCTTCTGAATTGGCAGCTGGAAGATGTAGCCCCTCATAGAAAAAGTTGGGTTCTAGACAGAAAGCAGAAAGTTTCAGTGAGATTAGAGCATGTGGAAAAGGGGCTGGGCGTGGTGGCTAACGCCTGTAATCCCGCACTTTGGGATGCCAAGGAGGGTGGATCACCTGAGGTCAGGGATTCGAGACCAGCCTGGCCAACATGATGAAACCCCATCTCTACTAAAAATACAAAAAATTAGCCAGGTGTGGTGGTGCCCGCCTGCCTGTCATCCCAGCTACTAGGGAGGCTGAGGCAGGAGAACTGCTTGAGCCCGGGAGGCAGAGGTTGCAGTGAGCAGAGATCGCGCCTCTTCACTCCAGCCTGGGTGACAGAGCAAAAATAAAAAAAATTAAAAAAAAAAAAAGTGGAGAAAAGGGCAGAAAAAATAGGAAAGAAAAGAAAGCTGCAGTGACACTACCCTCAGTTGTAGGCAAACTCGAGTCTGACTTTGGAACATGCCTTCGTCACCCTGTGCCTCAGTTTACTTGCCTGTGAAATGGGGATAACAGTTTTTTCCTCCTAGAATTGTTGTGAGGGGCAAGTACAGTAATTGATGTAAGGATGTAGCACAGTGCCTGGCTCAATCAACACTAGTGTTATTATTTCCTAATAAGTGTTTGTTGTTGCTCAGTGAATGAATGGATGGATGGATGAATGGCCGTTGGTCTGGATTTAGCTTCAGGGGGTGCTTTTTTGTTATTCTCTAGCATTTTCAGGCTGATTCCATTTGACTTTGCTTAGGCAGGGAACAGTTTGACTTGCATGTGGAGAAGGAAGAGAGTAAATGAGAAGTCTTCGCCCAGGGGTGCAGGACTGCACACAGAAGGCAGTAAGATCCTGGGAGCAAACCCAGTGGCACCGGAGAGCCAGTGGGGACACCCCCTCACCAGGCCAGGTTTCCCTGAGGCTGCCATTTCCCTCTCCACTTCTGTAAAGTCAGACTTGCACTTTGGTTTTACTCCCAAGCTCAGCTCCTTGATTCATCCTGGCAGGGCTGTGGCTGTTGCTTTATCATCTTTCTGTATGGCCAGGATGAGACAGGTCATAGACATTTTACTATGGAAGAATAAGCAACCAATATTGAATATCTCGGAGTCCCTGCCCCTCGGCCCTCTCCCCATCTTCTCAGACAACCGTCAGAGCCGAGCCTATATCCAGTCTCACCCCGCACCCCGCACACACCTCTCAACCCACAGAGCCAGGGAGTTCCAGGTCATTACAAGGGCAATGGTTTTACCATCTGGCCCTGTCTTTGCTACTTACGTGCTGTGTGACCTTCAGAAAGCCCCTTCCCATCTCTGGGCGTCAGAATCTCCATCTACAAAATAAGGGAAATGACCCTTCTCGTGTCTGAGATCCCTCCTGTCTGTGAAAGTGGCAGAGGGTGTGAGTGATGAGCATGGTGTTGGAACGCTGTCCCCATGCCTTTCTGGGGGACTGGCCCTGGGCAGCTGTTAAAGTTCCCCAGGTTGCTCCTCCTCTGTGAAATGGGGATGACAAACAATGACCCACCCCACAGGGCTGCAGTGTGTCTCAAATAAGGAGAGGCAGCCAAAGCGCTCAGCGCAGGGGCTGTGAGTGCGTACAGAAGCCGACAGCCCTGTCTCTCCTTCCCGTCAGCCAAGCTAGTTAATTTGTGGTCCCAAAGTTGAGAGAGAGAGAGAGAGAGAGAGAGAGAGAGAGAGAGAGTGTGTGTGTGTGTGTGTGTGTGTGTGTGTGTGTGTGTGGAGAGAGAGAGGCAGTGTGTGTGTGTATGGCAGTGTGTGTGTGTATAGCTTGGTCTCTCCCAGGCGCTTTGGGAAGATCTGGCCAGGGAGCCCTCCCTGGCATGTCCCTGACAGAGCCACGTGTCCTTGTCTCCTTGTCTTCTCCTGCACTGCAGCCCCAGGCTTTGGGGACTCTGTGCCTCTTTGCTGCCTCCTGAGTAGTTTTATTTGGAGGGCCAATAGCAGGACCCTCCCAGCACAGAAGTGACTGACCAGGTCCGGCCAGGGTACAAGCAGCCCCACTGAAGACCTGCAGGGCCGCCACCTCTCTGCTGCAGACCCGGCCTCTCCTCTGTCCTCAGGGCTCCCTGAATGCAAGGAGTCCCTGCACATCCCCAGGGCCCCTGCACCCGGATGTGGGGTTTTGAACTCAGGTCAGTTCTGCCCGAGGACTCCCTCCCTTCATTCCTCCCTCCTTGGACCACACGGTGTTTGTTTCACAGCTGGACACTTTGCTAAGTGATGCAGGAAGTAGGCCCCCGGGGAGGCAGATAGAGCCCAGCAAGGCAGATAACCAAGTGAAGCCTCTGGATGCCGCTGGGGCCTGGACAGGGTCAGAGATAAGCGGAAATGCCAGGCTTATCGCTCCTGCCTGAGTTCTTCCAGAGAAATCATCCTGGCCAGCCAGCCCACCTCATTCCCAGCGCTCCGGGCGTTTGGGCAGCATCCATCTCTAGGCAGAGTAAACACGGAGTTGGCACAGTCACAGTGGCTGATGGATGGGGACTCTGTGCCCCACTCCAGCACTGCGCGGTCCCAGCACCAGAGGCCAGCAGCGGGCGTCGGGTTACACCCAGATATTTGCGGTAAGGGCAGCTCTGGGCAAGTGTGCTTTGAAGTAAGAGCCTGAGGAACAATTGGTAGGGCACGGGACTAAGGGAGACCTGGTGACAGTTGTTCCCCGGTCCTGGGTTCTCTTGCGCCAAGAAAGTCAGCAGAAAGCTTTGGTTTAGGGGGACAGTTTGGGGATGGTCAGCTTGGGCCTTCTGCAACAAATGCATCGTGTGGTGGACAGACAATGTGGATGGCAGCTACCCCTGAAGTTGTCCGCATTAAACTCTGCGTGGCTTTCTGGAGTTCTTCTTCATCTCTGCTTTCCTTTCTTAAGTGAGCTTGGTGCCATGGAGGAGATGTGTGTACTTCCTCAGTGCATTCCAGCAATGGTGTGGTGCGGGCGGGGAGGTGGCCTGGGCTGGGAGGAGGTCCACTGGCTTAGGACTGGGAAGCTGTCCCCCTTCCTCCTCCTGCCCCTCACCCCACAATGAAGTGACTGAGCAAGCACATTGCTGCCTTGCTGGGCTGACCGTCTGCGGTCAGACGGGGAGAAGGTGTGGCTGGTCTTAAGGATGGCCGTTCCAATCGCTGCCATTTTCGTGGACTTACCACGTGCCAGGTGCTGTGCTAGACATTTTGCTTACGTTAATGTCCAACAGCCCTGTGGTTATTGCAGTTAATGGGCCCCCAGTGCAGATGAGGAAACCTGTGTTCACAGAGGCTAAGTGCCAGGTGCACCGTGAGCCCCTATGGCATTTTGTGTGAATTAGAAAACTTTCCTCTCAACATGTGGCTTCCTTCCCTCGGAAAATCGTCATCATATATGATTTTGTTAGAACAAGACCTTTCACTGCTACACGCTGCAACACGACTGTTATAAATAAATACACAAATCAACAAAGGGCACTGTGTGTTTCTCCCCTAAGAGGCTGTCCTTAGGTTCTGGATAACCCGTCTCCTGTCCTGGTCCCCAGAAGCAAACACGTTGAAGCTGTTTCTTTGTTTCTTTTGATATTTGCCTCCATATTTCTTCATTCTCTGTTTTGTGCATGATATATGGAGTTGCCGGTAAGATAAATGAGGACTTAGCTTTCTCACACTCCCCACTTTCCCTCCCTCACCCTCACAAGACAGATGTCACTGCTTTTACTTAATAAAGGGTTTACTTTACTATGACTGTAAATATTCTTCAATGCAAAATCAATGATTGTATTTTAATCTCATTCTTTCTTGTAAGAACTCTGGGCTGGGCGAGGTGGCTCACACTTGTAATCCTAGCACTTTGGGAGACCAAGGCGGGTGGATTGCCTGAGCTTAGGAGTTCGAGACCAGCCTGGGCAACACGGTGAAAGCCCATCTCTACTGAAATACAAAAAATTAGCCGGGTGTGGTGGCATGTACCTGTAGTCCCAGCTACTCTCAGGAGGCTGAGGCAGGAGAATTGCTTGAACCCGGGAGGCGGAGGTTGCAGTGAGCCAAGATCGCGCCACTGCACTCCAGCCTGGGCAACAGAGCAAGACTCCATCTCAAAAAAAAAAAAAAAAAAAGAAAGAAAAAAGAAAAAAGAACTCTAGTTGTCCTGGCATCTCTAATTCCTTTTGTTCCCCTTTTGCCATATCTGCCATCATCATGCTGATGGCTAATGTTTGAGCACTTGCTGGGTGCCTCTCAGGCATTCTCATGGCACCTCCCGACCACTCCATGAGGGTATGTGTTATTATTATTCTCCTGTTACAAACAAGGAAGTATAGACTCAGAGAGGTTAAGTGAACAATGGCCCATGGCTCTGGCTAATAACTGGCAGAGGCAGAAGTTAAATCCAGGCAGTCTGACTCCAGGTCCCATGCTCTCCACATTTTGCTGCATGTGTTTAATTGCATTCTATTGTACACTCTTTTTCCCCCGGGAGGGTTCCTGTTGAACACTCTTGATTTTCTTGCTTCAACTTTGGGCCTAGGTTGAAGCTATTGTTTCTTGGAGCTTTTTTTTTTTTTTGAGACAGAGTTTCACTCTTGTCACCCAGGCTGGAGTGCAATGGCGCAATCTCGGCTCACTCCAACCTCCACCTCCCAAGTTCAAGCAATTCTCCTGCCTCAGCCTCCTGAGTAGCTGGGATTACAGGCACCCACCACCATGCCCAGTTAATTTTTTTGTATTTTTAGTAGAGACGGGGTTTCACCTTGTTGGCCAGGCTGTTTACCCCCTCATTTTGCTGGAGTATATCGTCAAAGCAGCTTCCTTAGAAAGCGTGCGTGGGTCAGGTGTGGTGGCTCAAGCCTATAATCCCAGCACTTTGGTAGGCTGAGGCAGGTGGATTGTTTGAGCCCAGGAGTTCAAAAGCAGCCTGGGCAACATGGCAAAACCCCATCTCTAAAAAAAACCCCACAAAAATTAGCCAAGCGTAGTGGCACACGCCCATAGTCCTGGCTACTTGGGAGGCTGAGGTGGAAGACTGCTTGAGTCCAGGAGGTTGAGGCAGCAGTGAGCCGAGATCACACCACAGCACTCCAGCCTGGGTGACAGAGTGAGACCATGTCTCAAAAAAAAAAAAAGCACGAATTGTTTGCATTTTTGCAAATCACAAAACCCTTCATTTTGTTCTCTGATGGTGGTGTAATGTCTTCAAAATTCTAAGGGGAAGTGCTTTCCTATCTAGACTTTGACATCCAGCCTCTCTTCCAGCATCCAGTTGTTTTTAGGATGAGAAGTTTCATGTCATTCTGATTCTAGTTGTTTGGTATGTGTAGTAGTCTATTTTCAGAAATACCTGAAACTGGATAATTTATAAAGAAAAGAAATGTGTTTCTTTAGTTATGGAGGCTGAGAAGTCCAAGGTTGAGGGGCTGCATCTGGTGAGGACCTTCTTGCTGGTGGGCCCTCTCTGTAGAGTCCAGAGGTGGCCCAGGGTATCCCATGGCGAAGGGGCTGAGTGTGCTCCCTCAGATCTCTGTTCCTCCTCTTATGAAATCACCAGGCCCACTCCCATGATAACCTATTCATCCATTAACCCATAAGGTCAGGGACCTCGTGATCCAGTTGCTTCTTAAAGGCCTTACCTCTCAATACTGCCACACTGGGATTAAATTTTGACATGAATTTTGAAGGGGACAAATTCTCACAAGTATGTGTTTTTTTTTTTTCTTTTAAATTTCAGGGAGTTTTTAAATCTTCTCTTTATCCCTGTGTTCTAAAATTGCATAATGACTGTAGTATTTCTTTTATAAATTCTTTCCTTCTTTCATTTCTCTTTCTGAAACTCCAGTTAATTAGATATAAGGCTAGCTGGACTCATTGTCAAACAGCTTTCTCTCCTGCACATGTCTTTATCTTTTAGTTTTATTTTCTGGGACATTATCTTAGCTTCATCTTCGAATCCCTATATTGAATTTTTAAATTTTACTATTCATATTTTTAAATTCCAAGGCCTCTCTTTTATTCTACAGTTGTCTTTTTCCATAGCATCCTCTCCTTTTTTAAAGAATGGAATAGCCTTTCACGCTTTTCTGTGGCCACAAATGACAGCTTTGTCTGTTTGTTTTTTGAGACAGGGTCTCGTCCTGTCACCCTGGTTGGAGTGCAGTGGCACAAACACAGTTCGCTGCAACCTCTGCCTCTTGGGCTTAAACAATCCTGCCACCTCAGCTTCCCAAATATCTGGGAGTACAGGTGCATGCCACCACACCCAGCTAATTAAAATTTTTTTTTTGTAGAGACAGGGTCTCCCTATATTGCCCAGGCTGGTCTTGAATTCTTGTGCTCAATCGAGCCCCCCACCCTGGCCTCCCAAAGTGCTAGGTTTACAGGCGTGAGCCACCTCACCCCGCAAAATGACAGCCTTTTTGAAACTTTCTGTTTCTCATTTTCTCTGTTTCTTCTATGATCGTGTTTCTGTTTATTTGCTTTAGTCTTCCCTTTTCATCTTGAAGGCTTTCTTTGAACATCCAGTGATCCTTTTTGTCTGTGCATATTTCTGAAGAAGGTACTAACAGCTGGGTGGGTGGTTGAGGCTTGTTAACTGCATGGTTTTGTTGAGGATGATCAGGTGGGACGCTCCTGAGGAACCCCAAAAGCCAGCCCCTGGAACTATTGTGGTGTGGACCATTACATTTCTCCAGAAGCAGGCTCTGATCTCTAGGGAGGGTGGGCCTGGTCAGGCCCTTCTGTGCTGAGGTGTGGGGCAGGAGGAGGGATGGACTTTTCAGTCTTGCATTCCTGCTCCCCATTTACCCTACCGGGGGTATCGGGGTCCGAAGCCTCTCTGGGGTCCTACAGGGAAAGCTGGCTCCATGCCAGCTTTTGTATTCGCCTGTATCTGTATTCACCTTTGTGGCCAGTGAGGCTGCAGTTTTTCTTGTTTCTCCAGTTACCTCTCCTCCACCAGTTTTCTATCTCCTAGAAATTCATTGATAACACTCATTCACCAATGGCCCCTTCCATTCTGTTCATCGTTGCGGGTGGGTATTTATTTTCTTCCTTTACCGTGAAGTCTCTGGAGGGGAAGGAGAGAAATATGAGAGGTCAGTCTTTCAACTTGAGTCAGAGCCTTGATATCATTTTATTTTATTTTATTTTTTGAGTCAGGGTCTTTTTCTGTTGTCCAGGTTGGAGTACAGTGTCTCCATTGCTGCTCACTGTTGCCTCAACCTCCCAGGCTCAAGAGATCCTTCTGCCTCAGCCTCCTGATAACTGGGATGACAGGCACATGCCACCATGCTTGGCTAATATATACATATATGTTCTTTTGTAGAGACAGGGTCTTGCTATGTTGCCCAGGCTGGTCTTGAACTCCTGGGCTCAAGCAATCCTCCTGCCTCAGCCTCCCAAAGTGTGGGGTTACAGGTGTGAGCCACCACTGTCCTGGGTTAATAAAGCCTGGAAAGTTATTGAAAGACCCCATCTCTACAAAAAAGTTTTTTTTTTAACTTTTAAGTTCAGTGATACATGTGCAAGTTTGTTACATAAGTAAACTTGTGTCATGGGGGCTTGTTGTATAGATTAACTAGTGGGTACTAGGCTTAATACCTGGGTGACGACATTTAAAAAAATTAAAAATTAGCTGGGTGTGGGGGCATGCACCTGTAATCCCAGTTATGCAGGAGGCTGATGCTGGAGGATCGCTTGAGCCTAGGAGTTCCAGTTGCAGTGAGCTGTGGTTGTGCCATTGCACTCCAGCCTGGGCAACAGATCGAGACCATATCTTAGAAAAAAACAAAGTAAAATAAAATGAGGGTGTTGAAATCTCTCTCACCCCATGATCCCCGAGACTGTTAGGTCACCAGAAGGCCAGGGAAGGGTCTTGGGGCCTGGTGCGTGCTGGCCCCACCCTAGGGTGAATAGAGGTCAGCCTGTCTTTTTCCGCGAGAGGATCCGCTGCCCTGTCCTTACCCAGGAAAGACAAGGGGTTATTGTATTTGCTGCTCTGTCAATCCAGTTCAGCTACCTCTTCTCTGGTCTTCTTTCTCTTGGCTTGGGGGGTCAATGCCTCCCCATCCTCTGGGCAAGCACCATCACCCAAAAACTGGCCAAGCCCCCTGCTGTGTCCTGTGCATCAGGGAGAGTTAGAGAGAAGCATCCCCGCAGGAAATCCATGTGCTCCAAACTCATTTCTCCTAAAGTGAGAATGAAAGAGGTTAAAGCTGGTCCTTCTGGCTACTCCTTTCCACCACAGAGGCCCCAGGAACTGCCTGCAATATGTTCTAGGCTTTCTCCCAGAGGGCCCCGGAGCTCCCTGGAGCTCCCTTCCCGGATTGTCAGGGTTTCCTGCCCTGTGCTCACTTTGAGGCCTCCTCCTTCCACAGAAGTCTCAGGACGGTCTGCTCAGCCGCCTGCTGCCTCCTCCTTAGCTCATTCCTCCATGTTGAACACCTGCCATGTACCAGGCGGCTGGTGCCTCCGGGAATCCAGGCCAAGCCCAAGAGGCTTGGTCTGCCCTCAGGGAGCTTCCAGCCGCAGCCACCTTCTTAGCAAATGAGCTACCTTGTAAACTTGTTGCTTAATGAAGACATGACAAATCCTTTTGTAATTTAATTCTTTTTTTTTTCTTTTTTGAGACAGAGTCTTGCTCTGTCACCCAGGCTGGAGTGCAGTGGCACCATCTCAGTTCACTGCAACCTCTGTCTCCCAGGTTCAAGTGATTCTCCTCAGCCTCCTGAGTAACTGGGATCACAGGTGCTCACCATCATGTCCTGCTAATTTTTGTATTTTTAGTAGAGATGGGGTTTCATCATGTTGACCAGGCTGGTCTCAAACTCCTGGCCTCAAGTGATTCGCCTGCCTTGGCCTCCCAAAGTGCTGGGATTACAGGTATGAGCCACCACGCCCGGCCTCAGATAATTCATGTTTGTTATAGATACATGGCTGGGGTATTTGGTGTTTTCCTCTGGATTCATTTAGACTTTGAAGTTATCTTTCTGGCTTTATTTATTTATTTGTTTTATTTATTATTATTTTTATTATTTTTGAGACAGAGTTTCACTCTTGTTGCCCAGGCTGGAGTGCAATGGCGTGATCTCAGCTCACTGCAATCTCCGTCTCCTGGGTTCAAGAGATTCTCCTGCCTCAGCCTCCCAAGTAGCTGGGATTACAGGCATGCACTACCACACCCGGCTAATTTTTTGTGTTTTTTTAGTAGAGATGGGATTTCACCATGTTAGCCAGGCTGGTCTCGAAATCCTGACCTCAGGTGATCCACCTGCCTCGGCCTCCCAAAGTGCTGGGATTACAGGCATGAGCCACCACAACCGGCCTATATATTTATTTTTGAGACACAGTCTTGCTCTGTCACCAGGCTGGAGGGCAGTGGCGCAATCTTGGCTCACTGCAACCTCTGCCTTACCAGTTCAAGCAATTCTCCTGCCTCAGCCTCCCAAGTAGCTGGGATTATAGGTGCACGCCATCATGCCCAGCAAATTTTTGTATTTTCAGTAGAGACGGTGTTTCACCATGTTGGCCAGGATGGTCTCAATCTCTTGACCTCGTGATCCATTTGCTTTGGCCTCCCAAAGTGCTGGGATTATAGGCGTGAGCCACTGCACCCGGCCCTTTCCGGCTTTATTAACCCAGGACTTGCCTGGTTGCTGGTTCTCCAGAGATCTCCACAGCAGTGGCAATAATAAAGTCTCTCCTCCAGAGACCAGGGTCTGCCTCTCTTGTCTGGTGGGAATTTTATTCCACAAAAATTATGGGCACCAGCTGGGGAGAGGCACAGGGGCTGGGTGTGTTAGACTTCTGAGACTTCTCTAAGCAGCCATTTCCCAAAGGTTGGCCCAGGGAGCCCCGATCTGCAGGGAAGTGCTAAGTGTGAAGTGTCAGGAGAGCCCCCTGCCCTGGTCGGGTGGGGGAGTCTTCTGTGGCAGATGAGGTCCTCCTGAGGTGCACGGTGAATCCCCAGAGGGACTGGAACACAGGGTTACCCCTCAAATTTCCTTTTCCAGGGAGACTTTGTTTATTTGTGTGTTTGTTTTCAGTGGCGGTGAATATAACAGACCCTGCTCTTTCTAGCATGTTCTGGGTCATTCCACCAATGACACCCAGGGCTGTGCTCTCAGGAATGGGTTTGGATTTCTCTGTGGGCTGCCCAGGGGCAACTATCGGGATAGAAGGGTAGGTAGAGAAGGTTGTGGTCAAGCTGCATTTGCATAGCAAGCTCACTGCATTGATAGGTTAATGGTCTAACATAGCAAAACCTCTAATGGTGCTTTCGTGTATTTATTTATTTTGAAGACAGGGTCTCGTTCTGTTGGCCAGGCTGGAGTGTAGTGGCAGGATCAGAGCTCGCTGCAGCCTCAAGCAATCCTCCCGCCTTAGCCTCCTGAGTAGCTAGGTCCACAGGTGCGTGCCACCACGCCTGGCTTATTTTTTGTAGAGACCAGGTCTCGCCATGTTGCCCAGGCTGGTTTCGAACACCTGGACACAAGCAATCCGCCTGCCAAAGTGCTGGGATTACAGATGTGAGCCACTGCATCCGGCCCTAATAGTGCTTTTAGATTCCAAATGTCCAGGTCAGTTTTTATCATAATTGCTTTTATTCAGAAGGGGGAAGCTTGAGGGGGACACTAAAGCCCCCTCCCTTGGGGGCAGCCCTGCCCATGGCTGGACCATCCTCAGGAGGCCGTGTGCCTGCCTGGGCCACCTTGGGCAAATGCCCCTCTCTGGGCTTTGCCCTCTGCCCACGGGGAGCTGGATGGAAATGGTGTAGGTCAGACTGCTCCGTGGCGTCCTTGGGACTTTAAGGGGCTCCCTGTGCCCCACCTCGGGGGTAACCTTAGCATCTCTGCTTGTGTCTGCTTTATTGACTGATACTTCTGTAAAACGTTTTATTTGAACCAAGGGCTTATAAGGCAAAAACGTTTGTAAACCACAGGAAACACAGGCCTGTTGTGCTCTGGGTCCCTGCTAGTCTGTTTCAGTATGGAAATTGCATGTCTGATACCTGCATAGTTGTTATTGGGGGAGCAGGTGTCTCTGGTGAGTGTCCCCCTGAGGGCCCTGTGAAGAACATGGCCCTCGGGACAGCGCTTGGCAGGTGGCCAGGGCCATTGCCCTCAGTTCTATTTTTAGGTACAAGGGACTAGTCACTGAGGGCTCCGGTGGGGAGGGACCTGCCGGCCACCCCACAGACAGTCTAAACACATGTTCTGAACGCTGGTGTAGTAGGGGCACCTGAAGTTTGTTTTAAATTTGCAGAAGCATCAAAATTTTCATCATGGCAGAAGTCACAACTTTGCTGAGTGGTCTCACATTCCTTTCTGTCTTGGTCTTGCTTTTTATTGTGACTCTGATGTGTGTGGCCTCAGGGCTCTGGGCCTCTAAGGACCTTCCTCCGCCCTGGGATCCCTCCTGGAGCCCAGCTGGCAGGTGCCGTTCTCCAAAGGACCCTTTCCTTTCCTCCGAACCATTAGTTGCATGAACCCTGCTGGCTCTGGGCAGATTCTTAACATATTTGCCCATCAGCAGCCTCTCAGAGAGGAATGTTAAATGCTGCCGTGATGTCAAAGGGGCCCCAAGGAGAAGGGCCTGGGCTGACCTCGGCCTGTCACTCACAGGCCCGTGTAGGGTGGGAGATAAGCAAAGCAAAGGCACAGGAAGAACCTGGGCCTCTGCGCTCCTCACACAGCCCAGGCCATCGTGGAGGTTGGTGCTGCCAGGAGTCTGTCAGCTACGGAGGACAATGACCTTGCAGACACCACCGCCTGAGTGAGAACCAGGGGTCTGTGCCTCTCCTCATTCCCCGCTCTTGCCCTTGTCAAGCCTGCACCAGCATGTCAGGAACCTCCAAGGAGAGTCTGGGGCATGGGGGGCTGCCAGGGTTGGGCAAGACCTGCTTAACAACCATGGACACAAAGCTGAACATGCTGAACGAGAAGGTGGACCAGCTCCTGCACTTCCAAGAAGATGTCACAGAGAAGTTGCAGAGCATGTGCCGAGACATGGGCCACCTGGAGCGGGGCCTGCACAGGCTGGAGGCCTCCCGGGCACCGGGCCCGGGCGGGGCTGATGGGGTTCCCCACATTGACACCCAGGCTGGGTGGCCCGAGGTCCTGGAGCTGGTGAGGGCCATGCAGCAGGATGCGGCCCAGCACGGTGCCAGGCTGGAGGCCCTCTTCAGGATGGTGGCTGCGGTGGACAGGGCCATCGCTTTGGTGGGGGCCACGTTCCAGAAATCAAAGGTGGCGGATTTCCTCATGCAGGGGCGTGTGCCCTGGAGGAGAGGCAGCCCAGGTGACAGCCCTGAGGAGGTTGGTTCCTGCTTCCCTGCCCTGGCTGGATGGGAGGCCCCGGCCCTGGTGGGAGACTGGCCAGGCAGCCAGTGTTTGGAGAGCTGGAGGCATGGTGTCCCCTTCCTGTGTGACCTGTTGATGGGGAAAAGGAGAGCTGGAAACTTACAGGTCATAGGTGGATTTCCAGTCCGGACACTGCCTGCCATTCTCCCCAGGGAAGGGAAGAAGCGGGGCTCTGGCCAGGACTGCAGGGTCTTGGCAGCTCCAGGGAACCTAGCTGTGGGGGACACGCTGGCGGTTTGGGAGGGAGGACCACCACACTTCTCTGACACCCCCGTGACTGCCCTTCTGCTCCTTCACACATGGGGTGGGACAGGCAGGAGTGGCCAGTTTGTCCTGATGGAGCCCTGCTCAGAAACCCACCCGCCACCTCCTGTCCCCAACCTTGAGCTTAGCTCCAGAGGGAGTGGAGAGTGCAGCTGCCTGTGGGGAGACGAGTGTTGACAGTGACCCAGGGGGACAGCAGGCAGGAGCCGGAGCCTGGGGGTGGAGGGTGGCATTCCTGGGAGCGGCTGTTCCTAAGAGTTGCATAATCAATCCTGCAGGCTAATGGAAGCTTGGCTGCTGGGAGAAGGATATGGGGGGTGAGGTCTGTAGAGGGAACACCCTGTTTGGGGACAGCTAGGGGTCAGCCACTTAGCAACACTCAGACAACCTGGAGCCACCATTTCAGACCCCTGCAGTGACTCACCAGCCTCTGGCAAGAGATGAGCTGGGGTCAGAGGGGTCCGTGCTTGACTCTGTGTCGGCTGCCTGCCGAGGACAGGAGCATGCCTCCCCTCCCCGCACCAGGCCAGAGCTCCCCTGCTGCCCCTTCCCCTCCCTGCCCTGCAGCTCCTTCAGAGCTGCCCCTCTCCCTAGCCCCCGCTGTCTGCACCGTGCCTTTTCTGAGGACTTGGCCTGCAGGGCAGTGTGACCCTAACAAAGCCCGGCTTTAAAAAATAAAATTATGCTGGGTGCAGTGGCTGATGCCTGTAATCCTAGTGCTTTGGGAGGCCGAGGTGGGAGGATTGCTTGAGGCCAAGAGTTTGAGACCAGCCTAGGCAACATAGGAAGACCCCGTCTCTACAAAAAATAAATAAATAAATTTACCAGGCATTGTGGCACAAACCTGTAGTCCTAGCTACTCGGGAGGCTAAGGTGGGAGAATTGTTTGAGTCCTGGAAATGGAGGCTTCGGTGAGCTATGTTTGTGCCAGTGCACTCCAGCCTGGGCCACAGAGTGAGGCCCTGTCTCTTAAAAAAAATAAAGAAATTTAATTTAATTATAGTCAGCCCTCCATATTTGTGGGTTCTACATCTGCAGATTCAATCAAATCTCGGATCAAAATGTACTTAGTCCTATGATGGTGTGTCCGTACTGAGCATGTACAGGTTTTTCTTTCTTGTCATTATTCTCTAAATAATAATACAGTTGTTATACAATAGTATAACAACTTCTCATATAGCATCTACATTTTATTAGGTATTATAAGTAATCTAGAGGTGATTTAAAGTGTATGGGAGGGTGTGTGTAGGTTACATGCAAATACCATGACATTTTATATCAGGGACTTGAGCAGCCATAGATTTTGCTGTGGAGGGGGCCCGGGAACCAATCCCTGGCACATACAGAGTCACGACTGTAAATAATAAAATAGATCTAATCAATAGCTTTAACAAAATTAATATGCACATAGTAAAAAAAATCATGTAGAGTAAAGAGCATACATCTCCTTCCTATTCCATCCCCCAGGCCCCAGAACACCAATACCCTGGCCCCCTAGGCAAGCGTGGATTCTGAGTTCCTTTGAATCCTTCCAGATAGAGGCTGTGTCTACAAGCCTCTATCTGGAGCACCCTTTTGTTTGGTATCCACAGCACCCTTTTGTTTTGTTTTGTTTTTCCCACAATCTGTAGCACCAGAACTGCTTTGTTGTTTTTGTTTGTTTTTGAGACGGAGCTTCACTCTGTCACCCCTGGAGTTCAATGGCGCGATCTCGACTGACTGCAATCTCCACCTCCTGGGTTCAAGCGATTCTCCTGTCTCAGCCTCCTGAATAGCTGGGATTACAGACGCCCTCCACCATGCCCGGCTAATTTTTTTGTATTTTTAGTAGAGATGGGGTTTCACCATGTTGGCCAGGCTGGTCTTGAGCTCCTGACCTCAAGTGATCTGCCTGCTTTGGCCTCCCAAAGTGCTGGGATTACAGGTGTGAGTTACCGCTCCTGGCAGAATTGTTTTATTTTAATTCAAATGTTATTCACATTGTCCTGGCCCCGATTTCTAATTTTTTACTTAATATATTTTGGGCATTGATTGATGTTCATATCGTTATGAATATATCTGGGTACTCCCTTTGGGGGCTGTGTCTTCAGTTGTTAACCAGCCCAGATCCTCGTTTGTTTCTGTTGTTTCTTATTTTTAGCAACTATAAATAAAGATGCAGTGAATATCCATAGATGTATGTCACTGAACACAAGTGTGAGTTTATCTGCATGTTACACTCCTGGCAGTGGAAATACCAAGCCAAATGGTAAATTTATACAGATAAAGGCAAGTCAGCCTTCAAAGAAGTTACTCCAAATCAGTCTCCTACCATCAAGGTGTGGGAATGCTTTTGATTCTTTGCCTTTCTGGTGAATGAAAACGGGAAATTATTGTGCATGTTTTTTTTTTTCTCTTTTCCCCACCCACTTCCCCCTTCAGATTATTTTAAGGAAATCTGAGATGTTGGATCATTTCTTTCATAAATGTTTTAGCATTTATAGCAAAAAGATAAGGGCTCTTTTAAAAAACATAATCTTGATACTATCATCACACCTAAAAAAGTGAATAACTTTGTTTATTTATTTTTATTTAGAGACAGGGTCTTACTACATTGCCCAGGCTGGTCTTGAACTCCTGGGCTCAAGCAATCCTCCTGCCTCAGCCTCCCGAAGTGTTGGGATTATAGGCACGAGCCACTGCACTGGGCCAAATGATAACTTTTTAGTGTTACTGAAGTTCAGTGTTCAAATTTCCCTGATTATCTTATACTTTAAAAATATTTTAGGCTGGGCGAGGTGGCTCAAGCCTGTAATCCCAGCACTTTGGGAGGCCGAGGTGGGGGGATCACCTGAGGTCAGGAGTTCGAGACCAGCCTGGCCAACATGCTGAAACCCTGTCTTTAATAGAAATACAAAAATTAGCTGGGCATGGTGGCGCATACCTGTAATGCCAGCTACTTGGGAGGCTGAGGCAGGAGAATTGCTTGAACCCAGGAGGTTGGAGGTTGCAGTGAGCCAAGATTGCACCACCATACTGCAGCCTGGGCAATAAGAGCAAAAACACCATCTTAAAAAAAAAAAAAAAAAAAAAAAAAAGCTGGGTGTGGTGGCTCACGCCTGTAATTCCAGCATTTTGGGAGGCCAAGGTGGGCAGATCACGAGGTCAGGAGTTCGAGACTAGTCTGGCCAATATGGTGAAACCCCCGTCTCTACTAAAAATACAAAAATTAGCCGGGCATGGTGGCGTGCACTTGTAGTCCTAGCTACCCGGGAGGCTGAGGCAGAAGAATCACTTGAACCCGGGAGGCGGAGGTTGCAGTGAGCCAAGACTGCACCACTGCACTCCAGCCTGGGTGACAGCGAGACTCCATCTCACAAAAATAAAATAAAATAAAATTTACAGTTTATTTGTATCAGACCCAGATAAGACAATTATTTATATGTCTCTTAAAGCTAACCTTTTGAACTTATGAAAAAATTTTAGGTTTTTATTATGGAAAATTTCAAATATAACCAAAGCTAGTTTTGGTTTATGTCTCATAGTTTTGATTTATATTTATTTTACTAGAGGACTGAACATCACTCACAGGTTTGAAACCTTTTGTATTTTCTGTGAACTGCCTGCTCATATCTTTTCCCCCTCTTTCCTATTTTGTTTTTTTGCCTTTTTCTTATTGATTTGTAAGAGCACTTCATGTATTAATGAAATTAGCTGTTATACGTGTTGCATGAAGGCATTTCTGGGTAAGGGAAGTCATAGAGCTTCCTCTTTTCTGAGTTCTTGTGCCATTTCCCGTCTGTCCTGCCCCACTGGAACTTGCTAGATTTCTCCTCTGGTCCTGGCGTTTAATAAACATGTTAGGAATGTCTTTAGGTTTGGTCCAGGCTCCCCATCAGGCTGTCGGCTGCTGATTGGCCCATTGACAGGAAGCCTCTGCTTCCCTCCGTGTTCTGAGGCCAGGGCAGGTCTTGCAGGAAGGGCTCAGAGAATGAGCGGTGAACTGAGACACAGCCACAGCTGCTAAACACATCGTCAGTGCTGAACGCCGTGCATTATGGAGGCTTCTTGGGGACTGTGTTTCCTGGGAGAGTGGGGCATGGCAACCATCTGTGGAATGGAATTAAATCCTAGCAACTGGCGGTTAAATTTGAAAATTGTGCCAGGACTTTTTGAAGGTCCTCCTGAGATCTTCAGAAGTCCCCAGCAGCACTTCATTTGGTTCCAGCAGTGAATTCGATGATCCCTGGAAGCCAGGTGCGGTCTCCTGGAAAACAGCCCCAGGCATATGTGTTCAGAGGCACCAGTCTTCTAGAATGGTGTGTGAGGAAGCACAGAAACGGCAGGGACTAGAAGGCTGAGCCCTGAAGACAGCACCCAGCTGGGGGTGGGGGGTGCGTACGCATGCGCCTGCCTACCCTAAAGATAAGGGAAGGAGAGGACAGTTTGAGCCCAACAAGGTCTGCCAAAGGACAGTCTGTCCAAGTCCCTTTCTGCCAGTGGGTAAAAGAGGAGGAGGTCTGTTTCATGCCTCCAGTTCCCCCAGCTCCGGGGGCAGCAGGACAGAGCCTGCAGAAGGATAAGGGGGAGCTGTCTGCCGAGCAGGGGATCTGGGCCACATTGATGACGCTGGTGATCATGGTGACAGCGGCAGTGAGCAGTTTTGATGAAGTGCCTCCCCCACGCCGGTGCTGGGCTGTGTGTTCTCCATGTGCTATGTCCTTACTGTTCAGAGGTCAAAGCTTGGTGTCCTGGAATCGCAAAATAATGAGCAGGTAGTAACTGAGAGGAGGGGCATGATGTAGACAAACAGTGGAACCACCACCTTAGGGTTGGGGAGACATTTGGGACAGCTGTGGTGCCCTGCTTAGAGGGGACTGCCCTAGCCGAGTTTTGCCATCTTGGCCTAGAGTTGCCAGATCTTCAGGTTTTTTTCTGTGTGTGTGTGTGTGTGTGTGTGTGTGTGTGTGTGTGTGTGTGTTTTTGCTGGGATTACAGGTGCCTGTCACCACGCCTGGCTAATTTTTGTATTTTTGTAGAGACAGGGTTTCACCCTGTTGGCCAGGCTGGTCTTGAACTCCTGACCTCATGTGATACACCCTCCTCGGCCTCCCAAAGTGCTGGGATTACAGGCGTGAGCTACCACGCCCCGCCATCCTCAGATTTTTAAAGAAAAGCTGGGAACTTAGATTTTTTTTTTTCTAGTGAGTTTATTAAGGTATAGTAATTACATAATAATTATGATGGTATAATTTACATATAATAAACTGCACATACACACAAACTATGCACATTTCAAATATATAGCTCCACAAATGTTTCCATCCATGTCACCATCACCACAATAAAAATGGGAAACAATTCTGTCACCCCAAAATGGATCCTGACTGTAAAAATCTCATAGATTTTAAAAGTTGGGAATAAATTGAAAAATTTAAACCTGGGTAACAAAGTGAGTACCTTGTCTCTATAAAACAACATCAACCAACAATTAGCTGGAGGTGGTGGCACGTGCCTGTAGTCCCAGCTACTCGTGAGGCTGAGGTGAGAGGATCACTTAATCCTGGAAGGTCGAGGCTGCAGTGAGCTGGGATCCAACCACTGCACTCCAGGCTGGACAACAGAGCGAGACTCTGTCTCAAAAAAAAAAAAAAAAAATTGCAAGCCCAACAAAATATGTCCTGAGCTGTTTTTGGCCTCTGGGCTTCTAATTAAGGGCTTCTGTGGCAAGGCAGGGGAAGGCCCTGGCTGGGCCCCCAGGTGTAAGGCACTCACTGATACAGCGGCCTCTCTTGCCTTGGCCACAGAAGCCCGGAGACTGGTGAGTGCCTTATGCCTGGGGGCCCAGCAAGGCTCTGGGCTGTGGCTGGCACTGCTGCTGTAACATGTGCCAGGATTCATCTTAGGGACTTCACGGAAGGGTCCAAACCCCAGAAGCACCATGCTCTTGCAAGAGGTCAGACCATCTGGAAATATTTGCTTGAGTGTGGACTAACTAAGCATACTGATGGCTCTGGGCTGTTTTATGGGTGAAAGCATGGGCAGGCCAGGCACTGGTCTGGTGTGGACCCTTTGGATTTAAGGAAAAGCTTCTGAGAGCTTCTCTGGGCCAGTTCCTTACACTGGGCTCATTTAACACTGATAGCTCTTGGTTCCTGGCAGGACAAAATTAGCAGAGCTATTGAGCACCCACTATGTGCTGGGCACACTTCTAGGACATTTGCACATTACTCCCAAATCCTCCTACTGACTCTACAAGGCTGATAACATGATTATCCCCATTTTACAGATGAGGAAAGTGAGATGCAGAGAATTTAAGGATCTTGGCCAAGTGGTGAAGGTGGGGTTCAAACCCAGCATGGCTGGCTCCAGAGTCCATGCCCCTGGCTACACTGCTACACTGTAAAGAGGTGACCATGGGATCCCCCAACCCAGCTCCCAGGCACACATTACTAATTGACCTTGGCACTGTTTCCCCCTAAGCATGGATTTGACTTCAGAATTCAACCGAAACCAATGCTGTAGTAGCCATGACCAGTTGATCTGGGTTGGCATATTGAGATTATTTTCCATCTCTGGCCGGGCGTGGTAGCTCACATCTGTAATCCCAGCACTTTGGGAGGCTGAGGAGGGAGAGTAGCTTGAGTCCAGGAGCTTGAGACCAGCCTGGCCAACATGGTGAAACCCTGTCTCTACTAAAAATACAAAAATTAGCCGGGCATGTTGGCCCATGCCTGTAGTCCCAGCTACTCGGGAGGCTGAACTGGGAGGGTCGTTTGAACCTGGGAGGCAGCGGTTGCAGTGAGCCGAGATTGTGCCACTGCACTGCAGCCTGGATGACAGAGCAAGACCTTGTCTCAAAAAAAAAAAAAAAAAATATATATATATATATGTATGTATATATATATATTTATGTATATATTTTTAAATGATTATTTTGCATCTGTAGTCTAAGTCCTTTGGGGTCCAGCCTATTTTGAACCCTGTATCGGGGGCTGGGTTCATCCCTTATGGGGAATATGGTGAAGCCCTGGAAAAGGAGGTGGTTCTGGGTGTGAAGCTGGGCGCCTCCTCTTTTAAATTTTATGACGTTGGGAAGGCCTCAGTGTCCTTCTCTCTAAAGTGATAATTGCAGTATCTACTCTCCAATGTTACTGTGAGACTGTGTGAAGTAATCTAAATGCCCTTATCTTAAACAAGGGGGAGGTGCTAAACAAATGTCTGTGGCCTGAATGGCAATGTTGATGATAATGATGACATTTTTTATGGTTGTTATTTTAGAATAAAGAGCGAGTGGAAGAAGAGGGAGGAAAACCAAAGCATGTGCTGAGCACCAGTGGGGTGCAGTCTGATGCCAGGGAGCCTGGGGAAGGTGAGTGGGACCCCATTTGCTTTATCTAACATTGCAGACACAACAGCTTCAGAATAAAGGCCCCAACAACACGGCCCACAGTATGATTCCTGGGCAACTGTCAAAGCTTCTTTTTTTCTTGTTTTTGCAGGGTTTTTTGTCATATATATCCCACCAGAGACACATAGTCAATTGCTGCATTTCAAAACCACCTGGAATACAGTTGACCCTTGAACACCTCGGGGTTGGGGAACTGACTTCCTGCACAGTTGAAAATTCAAGTATAATTTTTGAATCTTCCAAAATTTAACTACTAATAGCCTACTGTTGACTGGAAGTCTTGCTGATAACATAAATAAGCAATTAACACATGCTTGTTAAATATGGTATTCTTAGAGTAAGCTAAAGAAAAGAAAATGTTATTACGGTGATCACAAGGAAGATAAAATATATTCCCTATTCATTCAGTGGAAGTGGGTCTTCATTCTTGTCATTTTCACATTGAGTAGGCTGAGGAGGATGAGGAAGGTGAGGGGTTGGTCTTGTTGTCTTGGTGGCAGAGGAGGAAGAAAATCTACGTCTAAGTGAACCCGTGCAGTTCAAACCTGTGTTGCTCAAGGGCCAACTGTAGTACCTTTCTGTGCAGGCTATGCCACCAACTTGTTACTCAAATGCTTTAAATGTTTATGGATTACTTTCTTAACCTTTAATTTTCTTGTATAATTTTGCATGATATTTATGTGGTTCCAAAGTCAAATAGACAAAACAATGCGTATTAAGAGAAGTCTAGAGGCCAGGTGCAATGGTCCATTCCTGTAATCCTAGCAATTTGGGAGGCCAAGGCAGGAGTATCATTTGAGCCCAGGAGTTTGAGACCAGCCTGGGCAACATAGTGAGACTCCATCACTATGAAATTTTTTTTTACTTCAAAATAAGAGGCCGGGCACGGTGGCTCACACCTGTAATCCCAGCACTTTGGGAGGCTGAGGTGGGCAGATCAGCTGAGGTTAGGAGTTCGAGACCAGCCTGGCCAACATGGTGAAATACTGTCTCTACTAAAAATACAAAAATTAACTGGGCATGGTGGCATGTGCCTGTAATCCCAGCTACTCAGGAGGCTGAGGCAGGAGAATCGCTTGGACCAGGGAGGTGGAGGTTGCAGTGAGCCGAGATCACGCCACTGTACTCCAGCCTGGGTGACAAGAGCAAGACTCTGTCTCAAAAATAAAAAACAAATAAAAGAGAAGTCTATCTTCTACCTTTGTTCTCTGCACCCTGCTTCCTCCCCTGATATGTAAGTAACCATTTAAAAAACTTTTGTCTTTTCTTTCCCTTGAGGTCCAGTCTAACTAGACAACATGATCAGTGGTTATGTGCACATGTGCACACATGCACACTCACACATGCTCCCTTCTTAGAGAAACAGGATGCCAGACACACCATTCTCCACCTTGCTTTCTTTCACTTACAGTATATTCAGAGATCACTCCTTAGCTGTGCTTAGAGATTGTTTTTTTGAGATGGGGTCTCACTCTGTTGCCCAGGCTGGAGTGCAAGTGGCGTGAATATGGCTCACTGCAGCCTCTATCTACTGTGCTCAATCCTCCTGCCTCAGCCTCCCAAGTAGCTGGGATTGCAGGCACATGTGACCATGCCCAACTCATTTAAAAATGTTTATTTTTAGTAGAGGCAAGCTTTCATTGTGTTGCCCAGGCTTCCATAGAGATATTAATTTCTCCTTTTTCACGGCTGTGCCGCACTCCTTGTTGGATGCATCATGGTTTAGTCAACCAGCCCCTTTCATTTGGGTTGCTTCCAGTCTTTGGCTATTATAAACCTGAGCACTGAATGGCCTTGTGCAGATTCCTTGCAGTATCTTTGTGGCAGACTCCTCCACATGGGAGTGCATTTTTGTCCTGCCTGTTTTCCTGTAGAGAGCCAGAAGGCGGACGTGCTGGAGGGGACAGCGGAGAGGCTGCCCCCCATCAGAGCGTCAGGGCTGGGAGCTGACCCCGCCCAGGCAGTGGTCTCACCGGGCCAGGGAGATGGTGTTCCTGGCCCAGCCCAGGCATTCCCTGGCCACCTGCCCCTGCCCACAAAGGTGGAAGCCAAGGCTCCTGAGACACCCAGCGAGAACCTCAGGACTGGCCTGGAATTGGCTCCAGCACCCGGCAGGGTCAATGTGGTCTCCCCGAGCCTGGAGGTTGCACCAGGTGCAGGACAAGGAGCATCGTCCAGCAGGCCTGACCCTGAGCCCTTAGAGGAAGGCACGAGGCTGACTCCAGGGCCTGGCCCTCAGTGCCCAGGGCCTCCAGGGCTGCCAGCCCAGGCCAGGGCAACCCACAGTGGTGGAGAAACACCTCCAAGGTAAGGGGAGCTCTTCCAGGCTGGGTGAGGGAGGGGATGGACTGTGGCCCCTCGCTGGAGCTCGGCCGTGGGCAGCATCCACTGCATACATGTTCCTGGGCTGTTCTTGCGAGGGGAATGGGGAGGAGGCCTGGGCCCTGCCTCTGGGAGCTTAGAGTACCAGTGCTCACCGGCTGCCCACTAGAAATAACTGGGGGGAGTTTGGAAAATAAAGATGCCTGGAGATGTTGATTGAATTGGTCTGGAGTGAGTCTCAGGAATTAGATTTTTCTTTTTTACATGCTTCCCAGGTGGTCCTAATGGGGAACAGGGTTGAGAATCACTAGCTCTTAGATCAGTACTAACAGTAGCTAAAAGATGGGGCTCACGGAGCACCTGCCCCTGAGCTGGCCATTGGCTGGGCATTTCACCGGGTTCACCTTCTATTCTCAAGCCATCCACAGAAGGTGAATGTGGTTGTTATCCCCATTTCATTGATGAGAATACTTAGGCTCCCAGTGCCCAGGGCCCCACAGCTAGGAATTCATAGAGTTGGGATCTGAATCCGGGTTACCGGATTCCGGAACCTGTGCCCCAATCACTGCACCATCCTGCTTCCTCAAGTCGGCATTTAATTAAGTTCTAAATAATATGGTGGGGAGAGAAGGACAGGGCCCTCAGGAATGTGAGAGGAGTGCAGGCTGAGTCAGCCCCAGGAGCTTTCAGCAGGCTCACGCAGAAGTCCTGGAGGTGGAGTCGTGGCAGCTGCCCTGCCCCTAGAACGCAGCCTGAGGACCTGCTCTCGGCAGGCAGATGTCTGTAGCAGAGTAAAGAACCCGCAGACTCTCATGCCCTCCCCAGCACGTCCCGGTCCCCAGGGCAGCCCTGCTGAAGGGCGCTGTGGCCCCGGGCTTCTCTCGGAGGGACCTGGTGTTTCCTAGCATCTTCTGCGCCTGCCTAGGGTGGCCCTGACCTGTCACGGAGAACCCAAGCCTGGCTCAGGGAGTGGATCTGGTGTCTGTGTTTGCTGTGGTGACAGGCAGAGAAGCCCAGATCATTTGTCAGACTTGGTTCTAGGAGGAAATGGGAGCCTCCCAGGAGGCCTCGCAGGATGGAGGAAGGGGTTCCTGGCAGGCATCCCGGGATCGGAACCAGGACACTAAATGTGGAATCTGGGGCTGGGGGTGAACTGTCTATGAAGTTGTTAGGGGCCTCAAAAGATTCTGACAGAGAAGAAAAGTTCTCTATCTCAGTTTCAACCCTTGGCTGAATTCAGGCCCAGCAGACCTGCAGCGGCCTCAGGAAGAGAGGAGATCACTACCTGCCCTTCCTCACCTCAGACATGGGTGTATTTTGAGGAAAATAGGTTGGAAGTCAAGTATCAGCTCTGACGGGCCATGGCTGCCTGTGCAGAGGATCCTGCCGGGCACTGTGGCTCATGCCTTGATCCCAGCACTGTGAGAGGCCGAGGCGGGAGGATCGCTTGAGCCTAGGAGCTTGAGGCCAGCCTGGGCAACAAAGCAAGACCCTATCTCTACAAAAATTAGCTGGGCTACCGTGGGCATGGTGGCGTGCACCTGTAATCCATGCATGCTACTGGGGAGGCTGAGGTGGGAGGATCACTTGAGCCCAGGAGGTTGAGGCTGTAGTGAGTTATGATCACACCATTGCACTCCAGCCTGGGAGACAAAGTGAGACCCTATTTGAAACAAACAACAACAACAACAAACAAACCCAGAGGATCCTGAGGCCATGACTACTGAGGCATTGAGCTGGACCTGGTCAGCACTGCCTGCCGTGAGTCTGCCACATGGCGGGTAGACAGCTTTGGGTACTGAAGGTGGCAGGAGCTGCTTGTAAGTGCCTTTAGGGGCTTCACTTCATGCCCCTGGAAGTGAAGACCCAAAGGGAAGTCATGACTGCTGGCCTTCTCAGCTGACCGTTGACTGGCAGCAGTTTCCTGTGTCCCTTGGTCTGGCAGGAGGCCTGAGTTAGATTTGGAGTGCCTTGCTATGGATGCCACACTTCCCTTCCTACCTGTCATTACCGAACCATGCCCAGTCCCAAGGCACAGTGTTGGAAGGATTTCTACCTCCCACCCAGTGAGTCACACGCACCTAGGGACAGGTGTGTCAGAGAGGTCCAGCAGCTCAGACACGGGGACGGGGCCTTCAGCTGCTGGAGAAAGGCGTCACTGTTTTCTTTTAAAAAATTGGGATAAAAACTGTCCAGGCACAGTGGCTCATGCTTGTAATCCCAGCACTTTGGGAGGCCGAGGCGGGCGGATCAGCTGAGGTCAAGAGTTCAAGACCAGCCTGGCCAAAATGGTGAAACCCTGTCTCTACTAAAAATACAAAAATTAGCTGGGCATGGTGGCGGGTGCCTGTAATCCCAGCTACTCAGGAGACTGAGGCAGGAGAATCTCTTGAACCTGGGAGGCGGAGGTTGCGGTGAGCCAAGATTGTGCCATTGCACTCCAGCCTAGGGGACAAGACCGAGACTTTGTTGCAAATAAATAAATAAATAAATAGGGGTAAAAACCACATAATGTAAAATTTAACATCTTAGCGCCCCCCTCCTTTTTTTTTTTTGAGACAGGGTCTCACTCTGTCACCGAGGCTGGAGTGCAGTGGTGCCATCTCGGCTCACTTCAGCCTCCACTTCTCGGGCTCAAGTGAGCCTCCTGCCTCAGCCTGCAGTGTAGCTGGGATTACAAGCATGTGCCACCATGCCTGGTTAATTTTTTATGTTTTTGTAGAGACAGGTCCCACTATGTTGCTCAGGCTGGTCTCGAACTCCTGGCCTCAAGTGATCCTCCTGCCTCAGCCTCCCAAAGTGCTGGGATTACAAGTGTGAGCCACAGTGCCCAGCCCCATCTTAACCTTTTAAAAGTGTACACTCAGTAGTGTTAAGTATATTCACGTTGTTGTGAGACAGATCTCCAGGACGTTTCCATCTAGCAAAACTGAGATTCATCATCCACTAAATAACACCTCCTGCCCCTCAGCCCTTGACAGCCACCATTGTACTTTCTGTCTCCATGAATCTGAGTATTTGAGGGTCCTAATATCAGTGGAATCATACAGGATTTGTCTTTTTGTGTGTGTGTGTGTGATGGAGTCTCACTGTGTCACCCAGGCTGGAGTGCAGTGGCATGATCTCAACTCACTGCAAACTCCACCTCCTGGGTTCAAGCGATTAGCTATTCTCCTCCCTCAGCCTCCCAAGTAGCTGGGACTACAAGCACGTGCCACCACACTCAGCTAATTTTTGTATTTTTAGTAGAGATGGACTTTCTCCATGTTGGCCAGTCTGGTATCAAACTCCTGATCTCAGGTGATCCATTCTCCTTGGCCTCCCAAAGCGCTGGGATTACAGATGTGAGCCACTGCACCTGGCCACAGGATTTGTCTTTTTGTGCCTGGCTCATTTCACTGAGCACAGTGTCCTCAGGGTCCATCGATGCTGTAGTGTGTGTCAGAACGTCCCTCCTCTTTAAGGCTGAATAGTATTCTGTGCTATATAATGCGTAGACACCACCTTCTGTCTATGTATTATCCATCACTGGGCATTTGGGTTGCTTCCACCTTTTGGCTTTTGTGAGTAATGCTGCTACAGTTATGAGTGTACAGATGTCTCTTGGAGACCCTGCTTTGGATTCTCTGGGATATATACCCAGAAGTGGAGTTGCTGAAACATGCGGTAATCCTACTTTTAATTTCTGAAGAGCCTCCAGTTTTCCACAGCAGTTGTGCCATTTTAGCCCTTTTGAACCCCTGCATTTGTGCCTTCCTCTCTTGGTTGACTCTTGGTGCATCTGTAAGGTATCACCGTCCCTGAAGAGAAAAGAGAGAACTGAGGCCAGACTTATCCAAAGCTGTCCAGCAACCTGCTGGCAGAGCTAAGCCCAGAATCGAGGCCACCTGCCTCCCTGCTGAGACTCAGTCCCCGCCAGACACTGTCACCCTCACCCCCTAACACACATAGACCCCGTGCTGTGGGATTGTGGCCCAGCAAAAAGAAGCCCCACCAAGAGGCAGCCAGAGGTGGGGAGACTCGGAGAGAGAGGGTTTGGATTCCCGGGTGACTTGACTGCCAGGATCAGGGTCCTTCCTTCTAGAGGTCGGGGCTCAGAGGGCCTTTCCCACCTCCATCTGGGCTCACAAACCCTAGTATTGCAGAGTCTGGGCAGTGAAAATGAGTGAAGTGAGCTGGGGCATTGCCAGGGTGCGCAGGGCCTGTGCTGAAGTGGAGAGCTGTTCCTCAACCATGTGGGCACGTGGGCCCAGCACAGCCAGCTCTTCTGTTTGTTCAAGATGAACAGAAAGTCTAGTCTTTTATGAGAATTGCCTGATTTTATTTTATTTTAGTTTTTGAGACAGGGTCTCTCACTCTGTCGCCCAGGCTGGAGTGCAGTGGTATGATCATAGCTCACTGTAGCCTCCATCTCCTGGGTTTAAGCAGTCCTCTTGCCTCAGCCTCCTGAGTATCTGGGACCACCACTCCTGGCTAAGTTTTTTAAAATTATTTTTTGTAGAGGTGGGGTCTTGCTATGTTGCCCAGGCTGGTCTCAAACTCCTGGCCTCAAGGGATCCTCCCACCTTGGCCTCCCAAAGCACTGGGATTACAGGTGTGAGCCACTGTGCCCAGCTGGAATTGACTGATTTTAAACAAATACTTCTGATCTGGGGCTTCCAGTGTGACGTTTGAGTTGGTTTCTCCTTATCTTCATTTAAGTGAAAGGGAAACTGGGCCCAGGGGAAGGTAGAGGGACCCGGGCCTCCCGCCTACAGGCCTCAGTTCTCCTGGGACAGAAGCAGGTTCTCAGGGGTGTATGGTCCTCACCCCTGTCCATTCTCAAGCTTCCCAGGACCCTCATCCGGTGGGATCCTGGGAGCTGATGGCACCAACTGTCACTGAAGTCAGCTCCTGCCCTGGTGTCCTGTCTAGCAGGGCCCCAGGGCCATTGTCAATGATGGCAGCAGTGGGCATTGGAACCCACGTCTGTTCTGACTCCAGAGTCCTTGCCTCTAACCTCAGCACCATGTTTCTCTCCACCCCAGGATCTCCATCCACATACAAGAGATGGATACTCCTGGGGAGATGCTGATGACAGGCAGGGGCAGCCTTGGACCCACCCTCACCACAGAGGCTCCAGCAGCTGCCCAGCCAGGCAAGCAGGGCCCACCTGGGACCGGGCGCTGCCTCCAAGCCCCTGGGACTGAGCCCGGAGAACAGACCCCTGAAGGAGCCAGAGAGCTCTCCCCGCTGCAGGAGAGCAGCAGCCCCGGGGGAGTGAAGGCAGAGGAGGAGCAAAGGGCTGGGGCCGAGCCTGGCACGAGACCAAGCTTGGCCAGGAGTGACGACAATGACCACGAGGTTGGGGCCCTGGGCCTGCAGCAGGGCAAAAGCCCAGGGGCGGGAAACCCTGAGCCTGAGCAGGACTGTGCAGCCAGGGCTCCGGTGAGAGCTGAAGCAGTAAGGAGGATGCCCCCAGGCGCCGAGGCTGGCAGCGTGGTTCTGGGTAAGTGGGGCTGTTGCCTGGCTAGACACGAGCCCTGAGGGGAGGGAGTTTGGAGCCCCTACTCCTGGGGAGTCTTCCTGTAGCTTCCAGGGGTAGATCATATGAGTCTGGGGGCGTCCAAGAGTCGGGAACATCTCCAGGTACATCCTGGGGCTGGAGACCAAGGCGCAGAGATGTGGGGCCTGAACTTGGGCTGGCTGCAGGGGTAAGGGAGAGGGGACACGTGTGGCCCACCTGGGTACATTTCCTTTTTTGGAGACAGGGTCTTGCTCTGTTGCCCAGGCTGGAGTCCAGTGGCATGATCATAGTCCCCTGCAGGCTTGACCCAGGTTCAAGTGATCCTCCAGCCTCGGCCTCCCAGAGCTTTGGGATTGCAGGCATAAGCCGCTGTGCCTGGCCACTGGGGAGATTTCTTACCGCCACCTGCCCACCTGAGCTTGCCACCATGAGTCTCATTTTGGATTGAGAGAGAGAAGGCTCTGTTAAAAAGCGAAGACATGAATTGGTGTCTGTGACCACTGTCAGCCATTCCCACCCACCCGGGCTAGTGACCCAGGGTGTGTTCTTATGATCTAAAAGCCCTCAACCCCTCCAGCCCTAGGGTCACACCCTCCTTGGTCTGAGAATTGTCCACGGACCACTGTCGGTGTTCCCGGTAGTTGGAGAGCAGGCAAAGTGCTCCCATGGCGAGCACTGAACAAACGCTAGCCCGAGCCAACTTCCTTCCAGCCCTTGGTGCACAACCGGTTCATACCACTGCACTTGCTGTGTGTTCTAGATTCTGTTTTATTCATTTAGTCTATTTCCTGTAACATTTCTAGGTATTCATATCACCTCTGAAGGACAAGATTAAAATAAAACAACCCTAAACCATTAAAAAACAAACAAACAAGCAAACCTTTCCAAGTGCTGGCCGTCCTCTATTTCCCTTGCCGACAGATCCCCTGTCCACCCCCTCCCCAATCCTGTGCCCCGGGGCCTGCCCCTCTGGCTCCATCACGGGCTGTCATGCTGAGCTTCTGGTTGGGCTCAGCTGGCAGGAGATGGAGGGTGAGAGGAGAGAGGGTGGATGTTTATTTCTCCAGCTGCCTCCCTCTCATAACACCCTCATGAGTTTCCACAGCCCTGACTTTACAGTCCCTTTAAAAATAGTGGCGTCACTAACTGCCCCATCACCTTGTCCACATGGGCCCTCTGTTTCCTGTGGGCCACACAGATCCACTAGGATCACCTTCTAGATGTCATGAACAGACTGGATAGAACTTCTCGGCCTTGCCAAGGGCACTGTCCTGGGTGCCGGGAGACCTGGGTTTGAGTGCTGTCTGTCACGGGCTCCCTTCTCTGCCGAATGGATGGCTCTACTGAGATGGTTTGGAGAAAAGGTTTCAAATACCAGGGCTGTACATAGGGCCTGGTGGACCAAGAGAAGCTAAGTGGGTCTGGCACAGGTGACCGAGAGGTGTGGGCTGCACAGAGGAGGCTCACAGGTCCTTATTGCCTCCTGAGCAGATGACAGTCCGGCCCCACCAGCTCCTTTTGAACACCGGGTAGTGAGCGTCAAGGAGACCTCCATCTCTGCGGGTTACGAGGTGTGCCAGCACGAAGTCTTGGGAGGGTAGGTGGGCATCTGCCTTGGTTGGGGGGCTTAGAGCAGGAGTCACGGGGCAGGGTCGGGACCACCTGGAGAACTGGGGTGGGTGCTGCAGGATGACTCTCTCTCGAGCTGATGGAGCCAAGGCTGGGGTGGGACATCCTGTACAGCATGGGGTGCATGGTGGCCCACAGAGTAGGGGAAAGAGAATAGCTTGAGAGGACACGAGAGCCCACGTGGCATCGGGGAGGGGAGGCTCAGGAGGGCGGGCACCCTGTGGGTATGGGAGGAGGCACAGCCTGGAGGTGGCCGGAAAGCCGACATGAGGTGGGGTGAGGAGAAGCTTCTTTAGGGTGGATAGCCCAGGTGGTGTGGGGTGAGGGGATGTTCCCTGGGATGCAAGATGGCCCAGGTGGTGTGGGGTGAGGGGATGTTCCCTGGGGTGCAGGATGGCCCAGGTGGTGTGCGGTGAGGGGGATGTTCCTTCAGGTGCAGGATGGCCTCAGTGGTGTGGGGTGAGGAGATGTTCCCTGGGGTGCAGGATGGCCTGGGTGGTGTGGGGTGAGGGGATGTTCCCTGGGGTGCAGGATGGCCTGGGTGGTGTGGGGTGAGGGGATGTTCCCTGGGGTGCAGGATGGCCTGGGTGGTGTGGGGTGAAGGGGATGTTCCTTCGGGTGCAGGATGGCCTCAGTGGTGAGGGATGAGGGGATGTTCCCTGGGATGTGGAATGGCCTGGGTGGTGTGGGGTGAAGAGTTGCTTTGCAGGTTTCGGGATAGCCAGCAGGGTTTTGGGGTGATGACAGGCTGCACTCTGGGATGTAGGATGGTCCACATGGCCTGTGTGTGGATGAGTTGGACCCAGAAGTCCAGGGATGGGTGTGGGATGAGCCTCTGGGCTCTCAGCCTGCCGTGTGGCTATGTCTCTGCAGGGGTCGGTTTGGCCAGGTCCACAGGTGCACAGAGAAGTCCACAGGCCTCCCACTGGCTGCCAAGATCATCAAAGTGAAGAGCGCCAAGGACCGGGTGAGGCATCTGGCTGGGCCAGGTCCCTGTGGCCAGCCTCAGGATTCCTTTCCTTCCCTCAGGGCCCCCAGGCTCCCATGCTGAGCTGGAAATGCTACTTATTCCTGCTCTTTTCCAGAATTCCCACCCTCCAGTCAGGCAGTCCCCTTCACAGCCCTGGGTCCAGACCCACCCTCCATGCGCAGGTGTCCAGGCACAGCTCTGTAGAGCTGCCTGTGGGGCCTGGGGCAAGAAGGTCCTGTCCTTGTTGGGCCTTAGGTTTCCTGTCTGTGAGATGAGTGGGTCACACTCAGGCCCTTTGTGTTGTAGAATCTGGTTTGGGTGTTGAGTCAGGGAGACCTGGTGTGAGAATAGGAAACTAAGGAAGAATGAGGAGTTCTGTGTCTGTCTTGGGAGGTCAGCTGGCTCCTCTTCTTGACTCATTCGCTTGGAAATCCTTCTGTCCTCTGGTTCCCCCAAGGAGGACGTGAAGAACGAGATCAACATCATGAACCAGCTCAGCCACGTGAACCTGATCCAGCTCTATGACGCCTTCGAGAGCAAGCACAGCTGCACCCTTGTCATGGAGTAGTGAGTATCAGAGGCGGGGCGGCCGCCTCGGCTCAAGCCAGGGCTCAGTGCTGGGGCTTAGAGCCTTCATTCGAGGCAAAGCCCTCTCTCTCCTTTCCCCTTCCTGGCACGTCCAGGGTCGTGTCATCCTGTCTTCTCTGGCTTGGCTATTTGACCTCCAATACGGAATGTGGAGGACAAAGCAACTTTGTCACAAACCAGTGGCCAGTGAGCCTGATTTGACCTGCAGGTGTATGTATGTCAATTGACCTATACTACTTTCAGTGATTTTTTGAAAATTAAATTAAATTGAAACTTTTTTTAGAGACAAGGTCTTACTCTGTCACCCAGGCTGGAGTGCAGTGGTGTGATCACAGCTCACTGCAGCCTTGAACTCCCAGACTCCAGTGATCCTCCCACTGTAGCCTCCCATGAAGCTGTGACCACAGGCGTGTGCCACAATGCCCAGCTAATTTTTAAATTTTTTGTAGAGATGAGGTCTTGCTATGTCGCCCAGGCTGGTCTTGAACTCCTGAACTCAAGTGATACTTCTGCCTCAGCTTCCCAAAGTGCTGGGATTACAGGTGTGAGCCACCACACTCTGCCTATTTTTAGTAATGTGGGATTTGTTGTTAACCATTGGAAATTAGGAAGCTTCACATTAAAACCTAGATATCTGGCTTTTCTTGAAAACATAAAAGATGTAGTAAATGCCGGGCCTGCCTTTCCAAGTGGAAGTGATGTGTGGGAGCTCCCAGGGGTTGCTGTTTGTATACAGGGTGACCAGGCTTCCTTTGCCACAATCCCCACCACTCCCAACCGCCCCAGTGCTGGGGCCAAGGGCTCAGAGGCCGTTCATATTTGTGCTTGTGTTGCTGTTTTCCTTATGGGCAGAGCTGAAGAGAGTAAAACATTTGTCATGTCATGTCCTTATTGAAAGTGGAAAAAGAAAAGATAAGCGAAAGACTATGTGTCTTCAGAACATGTTTGCTTCATGTATGGCCTTATTGGCCCATTTAGGCTTATGCCACAAAGGTCTGAGTTGGCCTCCATAGGTGAATGAGTTCACAGCCCTGGTCAGAATCATCCAGAGTGTGCCTGGATCATCAACACTGATGGCCATCCCCTCTTCCCTTTGACCTGTCACTTCCTTTTTACCACGCCTAATCTTTGCTGGGAGCAGACTGGAGCAAAGGTCCCAATAAAACCCCAATGGCAGGCCCGGCGGGGTGGCTCACGCCTATAATCTCAGCACTTCGGGAGGCCGAGGTGGGTGGATCACATGAGGTCAGGAGTTCGAGACAAGGCTGACCGACATGGTGAAACCCTGTCTCTATTAAAAATACAAAAATTAGCCGGGTGTGGTGGTGAGCACCTATAATCCCAGCTACTTGGAAAGCTGAGGCAGGAGAATCACTTGAACCCAGGAGACGGAGGTTGCAGTGAGCAGAGATCGCGCCACTGCACTCCAGCCTGGGCGACAGGGTGAGACTCTGTCTAAAAACAAAACACACAAAAAACCCAAGGGCAGTGGCAGCAGCCCTGTGACCCATGGGGTGTGATGGTGGGCCTACCCGGGCTGGCCTCTTTTGGCCCTATAATGACAGTGGACAAGCCCTGAAGAGCCTTGCTTAGGCTGGTGCCTGCCTCTCCCTTTGCTCTGGCAGCGTGGACGGGGGTGAGCTCTTCGACCGGATCACAGATGAGAAGTACCACCTGACTGAGCTGGATGTGGTCCTGTTCACCAGGCAGATCTGTGAGGGTGTGCATTACCTGCACCAGCACTACATCCTGCACCTGGACCTCAAGGTGGGTTCTGCCCTGGGCATGCGGTAGGGGCCCCTGGTGTCCTAGCTCCTGGCGTGCTCTCACCATTGAGAGCTCTATCCACAGACAGTCCCAGCTTCCATTCCTGGCTCTCTGTCATTTTGTAGTTCTGGAGTCTGGGACAGGCCACTCTTGCTGCCTCTTGGGGCTGTAGTTCTTCCATCTGGATAATGGTACCTCTTTAAGTATTATTTGAAGATTAAGTGAAACAATGAGCTTTTCTTCTTTAAAAATATCTTTAAGATTACTTTTTTTAAAAGTTCAAAAGGGAACATAGGCTTTTGGTAACAACTATAGACAACAGAGTAGTGTGTAAAATACACAGTGAAAGTTCCTCCCGCCAGCCCTCCGTGCGGAAGGGACTTCTCTGTGAGCAAGCTGGCATGACTCACAGACACACAAAAGGAGATCCTACGATGCATTCTTCCCTCCCTCCCTCCCCCTCTCTCTCTTTCTTTTCTTTCTTTCTCTCTCTCTTTCTTTTCTTTCTTTCTTTCTTTCTTTCTTTCTTTCTTTCTTTCTTTCTTTCTTTCTTTCTTTCTCTTTCTTTCTTTTTCTTTCTTCTTTCTTTCTTTCTCTCACTTTCTTTTTCTTTCTCTTTCTCTTTTCTCTCTCTCTCTCTCTTCTCTCCTCTCTCCTCTCTTTCTTTTTTGGAGACAGGGCCTCTCTCTGTTGCCCAGGCTGGAGTGCAGTGGTGCCATCATATCTCACTGCAGCCTGGACCTCCCAGGCTTAAGTGATCCTCAGTCTCCCAAGTAGCTAGGACTACAGGCACGTGCCACCACACTTGGCTAATTTTTGTATTTTGTATAGAGACAAGGTTTCACCATGTTGCCCAGGCTGGTCTTGAACTCCTGGACTCAAGCAATCCTGCCTCAGCCTCCCAAAGTGCTGGGATTACAGGCATGAGCCACCACACCTAGCCCAGATGGCTGCAAATGCCATTAATTCATTCCTTTTTATGGCTGAGTAGTATATGGTACTGGCATAATAATAGGCGCTGAGTGGTATATGGTACTGGCATAAAAATAGGCACATAGACCAATGGAACATAATCGAGAACCCAGAAATAAACCCTAATACTTACAGCCAACTGACTGACAAAGCAAACAAAAACAAGTGAAGAAATGACACCCTATTCAACAAATGGTGCTGGGATAATTGGCAAGCCACATGTAAGAGAATGAAACTGGATCCTCATCTCTCACCTTATACAAAAATCAACTCAAGATGGATCAAGGACTTAAATCTAAGGCCTGAAACTAAAAATTGTAGAAGATAACATTGGAAAAAATCCTTCTAGACATTGGCTTAGGCAAGGATTTCATGAGCAAGAACCCAAAAGCAAATGCAATAAAAACCAAATGTTTGAAGAAGAATTAACACCTTTACAAATTCTTCCAAAAATAGAAGAGGAGAGAACACTTGCTTCTCATTTTATGAGGCTAATCTTATCCTGATACCAAAATCAAAGACATCACAAGGAAAGAGGGCTACAGACCAAAATCCCTTATGGATATAGATGCAAAAATTCTCAATAAAGTATTAGCAAACTGAATAAAACATATAAAAAGGATTATATTCATGACAAAGTGGAATTTATCCCAAGAATGCAAGGTTGGTTTAACATATGAAAATCAACCAACGTAATGGGCCATATTAATAGAATAAAGGATGAAATCATGTAATCATTTTAATAGATGAGAAAAAATAATTGACAAAATCCAAAAACTTTTCATGATGAAAATAATAAACAAATGAGGAACAGAACTTCCTCAACCTGATAACGGCCATTTGTGAAAAACCCACAGCTGACACTATAGTTTGTAGTAGGAGACTGAATGTTTTCTCCTTAAAATCAGGAATAAGACAAGGATATCTGTTCTTGCAACTTGTATTAAACATTTTACTGGAGGCTATCACTAGGGCAATTAGGCAAGAAAATAAAAGGCATTCAGATTGGGAAGGAAGTAAAACTGTCTCTATTTGCAAATGACACGCTCTTGTATATAAAAACTCTTAAAGAGAGGAGACTATTAGGATTAATAAATTCATCAAGGTTGCAGTATACAAGACAAATATACAAAAATCAATTGTATTTCTAAATACTGGGACTGAACAATCTGTAAATAAAATCAAGAAAATAATTTCATTTATGACAATATCAAAAGAAAAAATACACTTAGAAATATACTTAGAAAAAAATTAACAAAATAAGTGCAAGACATTCTCTGAAAACTACAACAAAATGTTAAGATAATTCAAAGACCTAAATAAATGGAAAGGCATGCCATGGTCATGGATTGGAAAATTTAATATTGTTAAGGTGACAATACTCCCCCATTGATCTATAGATTCAACATAATCCTTATCAAAGTCATAGCTGGCTTCTTTCCAGATATTAATGAAATCCTAAAATTCAGATGGGAATTCAAGGGACCTAGAATAACAAAAACAATCTTGAAAAAGAACGAATTTGGAGGACTAACTTTTCCCAATTTTGAAACTTTCTACAATGCTACAGAAACCAAAACAACGTATTACTAATGTAAGGTTAGATATGTGCATCAAATTAATACACTTGAGAGTCTAGACATAAACCATTACATTTATGGTCAATTGATTTGTGACAATGGTGCTATGACAATTCAGTAGAAAATTATAGTCTTTTCAACAATTGTGCTGGGACCCCATGCTAGGGAGCTACATGTGAAAGAACGAAGTTGGACCCTTACCTCACACCATATACAAAAATTAATTCAAAATGGATTGTAGACGTAAATGTAAGAGCTAAAACTATAAAATTGTTAGAAGAAAACATAGTAATAAATCCTTATGACCTTGGATTAGGCAATGGTTTCTTAGATATGACACTAAAAATATAATTAAAAAAAGATAAATTAGACTTCATCAAAATGAAAAAAATCTCATACTTCAAAGGATACCATGAGAAAAGTAAAATAATAGCTCACAGAATGGGAGAAAATATTTCCAAATCATATATCAGATAAAGGATTTGTATCTACAACATATAACAAACTCTTATAACTCAACAATAGAAAGAAATAACCCAATTTAAAAATGGTCAAAGGATTTGAATAGATATTTATCCAATGAAAACATACAATTGCCACTAAGCACATGAAGTGATTCTCAGCATCATTAGTCACTAGGGAATTGTAAATCAAAATCAGAATGAGATACTATTTCATATCCACTAGACTGACTACAATAAAAAGTAAAAATGACAGACAATAAAAAGTGTTAAAGTCTGGGCACGGTGGCTCACGCCTGTAATCCCAGCACTTTGGGAGGCCGAGGCAGGCGGATCACCTGAGCTCTGGAATTTGAGCCCAGCCTGACCAACATGGAGAAGCCCCATATCTACTAAAAATACAAAATTATCTGGGTGTCGTGGCACATGCCTGTAATCCCAGCTACTCGGGAGGCTGAGGCAGGAGAATCACTTGAACCTGGGAGGTGGAGGTTGCGGTGAGCGGAATCAGGGCACTGCACTCCAGCCTGGGTGACAAGAGTGAAACCCCATCTCAAAAAAAAAAAAAAAAAGCATCAGCTAGGATATGGGAAAATTGGAACCCTCATACATTGCTGGTGGGGTTGTAAAATGTGCATTCGCTTTTTAAAAAGTTTGGCAGTTCCTAAAAATGCTAAACATAGAATTACCATATAACCCAGCAATTTTACTCCTAGCTATACCCCTAAGAGAATTAAAACATAAGTTGACACAAAAACTTGCACACAAATGTTTTTAGCAGCATTACTTATAATAGCCAAAAGTGTAAACAACCCAGATATTCATTAATTTTATTAGTTAACGGATAAACAAAATATGGTCTAATCCATACAATGGAATATTATTTAGCCATGAAAAGGAATGAAGTGCTGATACCTGCTACACAACACGGATAAACCTTGAAAACATTCTGGTAAGTGAAAGAAATCAGACATGAAAGGCCATATCTTTTATGATTCCATTTATATGAAATGTCCAGAATAGGCAAATCCACAGAGAAAGAGAATACATTAATGATTGCCATGGGGTGGGAAGTGAGGAAAGAATGGACAGGAACTGATGATGGGTATGGTTTTGTTTTTTTTTTGAGGTGATGAAAATGTTCCAAAATTAGATAGTGATATCATTACACAACTCTGTGAATATACTAAAAATAATTGAATCGCACACTTTAAAATGGTGAGGGGCTCATGCCTGTGATCCCAGTACTTTGGGAGGTTGAGGCAGGCAGATCACCTGAGGTCGGGAGTTTGAGACCAGCCTGGCCAACATGGTGAAACCCCGTCTCAACTAAAAATACAAACAAATTTGCTGGGTGTGGTGGCCCACACCTGTAATCCCAGCTACTCGGGAGGCTGAGGCAGGAGAATCACTTGAACCTGGGAGGCGGAGGTTGCAGTGAGCCGAGATCGTGTCACTGCCCTCCAGCCTGGGCAACAAGAGTGAAACTCTGTCCCCACCCCCACCCCAAAAAAGGTGAGTTTTATGGTAAAAATCAGTATTATTTGTATTACTTATAATGTTATAAAATTTAAGTTCACCTGTTTCTTTTGACCTTTTTAAATGTACATTCTAGTAAACTTTAAATTACTATATATGTGGCTCACATTATATTTTTATTGGACAGTGTTATTCTAGATCTTATATAGAAGACAGAGATTTTTAAACACCATTCTCTCACACCTATCTGAGGAATTGTACAACCCCATTGTAACATAAATAACAATGAAAACTTCTGTTGGGAGAAACAGTAGCTGACATTTGCTTTGGAAGCTGTAAAGTGTTTCATGCATGTTATGTCATTTTATCCTCACACCCTCTGGGGGGACAGACAGGAAGAGGTTATTACTCCCGTTTTACGTATGGAGACATTGAGTCTTCAGGAATGGGGAGGGACTCATCTCGGGCTACAGAACCAGGTAATGAGCCCCTGGGCCTCAGGCACTGGACCCTGGGTCTGCAAGTCCTGTCTATCATAAGCCCTACATCTTCACTCAGCTTCTCTCCCCAAGCCCCCAACACACATACCCCCAAATTTGTCATGCATGAGCAGCGAGCATCCTTCCAGACTCCCTCAGGGCCTCAGAGCTGATCCAAATGCCCTAAGAGGAGAGGCGTGCCAAGGCTGCCACCCTCATGCCATGGGCCACAGCTGTCACTGCAGAATGGCAGGTGGACATTCAGCAGCTCTGCTCTCCTTAACCAACCAGTGATGCTTTGGTCTCACCCCAGAGGTTCTGATGTAATTGGTCAGGATTGAGGCCTCGGCACTGGGACTTTTTCTTTTTCTTCTTTTTTTAATTCTCTTAGCATTCCAGTATAACATTGGGATTTTAAAAGCTCCCCTGATGATTCCAATGTACAGCCAGGGTTGGGAACCCAGCCCCATACAAGCAGCTCATGGGCCAATTATATATCACAGAGGTATTCTGTTGGGTTCTGAGACGTGAGTTTAGATTTCGTTTAGTTGTTAACATTTAAAAGCATGGAATTTTCACATAAAAACCTGAATTCCTAGCTGGACATGGTGGCTCACGCCTGTAAGCCCAGCATTTTGGGAGGCTGAGGCTGGAGGATCTCTTGAGCCCAGCAATTCGAGACAGGCCTGGGCAACATGGCGAGACCCCATCTCTGTTTTTTAAATTAAAAACAAAACTGACCAAACAAAACACCCCTGAATTCCCGGCTTCTCTTGAGGACTGAAAAACTCTGGCATTGTGTCTGCACTCCTACATAGTGACCAGTGTCTGGTACTGGGTAGTGCTGTCCCTTTACACAGGCTGGGAGCCTCCAGTTCCCCACACTCTACACCAATCCTTATTGTCTCACCAGCCCCTTCATGTATTTCCATTATCTATCCAGCCCTTGCAGGGCTGCCCTGAGCCATTCATGTCCCTTGAAGGCTGGAAAACAGAGGCCTATAGACAAGTGTGGCAGCTGCAGACCTCCTCAGCTATTGCTTGGGCTAAGCAGACTTCTTTCTTTCCCAGCCGGAGAACATATTGTGCGTCAATCAGACAGGACATCAAATTAAGATCATTGACTTTGGGCTGGCCAGAAGGTAAGGGGGTTTTATTTAGATACCTTAACAAAATTCCTTGGGACTCTTTGTGGCTCTCTGGGCATGGTTACTCCTGACCCAGCTAATGCTTGAGTTTTGGAACTGATGCAAGAAAGCTCTTGTGTGCAGAAGCTGGTGGCCTTTGACTTGCAGACAGGCCTTGTTGCTCTTGCATGGGCTGGCTTTGTGCTGTGGGCTCTGCTTCTTCCTAAAAGGCTATGGAATTAACTGAACTTCACTCCACCTGTCAGAAGAGAGGAGAGTGATGGTGAAGGGGGCTGCTGAGCGAGGTGCTGGGCTGCTTAGTTCTATGGGTTCCCCAGGCATCCTGGGGCCAGGAGGTGCTGGGCTATGTGATGCATCTGTCACCATCCCTGCCCTCCAGGAAATGACCAGATTAAATACAAAAAGTGAGTATGTGACAGTGTTGGGTGGCGCCATGGGTAGGTGTTTCTGTAACCACTCAGGACTGGTTTACATCTTGGTGAAATGGTGATATAATACATTACCTGCTGGCATGGGGTGGTTATGAGGGTTAAATGAGAAAATACACAGACAGTGTGGACCCATCCTATCCAGGAGGTTAGGTTCTCAAGTTTCAGGGCATAAAGTAAACATTGTAGGCCCAGCACAGTGGCTAATGCTTATAATCCCAACACTTTTGGAAGGCCAAGGAGGGAGGATCTCTTGACCCCAGGAGTTCGAGACCAGCCTGGGCAACACAGCAAGACCTCATCTCTACAAAAAATACAAAAATTAGCCCAGCATGGTGATGAGCACCTGTAGTCTCAGCTACTTGGGAGGCTGAGGTGGGAGGATCACTTGAGCCTGCAGTGAGCCAAAATCACACTATTACACTCCAGTCTGGGCAGTAGAGCTAGACCCTGTCTAAAAATAAATAAATAATAAATAAAGTAAACATTGTATATTATTTATTATTATTTTGAGATGGAGTCTTGCTCTGTTGCCCAGACTGGAGTGCAGTGGTGCAATCTCTGTTCACTACAACCTCTGCCTCCCGGATTCTAGCAATTCACCTGCCTTAGCCTCCCAAGTAGTTGGGATTACAGGCGCCTGCCACCACACGTGGCTAATTTTTGTATTTTTAGTAGAAATGGGGTTTCACTAAGTGGGTCAGACTGGTCTCAAACTCCTGACCTCAAGTGATCCTCCTGCCTCAGACTCCCAAAGTACTGGGATTACAGGCGTGAGCCACCACATCAGGCCCATTGTATATGATGTTAAAAATCTCATAGTCTCTTAAAATGCCTGAAGCCTAGTGCAGTGTGGCTAATGTTGCTGTGTAGCCCAGGGGTGCCACACTACCCATGGCGCCACCCAACACTGTCACATACTCACTTTTTGTATTTAAACTGGTCATTTCCTGGAGGGCAGGGGTGGTGACAGATGCATCGCATAGCCCAGCATGTCCTAGCCCCAGGAGGCCTGCGGAACCCACAGAACTGAGCAGCCCAGCACCCCACTCAGTGGCTCCCTTCACCATCACCCTACTCTCTTCACAGATAGGTGCTGTGAAGTCCAGTCACATGTGTGCTGAATACTGTGCGCCTGGAGAGCTCCTGCCCACGGCATGCATGCCCAGTGGTGTGGGTTCTTGGCAGTGGTAGTAGCAGACCCTTGGCATTTGGGAAGGCTTCCCCTAAACCTTCAGGCATCCTCAGTTCGTAAACATGGCAGTAGTTGTATGCCCAGCTTCTAGGATTCCTCCAGGATTCTGTTTCCTCCGAGAATGACATTTCTCTGGGAATCACATATCTTCTTTTTTTTTTTTTTTTGAGACCGAGTCTCATGCTGTCACCCAGGCTGGAGTGCAGTGGCACGATCTCGGCTCACTGCAACCTCCGTCTCCTGGATTCAAGCAATTCTCCTGCCTCCGCTTCCCAAGTAGCTGGGATTACAGGTGGCCGCCACCATGCCCAGCTAATTTTTGTATTTTTAGTAGAGACGGGGTTTCACCATGTTGGCCAGGATGGTCTTGATCTCTTGACGTCGTGATCCGCCTGCCTGGCCTCCCAAAGTGCTGGGATTATAGGTATGAGCCACCACGGCAGGCCGAATCACATATCTTCCAGGTAGGTCTTTCAGCTGCAGCTGAATTTTCAACTCTTCTGGAAGCTCCTTCTCTCTCCTAATGGCTGGCTGTTTTCTTCTTCCTCTTTTTTTTTCAGACAGAGTCTTGCTCTGTCAGGCTCACTGCAACCTCTGCCTCCTGGGTTCAAACAATTTTCCTGCCTCAGCCTCCCGAGTAGCTGGAACTGCAGGCGCCTGCCACCACGCCTGGCTAATTTTTATATTTTTAGTAGAGACAGGGTTTCACCATGTTGGCCAGGCTGGTCTTGAACTCCTGACTTCAAGTGATCTGCCCGCCTCAGCCTCCCAAAGTGCTGGGATTACAGGCGTGAGCCACCACGCCTGGCCCTGATGGCTGTTTTCCATGCAGAAGTAGTTTTGTTATTTCATGGCCACGCGGTACCCTCTATCACATCCACGAGTGGAAGGAAACACAGCATCGCCCCTGGATGCAGAGCCGCGCGCCTGAGCTCAGCTCTGCCTTCCAGCACCTGCCTCCCAAGCAGCACCTACACCCTCAGTGCTGGTCTTCCTGGTCACTCCTCCACTGGTTGAAGTGTAAACATTACCCATTTGCAGTGTGATGATGCATTTTCAGTGCCCCATGTGCTGCTAGTGTAACCGCAGGAGGAATTTCACATCATCCCACGAGACAGGGTCTCTATCACACAGTGTATTGTAGTTCATGAACAGAAAAAAAATCACATTCAATCTATCATGTTAGCAAATTGCTTAGTATTTTCCCTGGTAATGTGCTATAAAATTCAGATGCCTCCCACATGCTTGCACGTTGTATACACTAGGGCAGTGTTTCTCAACCTATTTCATTATCGCTGCCTGCCCTGTAGTGAGCCCTTTTTGACTTTATTTCCCCAATTGCCTAGTCCCCCTATGCCATGAAATTTAATACCACTGATGTACTGTGTATCTGTTTATGTGCTGTGGCCCTTTGGAGAGCCACAAACCATTGCAATAGCTAAGGTTGTTTTGTCCCCCAAGAACCAATGTTTGTCCCCCATGGGGCAATATTGTCTTCACTGAGAATGCACATGCTGGTGTATGCAGTACACTCTCAAATACCTGATGGCCCGCTGCCAAATGAGCATTTGCAGGGACACATTGTGAACACCAAGAAAGAAGCAATTATTGGACACCCCTGAAATCTGGGAAGGCTTTTCTGAGCGGTTGGCAGGGACTGGTGGACAGGATTTGCTGTCTGCAGGCAATGCTGCTATGCTGGCAAATGCTTCAGCACCAGCCTGGGGGAGTGGGGAGTGAGAGGGGATGGGTTTGATTTGTAATCTTTGCCAGGGTTTGCTAATTACACACTACCAAGATGATATCACTGAAGGTGGAGTTGGAAGGAGAGGCACTCAGGACTCCCGTGCACCTGAGAGCCGGCTCTAGTGCAGCACTGCCTGGAGGGGAGGTGGGGGGGGCGCCCTGTGAGTTATGGGCTGAGAACAGGGTGCATGCCGTGTATGTGCGGGCTGGTTGGGGGAACATACAGTGGAAGATGAGGGCACTAATGGGGAATCCTGAATGCGAGGCTCACACGTCTGAACATTATCCTATAGGCCACAGAGTCTTACCTGGTGGGGATGTGAAAAGGGCTATAGGTCAATTTACCAAAAATTAGTCAAGCCAAAAGCCTCCATGCTGAGTGGCTGTTTGGGGAAAAACTCTCAAATTGTATTTCCTCTGCTCTCACACCACAGCAAACAACACTGAAGACTTCTGTGATCAAAAGCGGGCAGCTGGGTTCCCTACCAGTGAGCAGTGGATGCCAGCTGGGTGTCCTGCAGTTCAGTTCCGACATCCCCTACCGGGAGATAGCGTCAGATCCCACAGGTTGAGGGCTCAGTCCTCAAGGATACCCTCTCTTCCCCCAGACAGTGGTCACAAGTGCAGGCCTCTGGAGCTTCTGATGGAATGTCTTCATGTTGGGGTTCCCAAGACCCCCTCTTTGGGTTTGCTTAATTTGCTGGAATGGCTCAAATAACTCAAGGAAATACTTACTTACATTTACTTGTTTATATTACAAAGAATACAGGTGAAGAGGGGCACAGGGCAAGGTATGGGGGAAGGGGCATGGAGCTTCCATGCCTTCCCTGGGTGCCCCCTCTCTCCAGGAATCTCCCCATGTTCAGCCATCGGGAAGCTCTCCAACCCTGTCCTCTTGGGGTTTTATGGAGGCATCAATACATAGGCATGATTGACAATGGCATAGAAAGGTGATTGGACAAAAAGCCCATGATCTAAACCCAGCAAGGCCTGTCTTTTTCTTAGCCTTTCTGTGTTGCATTCCTTCCTTTAGGGTAGGGGGCAGGACCCTCTCTAGAATGAGAGTCTTTTGATCCACAGTCAGAGTAGAGTCCTGCCTTGGGCAGGTGAAAGAAGGACTGGAGAAGGACAGAGAGAGAGATTCTCTCCTGAGGCCTAAAGTGTCCCAACATTATAACAAGGACTATGCAAGTTAGAAGCCAGGAATAAACATACACACACACACACACACACACACACACACACACACATATATATACACATACACACACACATATATATATACACACATATATATACACATACATACATATATGCGGGCTATATATATATATACACATACATATATATGTGGGCTATATATATATACATATACATATATATATATGCGGGCTATATATATCTCTCATAACATCTATCTGTCTATCTATCTATCCATCTATCTATCCCATAACACTACAGTGCCCAATCCATTCAAAAGTGTCAGACAAATTCCTTAACCTGGTCAAGGGCAAGAATTTGCTGGCGGGACCAGAAGCAGAGGGCAAGTTCCAGAAAATAAACATGGTGCCACATGTAAGAGCAGGCCACTCATGGAAAACAGCTGGGCTCTGGTGACGGGCAGGCACCCAAAACCCATGATAATGCAGGAAACCGCACTCCGTGGGGCCGGGCTGGCAGAGACACAGGTTCTGGCTGTGAGGTGGACTGAAAACGTCAAAAACAACCTCCATCATCTGGCACACAGGTCATTCAGCAGTTTTATTTAGCAAATTGTTTTTTGCCAAACTGGCCTGCTTCTTGGGCACAGTGTCTTTCCAAGAGGATCTGTGGGGGTTTTGCAGGTTAAGGAAGCATATTCCATGCTGCAGAATAAATAAATGTTTGTAAAGACAAAGGGAATGCTAATTTCCCCCCAATACAAACTATAGAAAATAAAGTTGGTTTTCAGCAGGGACATGGCTCCTGGTGCAGTGGAGGCACATATTTGTACAATTCTCTGATATCAGGATCTCCAGCAAGAGGGACCAGGTTTATCCCAGGCCAGGCAGTGAGAGCCATCAGTGCATCTAAATAGTGACATGTCCAGGGTTAAGGCTGGAGACACAATGGAAATTATCTTAAACATTTTGGGAGTCCCCTGACTCCCAGTCCAGTGCTCAGACTAGAGTCAGAGCACAAAAGATCCCATTTCATCAGATCCTTTGGCAGAGTAAGAGGATGCCTTCCCCGAGCCCTGTGAGGATACGGTCTCCTATTTGACCTTATGGCCATAGACAGACTTGAGCTAAGAATATGAAGAGAGCGTTTTGATGGATATTTTGACAGCTTTGGGGTGAATGTCTCAGTTAGCTATTGCTGCAATACTGCTGTGTAACAAACCACCCCAAAACCAGAGGCTTAACATGACAGTAATTTATTCCCATCCACACATTTGTGATTTAGCTGGGGGAGTGGTATGCTGGATGCAACTTTAACTAGTACTTACTGTATTAGCTCATGATAAGGAGTTTTGTAATCCAGTTGTTAAACACAGCCATTAGTAAGAATTAAATTCTGTAAGTTTACAAATAAAGAAATTATATTAAAATAGAAGATACTAAATATTCAGACTCCATTGCTTCCTAACTATGCTGCTGTGCTCTGTGCTTGAGGTTGCTTCTGCCCATCGTGTCTCTATGGTGGAAATACTTGAGGGGGGTGCCACTGTGCAGCTCTTCCCACCTTCGTTCAGTGACGTCATGATAATACCTTGACATTGACCATGGTGAAATTGGTATCTACACCACAGAAATTGCAAATGCTACAAATCAGGGCTTTAAAACAACAACAAAAACAAATAGATGATTGTGAAGCATTTACCCACATACCCCTGACTGGGAGTCGCTGATCTAGACTGGGCACAGTTGGGCTTGAATCCAGGGTGCAGGTCAGTGAGGGTGGGTCTGCTCCGTGTGCCCTCATTCTCATGGTGATGGTGAAGGAGAGGACAAGCTCTGATGGCCTAGGTTGGCATGGGCCCACTGTCAGTGGGGGTGATATATTACACCTCTTGTGGAGGGAACTACAAAGTCACATGACACGAGGTGTGGCTGTGGGGCACGAAGAGGCACTGGGAACAGTAATGCAACTGGGGAGAGTGGCTTTGGGGGCTTCTCCTTGAGGGGAAGGCTCTTCCCTTAGTTGGAGTTCGGCTCCTGATCCTTGAGTCCTGGGTCAGCTGCTGGGCAGGGGAGGGACAGGTGCCAGAGGAGCGCTTGCCCCCCGAGGCCCAGTCCTTCAACCCCCGTCACCTTGCTGCTCTTTCACTGGATGGGCTCAGCTGTGTTGGCGCTGAGTCTTTGTCTGCCTGGCTCTCAGCAAATTTGGAGGAGAGGAGACTGCTCTCTGAAAGCTGATTTAAAGGAAGCAGGGCATATTGGCAGAATGTTCATTTTATTTATTTTATTATTGTTATTCTCAATTGCCTCATCTATAAAATGGGGACAATAATCCTACCTATTTCATAGGGCTATTGGGAGGAGGGAAAGAGATGCTATACATGTATAAAACTTTTAGCATAGTATCTGGCAAATAAAGTGCCCATGAAATTTTAGCTAGAGACTCTTTTTCTTCAAGAGTGATTCTAAAACACACTGTTTGCCCCCCTTTCCCACTCAACCGTTGACTCTCTTCCTAGCCTTAAACTTCATGTCCAGAACTTTTTCTAATTTTTTATTTTTGGAATTGTGGTTAAAAAAATACATAACATAAAAGTTACCACCTAGTGTCCATCAGTGGATAAAAAATCTGGGGTGTATATATGCAGATGAATACTGTTCAGCTTCAAAAGATAAGGGAATCCTGTCATTTGCAGCAACATGGATGACCCTGTAGGGCATTATGTTAGGTGAAATAAGCCAGGCTCAGAAAGACAAGTACCACGTGATCTCACTTAGGTGTGGAATCTAAAAAAGACAAACTCTTACAGGCAGAGAGTTGGATGGTGGTTACCGAAGACAGGGCAGGTGGCACTGGGGAGACGTCTGCCAAAGGATACAATATTTCACTTAGAAAGGAGGAATAAATTCAAGAGAGCCATTGTACAACATGGTGATTATAGTTAATGTATTGTATACTTCAGAATTGCCAAGAGAATAGATTTTAAGTGTTCTCACCACAAAAAATAAGTATGTGAGGTAATACTTATGTTAATTAGCTTGACTTAGCCATCCTACAATGTACACATGTATCAAAGCATCATATATACCGGCTGGGTGTAGTGGCTCATGCATGTAATCCAGCACTTTGGGAGGCTGAGACAGGCAGATTGTTTGAGCTCAGGAGTTTGAGGCCAGCCTGGGCAACATGGTGAAACCTCATCTCTACAAAAAATACAAAAAATTAGTCAGATGTAGTGGCGTGTGCCTGTAGCCCCAGATACTCAGGAGGCTGAGGTGAGAGAATTGCTTGAGCCTGGGAGGCAGAGGTTGCAGTGAGCCGAGATCTTATCACTGCACTCCAGCTTGGGTGACAGAGTGAGACCCTGTTTCAAAAAAAAAAAAAAAAGGCATCATATATACCATAAATATATACAATTAGTACATTCTCGTTGTTGTGCAACCAATCTCCAGAACTTTTTCATCTTGCAAAACTGAAATTCTATACCCATTAAATAATAACTTCCCATTTTCTGCCTGCCCCTAACCCCTTCCTAATTTCTGTTTCATAAATTTGACTACTGAAAGAAGCAAATGCCTGGAGGAGGAAGACTGTGGTTTTCTGATTCTATCGCTGACTTAGAAAAGCCAGAAGTTTGGGGCCTGGGATCTGATTATTCCCCAGTAATTCACAGGTGTAATGTGGGTGTGGAGTCCAGGCCATATGGCTGATGGGAAGTGGGGAATGTCTGCATCCCACCAGAAATGAGCCCCAGCACCACATCTCCCAGGCCTCACCCCATGCTTCTTTGTACCCTCCCCTTCTCCCCAGGTACAAGCCTCGAGAGAAGCTGAAGGTGAACTTCGGCACTCCTGAGTTCCTGGCCCCAGAAGTCGTCAATTATGAGTTTGTCTCATTCCCCACAGACATGTGGAGTGTGGGAGTCATCACCTACATGCTGTGAGTGCTTAGCACCCTGGCTCTGAAGTGGGGACAGGGGTCATTTGTCTTCCTTTGGGTAATCTTAGAAGCAAAATTTTGAGCACAAGTAGTCTATTTGGGAGGTAACCCCAGGAAACCCCAATAGAGGAATAGGGTAGTGAGATGGGGAAGGAAAGGAGCCAGGGAAGGGTATGTTATCAAGCCAGTTACCATATTTACAAGGCAGTCGTATTTCCAAGTTATAATTTTAGTAGGTTAATATTGAAAAAATTGAGATGTGCCGATATTATTCCCTGGAACAAAGGTCTAAAGGCCTGTTTCTCGGTGAGGAAGGCCTACTTGGGCTTCAGCAGCTGTATCAAAGTTATGGGTTGAGCTGGGCATGGTGGCTCATGCCTGTAATCGCAGCACTTTGGGAGGCCAAGGTGGGAGGATTGCTTGAGCCAAAGAGTTCAAGACCAACCTGGGCAACATAGGGAGACCCTGTCTCTACCAAAACCAAAAAAAATTAGTTGGGCATTGTGGTGCGTGCCTATCGTCCCAGTTACTAGGGAGACTGAGGTGGGAGGATTGCTTGAGCCTGGGAAGTTGAGGCTGCAGTGAGCCATGATCATGCCATTGCATTCCAGCCTGAGTGACAGAGCAAGACCATGTCTCAAAAAAAAAAAAAAAAAAATTATGGCTTGAGCCATTGAATTTTTTGGTACTGAGACATAAAAGTAATAACTGAAAATAACAAAGGTATTCATCGAGAGTAAGGCCCGATTGTGGGCAACTGGAGTTTCATTCTGCTGGGGAACTCCAGAATGCATCATGGAATACCCCCTGAGAGTTATTTCATCTAGGGGGTATTTATACACTAATTCTTACCAGTTATTCCTTGTGGACTAATGGAGATGGGGTGGAATTGATTTCCTGATACTTCTGGGTGGGTAAAGCAAGCTTCAGCTGGAGAGAAAGCCCTCCAGCAAAGACATGCAGGTGCTTTGGTACAAATGGAGCTGGATCATGCCTATAATCCCAGCACTTTGGGAAGCTGTGGCGGGAGGATTGCCTGAGCCCAGGAGTTTGAGGCTGCGGTGAGCTATGATTGCACCATAGCACTCCAGCCTGGGTGACAGAATGAGGCACTGTTTAAAGACAAAACAAAATAAAAACCCAAATGAGGCTGGAGTGCACCGAAGGGGTAAGGGGGTGGGGGGCAGGGCAGGATACCCTTTGTGGCATCATTGAACCCCTGTGCTCCCTGTTTTCTTCTCTGTCTGGCTGTGGACTTCCCGTGGCTGCTTCCTCAGAGGTAAAGTCATGTTTTACTTCTGGTCTCCTGATTATTGTGTAACTGCTGCGCACTGTCCCTGCACTCAGATATGGGAGCTGCGCCAGGCTGGGGAAGTTCAGATCCCTGAGGCTGGCCGTCAGGGTGTCCTGATTCTCTATCCTCCCTCAGGCGGGAACCTAATAAAGCCCATTTTCCTTTGGCTTGGGGCCTGGGTAGCATCTAAATAAGCCTGGCTGTCTCAAGGACATGGAAGGCTATTTCTATTTCTAAAATTAAATCAATGTGTACTTGATAACTGGGCATACCAAGTTGGGCCCTAATTTTACTCTTTACTTCAGGAATGAGGTGGAAAGAGGTGAGCACAAGAGGGGACTTATTCCAAAAATTCTTCTTGCCTCCAAATTTTAAATCCTTCCGCTTCCTCCCTTTAATGAACACACTGGACTCCATCCTGTGGAGAAGTAGTGGAGGTGCTTTTATTTTGAACCCTCTTGGTTCTGGCTAGGTCCACTTGAACTCTGTAAGCTTCTCTATTCTGCCAATGCATGTTGGCAAATGTGGCCTCCACCTACTGATGGTCCTTTCTCTCTTCTATAGACTCAGTGGCTTGTCCCCATTTCTAGGGGAAACAGATGCAGAGACCATGAATTTCATTGTAAACTGTAGCTGGGATTTTGATGCTGACACCTTTGAAGGGCTCTCGGAGGAGGCCAAGGACTTTGTTTCCCGGTTGCTGGTCAAAGAGAAGAGGTACCTTTCATTGCTTGTCACTCATGGGCCCTTCTGATGGGGACCCCAGGTCTGGGAGCTGGGCAGGACTGCTGACCGTGAAGGTCCTTCTTCCTGTGGACAAATTCCATTCAAGATTTCTTAGTTTGCTACTTCTTTGGAAAAATAAAGGGAACAGAGAAAGGGACAAAGGAAATCAATGAAACAACAAACAAGTAGGGGCATAAAATATAGTTTTAGAAAGAAGCATATGTAGATTGGTCCTATCTGCAAGTTATCAGTTGTCATAGGCTAAGGTTGAAGAAAAGAACTGAGATATGCAGATGTTATTTCCAGAATAAAGATCTGAATACCTTGTTTCTTGGTGAAGAAGATCTATTTAGGCTTCAGCGTCTATATCAAAGTCATGGGTCAAGCCATTTGAGTTTTTTGATACTCAGAATAAGGTAATAACTGGACATAACCAAAGGTATTAACCACCCAAGGCTAAGGCCCAGGAGTCTGGGCTCTAAGACAGCTTGTATTTCCCTGACTTTTACAATTTTGTTTCTTTCTGACTGTGAAAAGTTATGTGAGAGGAAAAAAAATTCTAAGTCAGATGAACAAGTTGGCTTTATACTCTGGAAGGAGAAATGAGCTTCCTTCAAATTTCCTGTTCTTTTGCTTCTTTAAGAGCAATTCCAGGCATAGCTAGCCTTCCTACTGCCCTGCCTCAACTTCTCAGCCCCCTCTGGGAAGTGGTTCCTCCCAGAATCACTGGAATATGTTCCCCCTATAGAGGTCAGAGAACATTTTGCTGACGACCTTCTGGCACTTTGAAGGAAGGGAATTTTAGACACAAGGAGTTCCCTTTTTGGTACATGGCATGAATCTGCCTAAATGATTAATCTGTTCCACTGACTCAGGCTTCCTACTCAAGTGAACAGATTTTTGGATGAGAAAAGGCAACTCCAACTAAAAGTCTTAACTGCTCTTTGATTTCACAGCTGCAGAATGAGTGCCACACAGTGCCTGAAACACGAGTGGCTGAATAATTTGCCTGCCAAAGCTTCAAGATCCAAAACTCGTCTCAAATCCCAACTACTGCTGCAGAAATACATAGCTCAAAGAAAATGGAAGGTATTTGGTTTTTCTCTTAGTAAAGGTGGAATTTGTCATCCTAATCTGTCCTTGGAAAAAACTGTAGCTAAGTTTCCTTTTCTTTTTTTTTTTTTCTTCTTTTTGGGTTTGTTTTTATAGACAGGGTCTTGCTCTGTTGCCCAGGCTGGAGTATAGTGGCATGATCATGGTTCACTGTAACCTTAAATTCCTGGGTTCAAGCAATCCTCCCACCTCAGCCTCCTAAGTAGTTGGGACTACAGGCATGTACCACCATGCCTTGCTAACTTTCATATTTTTTGCACAGACAGGGTCTTGTTAAGTTGCCTAGGATGGTCTTGAACTCCTGGCTTCAAGCACTCCTCCTGCCTCAGCCTCCCAAATTGCTGGCATTACAGGCATGAGCCACTGCACCCAGCCTGTAGCCAGGGTTTTACTTACATTTTGATTCTAAACAGAAAGATTATTTAGGGGGAAAAATCTCTCTCATGTCAAAAGCTGCTAGCTTGATTTAAAAATGTCACAGAGCAAAAATAACTGGCATAAAACTTACATTTGGTTTGTGCTTATATGGACACTTGAAGTGACAGAATGAAGCTTAAGCATATGTTCTCAGTGGCAATCATCGTGAAGCTCCTGAACTAACTGCTTAGAGCTTGAGGCCTGATTCTTCCACATTTCAGAAATGGGAGATAAGAAAGGCCTGTTAAACTTTTAAAACTTTATAATTTTGTTTACAACAGAATTCTTTAGTCCCATGGACATAAAACCTATCTTAAAAGCAATTGTGATCCAGGGAAGTGGCTTCCAACAATTTAATATGGACTTAGATCCTCACTGGGGATCCAAAAGCACAAACAAAACCCTTTATGTATGGAGCCAGTACACAAGAATACCTATACATGTACACACTTACCGGGAAACACACAACAAAAATTTGACTCAGGCGTGGTGGCCTGCACCTATAGTTCCAGCTATTTGGGAGGCTGAATGGGGAGGATCACTTGAGTTCAGGAGTTTGAGGCTGCAGTGAGCCGTGATCACGCCAGTGTACTCTAGCCTGGGTGACAGAGGGAGACTCCCATCTCTGTTTAAAAAAAAAATCACAACATTTTCTCTAACAGAATATGATGTATTCTGATATTTTCTATTCTGTGCCACTTGGTTTTATTTTTTAAATGCTGTTCACAACCCACCAATTTGATTTCATGACCCATTGCTCGGTTGTGAATCACAATTTGAAAAACACTGTTCTATCAAAGCATGATGTAGGCTGATGAAAAATAAAAATAAGACACTGTTCTAGGGTGCTCCATTTTTCATGTGAAAAGGGCAGGATAAACCTGGGTAACCTAGTGAGACTGTATCTTTACAAACAAGACAAAAGTTAGCTGGTCGTGGTGGTGGTTGCCTGTAGTCCCAGCTACTTGGGAGGCTGAGGTGGGAGGATTGCTTGAGCCCAGGAGGTAGAGGTTGCAGTGAGCCAAGATCACGCCACTGCACTCCAGCCTGGACAACAGAGCCAGACCCCATCCTGACCCCCCTACCCCCTCCCCAAAAAAAGAAAAAAAAGAGGGCAGGATGATGTATCTTCCCACTTCATATTTACTCCCAACATGCCCCTGAAAGTCATGTGACTATTCTATAATTATTTTAGAAACTTGTTTCCCTTTAGGTATCAGATTTAAACCAACCCCAGTGGCTGGACTCACTTAAATCCTTTTATTGTTTCTTCATAAGGCAACTGGTCTAAAATACATGCTTTTTCTTTTCTTTTATTCTCTCCTTGCCTCAAGAAACATTTCTATGTGGTGACTGCTGCCAACAGGTTAAGGAAATTTCCAACTTCTCCCTAATCTTCAACTCTGCTGCTCCAATGGGTCCAGAAATTACTGAGGCCAGTGGTGAAGTGAAGAGATGACTCAAACATTTAAATAATTTGGCTTTTTGGTATTATTGATTCCACTTATTTTGTAAAAATGGTTATGGCTGCTGCCTTCCTTGTGGATGAAAAGTGGCTGTAAAGAAGCTTCCTAAGAACGTTTTTTTCTGCCTTGTAAGATCACTACGTGTGAAATGCTCTGAGTACCTTTCAAATATACCTACTTTTGGTGGTAAGTGTAGGGATGCTTTAGGTAGGTACTTTGCATCTGTCGAATTTAAATTCTAAACTCACACTGATTAAGGAACTCAGTAGACTACTTTGCAGGGGCCATGTTATTCAGTGTTATCTCCTCCAGTACAAAGAATTCCTAGAATTTTGATTTGCTCAGGTGTGAGCTGACATTTTATTGTACTACCCCATTCTTGTGTTAAGCCATGTGGATTTAGGACAGTGATCTTCAAACTTGCTTTAACTTATGCTCCCTTTTGAGAATCAGCATCACTTGAAATGTCAAAATATGTCAACTCTCATAGCCAAATCAAAGAAGTGATCATTTTGACTGTGCTTTTTAAATCTCCACACACCTCCACCTCTCTCCTAATTCTGCCTGTCTTAACCCCTCTGTCTTAGTTATAAATTTCTGGTCTTGTAAGTCTGGAAGCTGATAGGCAATTTATGAAAGAGATAAGAATGTAATGAGGTTCCGCTTTCTGAGAAACACAGAAATGATACATCCTGAGACATAAAGGAAAGCTGCTCTTCTGCTGCCTCAGGCTGTAGCACTCTCAATGTTGTCACTCTACACATACACTTTCTATATACATGTACAGTTGACCCTTGAACAGGGTTTGAATTGCAGTCAACTTAAATGTGGATTTTCTTTCACCTTTGTCACCCCTGAGACAGCAACACCATGCTCTCCTCTTCATCCCACTCTGCAGCCTACTCAACAGGAAGATGATGAAGATGAACACCTTTATGATGATCCACTTTCACTTAATGAATAGTAAACATATGTTTTCCTCCTTATGATTTTAGTAACTTTTCTCTAGCTTACTTTATTGTAAGAATACAGTATATAAGCTGGGTGTGGTGGCTCATGCCCATAATCCCAGCACTTTGGGAGGCTGAGGCAGGCAGATCACTTGAGGTCAGGAGTTCAAGACCAGCCTGGCCAACACAGTGAAACCCCATCTCTACTAAAAATACAAAAATTAGTGGGGCGTGGTGGCGGATGCCTGTAATGTCAGCTACTCTGGAGGCTGAGGCAGGAGAACTGCTTGAACCTGGGAGGTGGAGTTTGCAGTGAGCCAAGATTGCACCACTGCACTCCAGCCTAGGCAACAGAGCAAGACTCCGTCTCAAAAAAAAAAAAAAAAAAGAATACAGTATATGTATATATACACACACACAAACACACACACACACGAACACATATGTGTGTATGGGTATTAACTGACTGTTTATATTATTGATAGGGCTTCCAGTCAACATTAGGCTATTAGTAGTTAAGTTTTTGGGGAGACAAAAGTTATACTCAGATTTTCTACTGCAAGGGGGTAGGCACTCCTAACCCTCACATTGTTCAAGGGTCCACTGTACATTTAAACACTTTTCTATATGCATTAGAGTAGCCCTGTCATCCCTTCACTGAAATCATACTGTTCTCAACATGGCAAGCAACTAACACTTTTTTTTTTTTTTGAGACAGGGTCTCACTCTGTTGCCCAGGCTGCAGTGCAGTGGTGTGATCTTGGCTCACTGTAGCCTCCGCCTCCTGGGCTCAGGCGATCATGAGTACCTGGGACCATAGGTGCCCGCTACTACACCCAGCTAATTTTTGTATTTTTAGTGGAGATAGGGTTTTGCCATGTTGCCCAACCTGGTCTTGAGCTCAAGCGATCCACCTGCCCCAGCCTCCCAAAGTGCTGGGATTATAGGTGTGAGCCACCACACCCAGCTTCAACTAACACATTTACGAACTTGTATACATGTATATTTAGATACTTTACCAACTTGTAAAATGGTTAAAGGAGTACTTTATTATGAAAAAATATACAATCTTTAAAATTTCCTTACTTCTACATGATTTTTGTGCTATTCCCATTTTTTTCCTCAGGTGAGCAGCTTTAGTTTTTTATTTTTTTTGAGAGAGTCTTCCTCTGTCACCCAGGCTGGAGTGCACTGGTGTGTTCTTGGCTCACTGCAACCTCTGCCTCCCGGGTTCAAGTGATCTTGTGCCTCAGCCTCCCAGGTAGCTGGGATTACAGGCGTGTGCTGCCACGCCCAGCTAATTTTTGTATTTTTGGTAGAGATGGGGTTTTGCCATGTTGGCCAGGCTGGTCTCGAACTCCTGACCTCAGATGATCCACCTGTCTTGGCCTCCCAAAGAGCTGGGAATATAGGCATGAGCCACTGTGCTTGGCCTCAGGTGAGCAGCTTTAGTCAATGTTGTGAATTTTAGATTTTAATTAGACATGCAACAGTTTCACTACCTTTCAGGATTTTTGTCCTGTAACAGAGGCTCTTGCTTTTTGACAGAGAGGTAGGCAGGTGGAGAGGTTATCCTGCTGCTGCAGTTCTCAAGTTGTTAAGTTTCCTCTGGAAGGCTAACCCTTGTTGGGAACTAACAGTTTCAATACCAGCAAGTCTAGGCCTGCTCCAAGTTGGTCAGCTGAAGAATGAACATCAGAAGACACAGCTGCTGAAAGTTGTCCTTTGATGAGACAGTGATAGTGATTTGGTAAAATGTCTTATTTTTTAAATGTCAGTTATCTTTCTTTAAAAGGTTTTTTGAGGGCAGCCTCCAGAAGGAGCTAGAGAGTATATTTTATAGTTCTATTGTGGTTCATACCCTGTTTTCGACTTAAGATTCTGGAGAATGCTATGAAACATCTCCCCAGAAAAAGACAGTTAATTACCATATCTAGAGCAGCACTGCCCAACAAAAATATAGTACAGGCTATACACATAATTAAAACATTTCTAGTAGCTTCTCTAACAAAACCCATTGAAAGCCAATTTTAATAATTTATATAACTTAGTGTATCAAAAATATTTCAATATGTAATCAACATAAAATTGAGATACTTTACCAGCTACTAGGGAGGCTGAGGCCAGAGAATCACTTGAACCCAGGGGGTGGAGGTTGCAGTGAGCCAAGATCACACCATTGAACTCCAGCCTGGGCAACAAGAGCAAAACTCCGTCTCAAAAAAAAAGAGATATTTTATATTCTTTTTCTCATACTAAGTCTCAAAAATCTGGTATATTTTACACTTAAAAACACATGTCAAGGCTAGGCATGGTGGCTCACATCTGTAATCCCAGCACTTTGGGAGGCCAAGGTGGGCAGATTGCTGGCCAACATGGTAAAACCCCATCTCTAAAAATATAAAAATTAGCTGGGCGTGGTGGCGCATACCTGTAATCCCAGCTACTTGGGAGGCTAAGGCACAAGAATCACTTAAACAGGAGGCAGGGGTTGCAGTGAGCTGAGATCACACCACTGCACTCCAGCCTGGGTGGCAGAGCAAAACTTTGTCCCCACCCCTGACAAAAAACAAACAAACAAACAAAACAAAAAAAAACCTGTCAATTCAGATGCTAGGTTTTCATCAGACGTACTTAATCTGTATTTAGATTTCTTAAAACTTACTGTGGAAAATGTATTTACATACTCAAGTTGTTTGAAACATAACTCACTGTTTTCCAATAACTGAAGTATCCACTTTTACATGTATTAAAATTAAATAAAATTAGAAATTCAGTTCTGCAGTTGCACTAGCCACATTTTAAGTGTTTAATAGCCACACGTGGTTAGTGGCATCTATATTGGACAGGGCAGATCTAGAGAGAATCCTGTATCTAACAATTTTAATTTTTTTCCCTTTATGCTGTTATTCCTTACCTAGAGAAACAATTTCCCTCCAAAGTTCCTTTGAGGGGTCTGTTTAGGCCAGGCCAACACAAGTGACCTATGTGGATTTTAGCATCCTTTTTTTGAAATTTGAGGTTTTATGAAGCTTGAGTTTTTCTGGATATTTTTAGTAATTTGCTGGTGTGTACTTAGCTCAAATACTTGATTGCAACTGTGTTGGGTCAACTATTTCTAATGGGACTTTTCCATTTGCATGTACAGTCACTGGAAACTGCTGGGCAGAGAAACTCTAAAAGGTAGTTGGGGCACACTTTTTCCACCTGTCAGATTGGTGAAGAATTGGTGAGGCTGTGGGGAAAATGGCATTCTCCCACTTTTGATGGATATGTATCCAAATAAAAGTCATTCCCATGCTTTCTTTCATCCAGAAATTTTATTTCTAGAAATTTATCCCTCCGTACTTGAACAATTGTATAGAGATTTATTCAAAATGATGTTTACTATAGCACTGTTGCTAATGGCCCAGTAAAAACAACCAACACATGCCTATTAGTTTGGTTTTAGTTAAATGAATTTTGCCACATCCATGTAGTGGAATACCTCACAGCTGTTATAGATAGATCTAGATATACTGAAAGCCATTTTTTCTTAAATTATAGAATGTATATATGGTATCATCCCATTTGTGAAGAGACATATGCTTATATGTGCATTAAAAAACCGTAGGATATGCAAGAAACTTAACAGTGGAGTGTGAAAAGTGGGTGATTGGGAGAGGGGGAATTCCACTTTTCATTTATCTTTCTGAACCTTTTGAATCTTTTTTTTTTTTTTTTTTACAATGAGCATGTATTCCTTTTTTTTTTTTTCTTTCCAAGATGGAGTCTCACTCTGTTGCCAGGCTGGAGTGCAGTGGCGCAATCTTGGCTTACTGCAACATCCACCTCCCGAGTTCAAGTGATTTCTCCTGCCTCAGCCTCCCAAGTAGCTGGGACTACAGGCATGCGCCACCACGCCCAGCTAATTTTTGTGTTTTTAGTAGAGATGGGCTTTCACCATGCTGGCCAGGATGGTCTCGATCTCTTGACCTCGTGATCTGCCCACCTCGGCCTCCCAAAGTGCTGGGATTACAGGTGTGAGCCACTGCGCCTGGCCCGCATGTATTACATTTATAATTAAAAATTCACAACTCAATGTCAAGTGTGAACCTTGTGTTGACCCTGATTTGAGCAAGCAATAAAAAGATATTTTTGAGACATTTAGATTATGAATTTCACATTTGATGATAGTTACTATTAATTTTGTGAGGTGTGATATTGGCAATGTGGTTAGATGACTTCAGAGAAAAAGGAAGGTATAGTTAAGCAAGTATGGCAACATCTAATAACTTGGGTCTAGGTGATGTGTATGGGTTTCATTATACTGTCCTCTTTACTGTTGTATGTATTTGAAAACATTCATGACAAAAAAACTTTTTAATCAGTTAAATAAACCATGAAGAACGGTTAAAGAAGTGAGCTTCCAAGAAGTGTTTATAATAACAGTACTGAAACACACGAATTCACTAACTAGTAAGCATCTGTATTAGTCAGGGTTCTCTAGATGGACAGAATAGGATATATATAGATATATGTAATATGTATATAGGTAATATGTATATATATGTAATATGTGTATATATATGTATATAAAGGGGAGTTTATTAAGTATTAACTTACATGATCACAAGGTCCCACAATAGGCTGTCTGCAAGCTGAAGAGCAAGGAGAGCGAGTCCGAGTTCCAAAACTGAAGAACCTGAAGTCCGACGTTCGAAGGCAGGAAGCATCCAGCACAGGACAAAGATGTAGGCTGGGAGGCTAGGCCAGTGTCTCCTTTTCACATTTTACTGCCTGCTTTATATTTGCTGGCAGCTGATTAGATTGTGTCCACCAGAATAAGGGTGGATATTTCCCAGCCCAGACTCATATGTTAATCTCTTTTGGCAGCACCCTCACAAACACACCCAGGATCAAACTTTGTATCCTTCAATCCAATCAAGTTGACACTCAGTATTAACCATCACGGCATTCATCACTGGGATTGTAATTGTGTTAGAAAACTGTAGAAAGGCTTCCTAGGAGGGCATTTGGACAAGACTGCTTTAAGGTAATTCCTCCACTCCCCAACTAATTTAAAAAATAACTAAGTACATATTATATTGCAAATAATAAAAATAATTACCATTACTTGCTTTCATGGCATAAAGAAAAAACAGACAATACTACTTATATTTATTCTCATATGCTATTTAAACAAGGCTCAGAAATTTTAGATTTATCAGAATCACATCTTAACAGGGTAATTTAAAAGTGAATGTGCCTGATTAACTCAAAATGGATTAAAGACCTAAATGTAAGAGCTTAAACCATTTAACTCTTAGAAGAAAACAAGGGAAAAGCTTCATGACATTGGATTTGGCAATGATTTCTTGGATATGATAGCAAGAGTACAGACCACAGAAGTAAACATAAATTGGACTATATCAAAATTAAAAGCTTCTGTGCATCAAAGGCCATAATCAACAGAGTGAAAAGGCAACCTAAGGAATGGGAGAAAATATTTACCTATCATATCTGATAAGGGTGAATATCTAGAATATATAAAGAGCTCCTACAACTCAACAACAAAAACCAAACAACCTGATTCAAAAAGGGGCATATTCGCTGTTTGTATATTTTCTTTAAAAAATGTCTATTCAAGTCCATGAAGAGATGCCCAACATCTTTCCCCTCATCATTAGGGAAAAGCAAATTAAAACCATAATGACATTAACACCTCACATCCATTAGGATGGCTACTATTAAAAAAAAAAAAACTAGAAAATAACTAGTGTTGGCAAAGATGTAGAGAAATTGGAATCCTTATGAACTGTGGGTGGAATGTAATATGGTATACCCTCTATGGCAGTTCCTCAAAAATTTAAAAGTAGAGGCTGGGTGTGGTGGCTCACGCCTGTAATCCCAACACTTTGGAAGGCTGAGGAGGGTGGATCACCTGAGGTGAGTTTGAGACCAGCCTGGCCAACATGGCAAAACCCTGTCTCTACTAAGTAAACTACAAAAATTAGCCAGGCGTGGTGGTGGGCACCTGTAATCCCATCTACTTGGGAGGCTGAGGCAGGAGAACTGCTTGAACCTGGGAGGCAGAGTTTGCAGTGGGCTGAGATCACGCCACTGCACTCCAGCCTGGGCGACAGAGTGAGACTCCATCTCAATCAGTCAATCAATAGAATTACCATATGATCTAGCAATCCCATTTCTGGGTGTATACCCAAAAGAATTGAAAGCAGGGTCCTCAAGAGGTATTTGTACACACATGTTCATAGCAGCATTACTCAACCCGTGTCACACTGATGGATGAACAAAATGTGGTATATACAACTGAATATTCAGCTTTAAAAAGTAACTTCTGACACGTTACAACATGGACAATCTTGAGAACATTATACTAAGTGAAAAAAGCCAGTCACAAATACTGTGATTCCACTTATATGAATCCTTAGTCAAATTCAGAGAGAGTGAGTACAATGGTGGTTGTCAGGGGATGTGGGGAGGAATGGGGAGTTGTTTAATGGTTAAGTCAGTTTTGCAAGATGAAAAAATTCTGGAGATTGGTTGCAAAACAAAGTGACTACATAATACTTAACCATAAACACTTTAAAAAGATTAAGATAGCGTATTTTGTTACATATATTTTACTACAATTTTAAAGTAGGTGAATGTGCTTAACTTTACAGGGTGATAAGTACATTGCTTTTGACTCAAAGCTAGAAATCTGTATCTTGGCACCAAATAACAAATTACATAGCTTCTATTTTTTTGAGATAGTCTCGTCTGTCGCCCAGGCTGGAGTGCTGTGGCATGATCTCGGCTCACGGCAACCTCCACCTTCTGGGTTCCAGCAATTCTCGTGCCTCAGCCTCCTGCGTAGCTAGGACTACAGGCGCCTGCCATCATGCCTGGCTAATTTTTTGTATTTTTAGTAGAGACAGGGTTTTGCCATATTGCCCAGGCTGGTCTCGAACTCCTGAGCTCAGGCAATCTGCCTGCCTCAGCCTCCCAAAGTGCTAGGACTACAGGCCTGAGCCATTGTGCTGGGTCTCAAATTACATACCTTCTTAATAAATGAGGAAGATTTATCAATTTTGGATCAAAGCCATAACAAGAGCTATTTAATGAATGCCTTCTAAATGCCGTGCACTTCACAAATACAATAGTACCTTTAAACCTCACAAGGCAGGTATTTCTATTTTAGCTACTGTTATTATTATTTTTTTAAGAGATGGGGTCTCCCTGTATTGCCCAGGCTGGAGTACAATGGCTATTCACAGGTGTGATCATAGCATACTACAGACTTAAACTCTTTGGCTCAAGTGATCCTCCTGCCTTGGCTCCTGAATAGCTGTGACTGTAGGTGCACACCACTGTGCCCATCTTTTCTATTTTATAAATAGGAAAACTTAGGCTCAGTAAGATTTTGGGCTTTTGTTAGGGGAGAAGTGGCAGAGCCAGAATTTAAACCCAAGTGTGTGTGGCTCCAAAGCTCATGTTCATTCCCCAATACCACAGGCCTTGCCAGACATGCTTATGTTGGGACCATTTGATTGTGGTATTTCTTTAGCCTTAGTCTGCTAAAGTTCTAAAACTAAAAAGGTAGGGGGAAAAAAGAGACATCACCTTTAGTCATTCTAGATCTATGTAGCAGGTATTATTCATTACCTGTAGCAGATAAAAGGCAACCATTATTATTACTGATGTCATTCTAAGTAGATTTTAAACATTTGGATGCAATCCTTTTATCATGGAAATATTTAATTATATCATATATTCTTAATTTTAGTTAAAATCATGTCTGGCATGATGCCTTTAGCAACTTCTTACCATCCAAGAAAAGGTCCTTTTCCATAGTCTTAAAATAAGTAGTATTTACTAAGTTTACACTTTTCAATATGTAGATACTAAAAAAAAAGCTTGATTTTATAAAAAGGTGGTAATGTTTAATTCATTATGAGACCTCCATATGTGAGATTCTTTCTCTCTTCTAATATTTTCTAAATACTTACTCATAGCAGGTACTGTCCTAAATGCTTTATATGTATTGGCTCAGAAACTCCTCCATATTATCTACGAGGTGGTACCATTTCTACTCCTACTTTATAGATGAGGCATAAAAAAGTTAATTAATTTGCTAAAGGTTTCACAGGTGATAAGTGGCTGAGCAGGGTTTTAAAGTCTGATTTGAGTTTGTGGTCTGGTGGGCAGTGTGGCTCAGTGGACAGGAACCTGGGCTTTTTCCTGTAGAGAAGACATAGCTTTTAGCATAAGGATTCCCCCAAACTGATGACAAGTACAACTTGAATGCATATATAAATAACATTTATTAACTTAGGCTGTACAATATATTGATTTAGTCAAATAAAAAATACCGTACACAAAAATTGAAGTAAAATCTGTAAGATGCCATTCAGACTGAATTTTATATTCTGAATAAGACAAGGGACTGCCATTCACTTAAAGCAAAATGGCTCCAATTCCGTTTATCTATCTATCTATCTATCTATCTATCTATCCATCTATCTATCTATCTATCTATAAGTCTCGCTCTGTCACCCAGGCTGGAGTATCTATCTATTTATTTATGAGATAAGTCTCGCTCTGTCACCCAGGCTGGAGTGCGGTGGTGCAATCTCGGCTCACTGCAACCTCTGCCTCCCACGTTCAAGTGATGCTCCTGTCTCAGCCTACTGAGGAGCTGGGATTACAGGCATGCACCATCACACCTGGCTAATTTTTGTATTTTTAGTAGAGATGGGGTTTCACCATGTTGGCCAGGCTGGTCTCGAGCTCCTGACCTCAGGTGATCCACCCACCTTGGCCTCCCAAAGTGCTGGGATTACAGGCGTGAGCCACTGCGCCCGGCCTCCAATTCCATTTTGTAGGAAAGCACATAAGGCTATACCAATCAGGCACTGTGGCTGGTCTAATGCTCACACCAGGGGCCAGCCCACTGCCCAGACTTAGCCTCCAGGTAGGCTGCTTTGCTATTTAAAGGCAACAGTCTTAGGATCCTTATTATAAAAGTTTAAACAAAATCCCAAAGCCGTCAAGTCTTCCTGGAGATGGCAATGTACTATCAGTTTGGAATGTATACCAGTTTGGAAGCTGAAATCACTCTGCTGTAGCCTTTTGAGCACTGGCAGCATTTTCCAAAATTTTTCTTTTCCATTCTTCATAATCCTGTGTCAGATCTTCATCTTTCTGTGGTTTATGTGGCATCTCCTCTACCTTCTCCATTTCTGACAGAAAATTATCAAAAGCAATTTCAAAATTCTTAGCTTAGAAATGAAATTTAAAAAAAGGTAAACTTGTTTAAATTGTCTAAAATAGAAAAGATACTGAAATGACATGGAGAAACAGCAGTTATCACTTTTTTTTGAGATGGGGTCTTGTAATGTTGCTCAGGCTGCACTCAAATTCCTAGGTTCAAATGATCCTCCCACCTCCACCTCTTGAGTAGCTGGGACCGTGGCTGGGACTATAGGCTCACACTATCACACCTAGCTTAGCTATCACTTTTTTCCCTCCCTTACACTCCAAGCATTCCAAGACATCTAATAATAGCTAACGTCTATCAAGCACTTAACTGGTGCTTGATAGGCACTGAACCAAGTACTTTAAATAGCATTATTTCATTTAACCCCTACTACACTCCGTAATAGGTGATAATATTAATCACATTTTATAGGTCAGGAAATTGAGGCTCACAGAAATTATACTTTCTTAGAATCCCATAGCCAGTGGTTGGGCATAGTGGCTCATGCCTGTAATCCCAGCACTTTGGGAGGTGAAGGGGGCGGGTCACTTGAGCCCAGGAGTTCAAGACCAGCCTGGGTAACATAGTGAGGTCCCATCTCTATCAAAAATACAAAAATTAGCCAGGTGTGGTAGCACATGCCTGTAGTCCCAGCTACTCGGGAGGCTGAGGTGGGAGGATGGTTTGAGCTCAGGAGGCGGAGGCTGCAGTGAGCCGAGACCGTGCCACTGCACTCTAGCATGGGTGAGAGAACCAGGCCATGTCTCAGAAAAAGAGAAACCAAAAAACCAAAATCAAACAAACAAACAAAAAAACCAAAAAATCACATAGCCAGTAGGTGGTATTAAAACAATAATGCAGCCATTTGCCTGAGATTGTCTTTGTAGCTAAAGCTCTTATAAGCAAACTGGAACCTAACTTGGAAACATTTCTTTTGTCGGGGGAAAAGAACCTCCGAAAGACAAAAATAATCCCCAGCCAATCACAAACAGCCAACCAGCTGACTTGTTATACAACTAGGGACTTCCCATCAGACCATGCCCAGGTTTAAGACAAATACCTAGCTGTAGCTGCCCAGGCTGGTCTCGCACTCATGGGCTCAAGCAATCCTCCCGCCTCAGCCTCCCAAAGTGCTGGGATTACAGGAATAAGCCACTGTGCCAGACCAGCCATATTCTTAATTACCCAATAACGATGTTACTTCCATTACTGATTGCTTGGAAAACTGGTCTTATCAAATGATTCACAGTCAGAATGTACTTAAAACTGGACTCCTGTCAGGCAAGCTGCTAGAGCAGCACTGGGCTGTTCACTGCATAAAATGTCAACGTCAGTACCGTGTTAGTAAAACTTACCCTTTGCTGGGGCTTCAACCACTATCTTCTTTCTCTTCCGTGGTGGAGTAGCTACATCTCCAGGTTCTCCTTTAAGAAGTGTTATCAAGGTTAATTTTTCTCCTGTTCTCAATTTCAGTATTTGGGCATGTTTTGGATCACAAATAAAATTAGACATCTTAACTGATCAAATATGAGGAGAAGAGAAATGATCTTAGACCTCTCTTTTGGGCCTCTTGTCAGACTTGAGAATCATTTTCCAGGCATAGATTCATGGAATCATAGGTTAGAAACATCAATAAAAACATACCTGGTCCACATGTAATACGGAATTTAGGAAGCAGCCAGTTTACATATTTGAAAATATTTGACTTTTACAAGCAAAAGGACTACATTTTCAAATGACGCATTCTTGAACTACAGAATACTTACTGTCGACCTGCTGTCCAATCTTCTCTAGTTGTTTACACAGTCGATCAAATATAGCTTTTTTTACACCGGATGTGGCTACCATTTTGTTTTTATCCACTTTCAGCTTTAGAATCCTACAAAACAATTTCATAAGTTGCTTTTCTCAAGACCTGTACAGTTTTCTTCTCTGGGCAACCAGATAATCAACTTATTTTCTTTTTGACCATGCTTCCAGAGCCTCTGTCTAGTTTTTTTCCTTCATTCCAAACATGTTATTATCTATGCTAAGTTGTTTAGTTGTTTATTGGACTGAGAGTTAAAATGCACATGGGATCTATTTTATAACAAAAGGGGCACATAAAAGACATTTGCTGTAGTGCTTCATGACTTTTAGAACTCTTTAGTAAATCTCAGATTAATTTAATGAATGACAATCATAGGACTTTTTTGTTCCACTCATTTTAACTCACAGGATATTTATATTACAGGAATGTAACAACCCCACCCCACCCTGAAAATAAACTTTCCTAATAAGACTCCACAGCAACCACTAATTACAAACACAAAATAAACTTTTTCTTCAGAATAGACCTGTCAAGACCTTTTCTTACTCAGCGTAATATGGTTTCAAAAGTAGAGTTGACTATTCTCACTGTTTTCTACAATATCAGCTGCACTCCCTCCGTATATGCACATACTTTTGTTGAATTGAAGAGATGTTTTCCATAAATGCCAATTAATACTCCTAGGTATGTACCTAATAGAGCCAAGCATACCAAAATTAGTGGGTAGGTAGTGAGAAATCCATTCTTTAAGGGCCAACTACATTTTGTTTTCTAAGGAGTTTTCTGGCAAGATAAAAATAAGATAACTTTAGACAAAGATTATCAACAATTACTAATATTTCCAAGGTAACATTTCAGCATACACATAGATAACCCACAATTGTAAGATTCAGATGTGATAATTTATCACTAAAATGTTATAAATTCCTTGAAGAACAGTTGTAGCCAGTGTTTTGTTTTTTTTTTAAGAGACAGTGTTGTGGGGGGGTCAGCCCCCCGCCCGGCCAGCCGCCCCGGCCGCCCCTACTGGGAAGTGAGGAGCCCCTCTGCCCGGCCAGCTGCCCCGTCCGGGAGGGAGGTGGGGGGGTCAGCCCCCCGCCCGGCCAGCCGCCCCGTCCAGGAAGGAGGTGGGGGGGGTCAGCCCCCCCGCCCGGCCAGCCGCCCCGTCCGGGAGGTGAGGGGCGCCTCTGCCCGGCCGCCCCTACTGGGAAGTGAGGAGCCCCTCTGCCCGGCCACCACCCCGTCTGGGAGGTATGCCCGACAGCTCATTGAGAACGGGCCAGGATGACAATGGCAGCTTTGTGGAATAGAAAGGCGGGAAAGGTGGGGAAAAGATTGAGAAATCGGATGGTTGCCGTGTCTGTGTAGAAAGAAGTAGACATGGGAGACTTTTCATTTTGTTCTGCACTAAGAAAAATTCTTCTGCCTTGGGATCCTGTTGATCTGTGACCTTACCCCCAACCCTGTGCTCTCTGAAACATGTGCTGTGTCCACTCAGGGTTAAATGGATTAAGGGCGGTGCAAGATGTGCTTTGTTAAACAGATGCTTGAAGGCAGCATGCTCGTTAAGAGTCATCACCAATCCCTAATCTCAAGTAATCAGGGACACAAACACTGCGGAAGGCCGCAGGGTCCTCTGCCTAGGAAAACCAGAGACCTTTGTTCACTTGTTTATCTGCTGACCTTCCCTCCACTATTGTCCCATGACCCTGCCAAATCCCCCTCTGTGAGAAACACCCAAGAATTATCAAAAAAAAAATAAATTAAAAAAAAAAAAATAAAAATAAAAATAAAAAAAATGTAAAAAAAAAAAAAAAAAAAAAAGAGACAGTGTTGCTGTGTTGCCTAGGCTGCAGTGTAGTAGCGTGACCATAGCTCACTATAACCAAGAACTCCTAGGCTCCAGTGAGCCTTCAGCTTCAGCCTCCCGAGTAGCTGAGAAGCCAGGACTGGAGGCATGTGCTGACACCCAGCTAATTTTTTTTTTTTTTCTTAAGAGATTGGGGTCTTATTATGCTGTCTAGGCTAGTCTTGAACTCCTTGCCTCAAGCAGTCCTCCTGCCTCTGCCTCCCAGTGTTGGGATTACAGGCGGGAGCCACCACGCCTGGCCCAACCAGTACTTTTTAAAAAATATGAGCAGAAAAATCACATGTGAAGACTGTTTTAATGACAGATATCATCTCTTACAAAAGGCAGACTGAAATCAGAATTCCCAGCATATATATACAGCTGCTATTTGCTAGTGGAATTCTGGCAACACTAGTTCCAAGTTGTTAGCTACATTATGGGATAAACTGGGAATATAGTCACTTGGCCAATATTCCTAATATTATTTCTAGGGGAAAATATGCTCTGAATTGATATCAACTAAGTTAGAAGTATTCCTTGGGGATGAAAAACCCACTTGTAAATTGGTAACTTTTCTGAATGTTTAATGAAATACCTACTTGCATGCTGAAAGCAGTGCAGCAGAAGTGAAAAGTGGCCTGGATAAGTCAAGATCCACTTGCTGTGTCTGGGGAAGACTGGACTCATAGCTAAAGGAGAAGTTATTGCAGAATTATCTGTTAGAAAATATTATTTGAAAAGAGACTGAAAGTATCAACCAGAACTTACAAGCTTTTAAAATGGATATGTGTGCTGTCACTTAACACGAGTCATTTTTTTTAAGACTGAAAATTAACCAGAACAGGACAATGGATAATTTGTATCTATCAGTATAAATTTTCTGGTCCCCCCCACCGCCACCGCCGCCCCGCCCCAAGACGGAGTCTTGCTCTGTCATCCAGGCTGGAGTGCAGTGGTGCAATCTCGGCTTACTGCAACCTCCACCTCCTGGGTTCAAGCAATTCTCCTGCCACAGCCTCCCGAGTAGCTGGGATTACAGGTGCATGACGCCTCGCCCAGCTAATTTTTGTATTTTTAGTAGAAATGGGGTTTCACCATGTTGGCCAGGCTGGTCTTGAACTCCTGACCACATGATCCACCCAACTTGGCCTCCCAAAGTGCTGGGATTACAGGCGTGAGCCACCACGCCCGGCCTATTGGTATACATTTTCAATTAAGGTTCTCTATGCCCCATACCTTTTTAGTATCTTTGAAGCCATGTTCACTGCTTCTATACAGCTAAACTGTACAGCTAGGTCTCTTATTCCAATATTTGAATTCAGGCCCAGTAAACACTCAAAAGATTTAAGACAGCTCTGATATGTCTCCTTGTTCAAACCAGAAAGTTTAATTAAATAAGCCTGTGAAAGGAAAAACACATACACAAATCATAAAAACCTTAAGTTCTATATATTAGTACCCTTAAACACTTGTTTAATAAGCAGTATAACTTTTCAAAATTAATTTTGTGGCAAGTCACTCTACCTAAAGGTTTAGCTTCATTTAGTCAAAAAACTGGTAATCATGTCAGGCTGAGGAAGTACTGCTTTCAAAGAGTTCAAACTATGCAAAGGCAGGCAGTCATGCATATGCACAGATGATTTAAAATTATAACACAATATTAATATAGTCAAAATAGGCAGTAAAAAACCACAGGAAACACACAGATGGTTACTTGTGTTTATACAAAGGTGCTAACGTGTAATTTATTGGGAAAAGGAAGGAGAGAAGTAGCGGGAGTGGAGTAGGGGGCGGGGTGGTGAGAGAGAGAGAGAGAGAGAGAGTGTGTGTGTGTGTGTGTGTGTGTGTGCAGGAGAGAAAGAGGAAAAGGAAACTAGGAAAAGAAACAGGAGGATCCACTGTGGGAAACCAGCTCTGTCTGGGAGACTTAAGGAAAGTTTCAATGTAACAATAAGGCAAGGTCATGTAAGACAAATAGGAGTTTGCCAGAAGAGCATTGCAGGAAAAAAACAAGGTATTGCATTTTCAAAGCCACAAATCATTGACGTGCAGAGTCTGTTAAGAGAATACTGCAGCTTGAGGCCAGGATTCAAGAGAGGCTGGAGAGTTTGATGGTCATCAACAAAGCTTTGTTTTTAGTATTACCATTTAATGAGTGTATCGTTATGACACAGGTGCTGTGTTAATGGTGTTATGTACATTTAATCCTCATAATAATCCAGCGAAATTGGATATTTTATCTTCACTTTATGGATGAGGACACTGGAGGCTAACAGAGGTAGCTAGTGTGGAGATTTGATCTCAACATGAAACTCCTCCTGACTGACCCCAAAGCTTGTTCTCTCAAACACTGTGACATTGGAAGAAAAGCATAGGGGTTTGGAAATACGTGCTTTAAAAGGAGGGTAATGCTAGCAGCAATGTGGAAGATGGCCTCTAGCCGAGAAAGAGGTGGTCAGGGAAAACAGTGAAGAGTAAAGAAAACATGGCAAAAAAATATTTTCCAATGCAAAATGATTCTACAGTATTTCCAGAATAACACACAAGAATACCCAGGACAATTCTAAAACAAGAGTTTTTACTAGGGTTTAGTTCAACCAAAAGTTAAAAGAGCTTCAATGTTGCACTGGATTATTCAGACATTCGGTGGGACCTACTTACCCTGTCCAAGGGGCACTTCATCCAGGAAGCTGCAAGGTCCAGGCACATGACTGCACTGCTGGTCTCCGTGGTGCGTGCGGAGAGGCCGACACACTTCACCCGGGACAGGCGCAAGTACTCCTCTGCTTTCCTGGTTAAAAGGGCAGTGTGTTCGCTACAACTTATTCAGAAGTTTGCTCAACACGTTGGTAAACAATGAATACAGCCTGGTTAGCTTCACACTAAGCCTAACTCCTGTGGCTCGTTTATCTGGGGCTGGGAATGAAGGTCATATCCTCTGGTGAGAGGAAGACAGAACCAGCACTGACTCCAAACATCACTGTGCTCAAATGCTTTCAGGCAAAAGGAAGTTAAATTTTGACAAAAAAATTACCCTTCTTTCCTCCTTCCATTACTGGAACAAGCACGAACTATCAGAGACAGGCAGGTTAGACCAGGGTTCCTCCTTTCCTCCTATTTCCTTTAAATCAGTAGTTCTTAAACTTGATGGTAGGCGAAAATCACCTTGGGGACTTGCAAATTACTGGGTCCCAGGCCGAGTTACTGATCAGCAGGCTTGAGGTGGGACCCAAGAATTTGTATTTCTAACAAGTGACAAGATGATATGGCTGTTGCTGGTCCAGGAACCACATTTTGAGAACCACTGTTCTAAATGACTACCGAGTCCTGCAGGTTTGTCTTCAAATCTTTTAAGTGCTGTTTTCCTTGCCTTCCCTCGCCTGACTGCTCCACGTTTTAGCTACAATGGCTTTATTTCGAACCCCGGATCCCGCTTCCCATCTCAACGCTTTTACAGGAGCTGTCGCCCCTGCCTGGGCTGCTCTTGCCATATCTTTCCTCGCCTAGCATCTGCCATCAATCCGGCCTCAGCGGGAACGGCGCCTGCTTTTCCGAGTTTTGTTTGTTTCTTTGTGTTAAAGGCAGCCGCTAGGCCGCGCTCCACCCCAAGCCCAGTGGCTCAGGAGCATTGCCCGGTTAAGGTCTACACAGTCCTCGCCCTTACAGACAGCGGGGTCTGCGCCTCGTTGTCGGGTTCCCCGCTATAAACCCGACTGCAGTAGGCGTTGGCGGAATGAACGGAAAGTTCTCCCTGGCTCATTTTTCTACCCACGGACAGGGCTGGCTGTTCCCAGGGACGTGTGCCATCGCCGTTTGCTATCGCCCTTCTTGCCATCTCATTCAAGCTCACGGCCGAGAAGTTTTTCTTGAAGTAGGCCCTAAACCCCGCCCGGCCCCAGCGCTCCCCGTCACTCCCCCGCCGCCCGTCGCCTGGGAAGGGCGCGGGCCTCACCTGAGGGCCCAGGGCCGCGAGGCGGAAGCCCAGCCCTGGTCTTGCGCGGCCGAACTCACCTCAGCATGTCGGGCTCGGCGAGGCCCAGGCGCGGGGCTAGGCGCCCGATCAGCTCCGACCCCATGGCGCCGGCACTAAAGCGAACAATTCCCGTGAACGCCGCGGGTCAACGAAACCCGCGCGCAAAGGCTGCACCGGCCAGTGAGAGCCAGGCCCCACCCCCGGCGCATCTGGATTGGTTAGGACAGGACGTTGAGACCGTCCCACAAACCAATCAGGGTCTTCCTTTTGCGCATGCGCATCAATAGCGCAATCGCCAACGCAGATGCGGTGAACGTGGACTTGTCGGCTCCCCCTCCTTCCATTCCTTCTTGACAAACTCATCACACACTGCCTTTCCCTCCTGTTGTCTCCTGCCTGCCGCCGGGCGATCCCCACTGCCCTGCACTGCTCCGCCCACTCTCGCACGCTGTGGTGAGATTGGCTGGCGCTCAGGTCCGTCCATCTAGCGTTAAGTGACAGGGCCAATAAGCACGCGAGACTCGGGTTCCTAGAAGTAGGCCAATCAATGAGCCGCCTGTAGGGCCCGGGGGCGGGGCTAGAGAGGGCGGGGCTTGGAGGGGCCGCAGCGTCACATGACCGCGGGAGGCTACGCGCGGGGCGGGTGCTGCTTGCTGCAGGCTCTGGGGAGTCGCCATGGTGAGTGCTGAGGGGGCAGTGGCACCTGGGTCGACCCTCCTTGTAGCCCCTGCTCTCTCCCACCGCCCCGCACTCCAGCGAGTGGAGAAGGGGCCCCACAGACCGTTCGGGATTAAGACCAGCCCGATTTGGCCTGCGGGATAGGGGACAGCAGGAGGAAGGCCGCGGGCAGGCTGATCCGGGCCGGGGTGGGCGGCGGCTCTTGGCTGCGGCCGTTGCTGAGAGACGGGGCGGCCTCTCTGTGGGGTTGACTTGGCATGTAGGCTTTGGGGTCCATGAAGGCCTGCGGCCTCCTTTAAGTGGAATCGGTCACCTGCCTACCACGAGGGGACCGGTAGTCCTAGGTCTGAGCGTCTGGCCCCCGGGGCGCGTGGAGGCCCTGAGACTCGGAGGTGGCGCCGGGACCCGCCCAGATGTTGCGTTTCTACCTTTGTGCCTAGTTGTGCTCGGCCGTCCCCACGCCCTCCTGGAGGGGTCGCAGTGATTCCTTGGCCTTTCTTGGCCTCATACCCGCCTTCGGCTGCAGTGTTTGTCAGCGAGTTCTGGGGACCTGCTTACATGAATTTCCTGGAAGGACTCAGGCTGTCTTCTAATCCTGACGGTCGCAAAGGAGACTGATTGTTTACTTTAGCATTTGTGCATTGGGCGCACCTTGCCTCTTTTGTCTCGCCATTGATAAAATCCAAGTATTTGACTTGCTGGAAGCAGTACTTCTCCTTAGGGCCCGTCTATGACGGCAGCAAATCGTGGTGTGGCTGTTGGCCGGTAAACTTGAACTTCCTCAAAATGTGAATCTTTGTGTCTGGTTCCCACAAAGGCAAGTTGTCACTTGCATTTTATTAGCGTTTAACATAGCCTGCACTGTGTAAATAAATTTTTTGAGTATATACTGTATGTCCGCTTTAATTACCTTACTCACTCTGTGTAGATAGGCTTCTGTAAATCTGTAAGCCTGGAAACAGATTTCACTTTAAATGTCTTAATGCCAGAAAGGATTAAGTGTTTTACAAATACTATTTTCATATAACGTGTTGCCGTACAAGGTGATTTTGCCTGTTTCTCAGGATTTTTATAATTGGGAATTGATACAAGACCGGCGCAAAATTTAACTTTAGGATTTGTGTGTTTCCAGCGTTTATGGATTGACATTTATATTGTTTTGTAATGGAAAACACTTAATTGAGGATGTATTACACACTCCGATTCTTTGTTGGGTGAACCAGTTGGGAGCAATCAGCCAGACACACAGTCTTGTCCTCATGAATTTTATTGGGAAAGGAAACTTGAGTATTCGTTCTTTCACAGTCACTGTCTATAATTTAGGCAGCTCGCTTAGTCTTCTTGGTGTCGCACTTTTGCATCCGAAAGCAAGTGTTGGCGGCCCCTTTGGCCCTTCCCAGCCCTAAAATTCCAGAATCCACTTCAATTCATCAAACATCTTGTGTGCCTTCAGTGTCACGGACTGTGGCCCTGGGTACCAATGTCGAACTTAAGAGGCTACTGGGGGAGACACGCTTGTAGAACTTAACTGTAATACAGTGTGTGGATTGCTTTACTAACATTGTCAACTCAGTGCTTTGGGGTCATGGAGGGATAGTTTTGCCTGGGGATTTTGGGAAGGACTACAGGAAGTAACGTGAACTGAGACTATAAAGAGGGTGGAAAGAAATTCTCCAGGTGGAAAGAAAAGGTATTGCTAATAGATGAAGCCAAAACGTTCAGTGTGCTCCATCAGAGGATTCTTGGGGATATGTATTGGAAATGAAGTTAGAGCCGTTTGGTGTTCAAATTATATTTTGAAGTTGTCATGCCCTCATCATCCTTATTTCTCTCTACTTCAGTTGTCAATGTATGCCATGTCATCATTTTTAAAATAGTTCTTTCATTAACGTGATATTCTGTACCTTTGTTTGAAGAAATGAGCGTTACATTTGGTTTACATTGTACTGTCAGATTACATCTACAGCATATAAGCAGGGAGGTTGAACCACAATAGGTTTCTAACATAAGTGGAGATAATTATTTGTATCTAAACTGAATAATAATTATAGCACTTATTAAGTGCTTATTGCTAAGTAGTAGGCACGTTTTGAGCTTTGGTTTCATTTGTTCTTCATAACAGTGGTGTACTCTCATCTCTGTTTCATAGAAGAGGAAAGAAAAGCACATTGTTTCAGTGGAGAGTAGTTTTCCAAGTGATCAGTTCATGATCTTTGCTTTGCTCTGCACATTAGAACTGTAGACTTGAGAGGGCTGTTTGTGGGTCTCAAGCTAAAATGGGACTAATCACAAATGTTAATTTGATTCCCATTCTGTAGGGTTTCCATTTTCTTCTGATTCATGTAGCTGTGAAGTACGGTCATTTACAAATGGAAAACCACTTTCATGATTGAGGAAACATTGGTTAATTGGCTTGTGTTTAATGATAGCGTGCTCATATTATAACTGTTAAGGCTCTATGTGACACTTCATAGTAAGGCATCAAGAATAGCCCTTATAATAGCTGTTGCTAGCATAACTACACTGTTTTATGAGTAATATATAAAAATAGATTGCTTTACTATAGCTTTATGTCTTCACTTGTAGCTTACTTTGTAATAAGTCATATTCTGTAATCTTCAACATTTTGTATTTACATTTCTATTTTAAGCTGAGTTGAGACAAAATAGAAGAATTTTCCTAAAATTGCATTCTTTTGTTTACACATCTCTAAATCTTTCTAGTCATTCTATACAAATGTTTTTGGAACTGATTGTATCCTCTTTGTAGCCACAGTTTCATTTGCTATATAATAAAAATTATCATACACAACAGCCAAAAGGTGGAAACAACCCATATGTCCATGGATAAACAAAATGTAGTGTGTGTGTATATATATAGATATATAATGAAATACTTCGTTTTTAAAAGGAGGGAAATTCTGGCACATACTGCAACATGGATGAACATTGAAGATATTATGGTCAGTGAAATAAGCGAGACATAAAAGTAAAAATATTGTATGATTTCACTTAAATGAAGTATATAGAGTAGTCAAACTCAGAGAAAAGAAGGTAGAATTGCCTGGGGGTTCGGAATGGGAGTTTAATGGCTACAGTTTCTATTTGCATTTGTAAAGATAAAAAGTTTTAGAGATAGATGGTGGTAATTGTATTAATGTGAATGTACCTAATGCCACTGAACTGTACATTTAAATGTTAAAATGGTAAATTTTAGGTACATTTTACCACAACAAGAAGTCATTTTTAATTAAAAATATCCAGATGTATCATAAAGAAAAATAAAAAAAATTCAGATGTATCACTGTTTATCTCTAAATGGATCAATTGAACTTAATGAAATCCATTGATTCAAATTATTATTAAATCTATTGCGTCCAGAGGTAAGGAGCCAAAAAATTCCAAATGATGGCCTGGTTTCACTAAAGTTCAGAGAAGACTAGCCCATGATGAATAGTAAATTTCATTAAGTCAGAGTCTTTAAATGCTGGTGTCATCCTTGCCTCTGAAACCAGCATTTTATGGTAATAGTTCCACTGGGTTAAATTCATGTTCCCTTTAAGTGAAGTTTAAAAGATACCTAACTTCTTCTTTGAAATTTGTTTGTGCTTCTGAGGAAGAGTGCTTGCAGCAGAGCTCAGTTTACTAGAGTTTTTCATAGGGAAAAAAAGGGAGATGCATGGTGTTGTTCATTATTCAGTTAATATTTTTCTCTTTCCAAAGTTAGAACAAGAGAAAGTTTTCAATTTTTATAAGCTATGCTAGTTCAGAAGTGGGTTTTATGTTATCAAGTTTCTTTGTTAATCTCAAAATGAAATGTTGTTTTGCTTTTCTTAGATAATGAAACAGACCAGATTTTACTTGCAGGTTGATGTGTAAGTCCTTGCCTTCCACCTCTTCAACTCATTGTGTGAGAGGCATTTTGTCTTTAGTCATTGTTTTAAAAAATAAAAGTGAAATGACATAACAAAAAATTAACCATTTTAAAGTGAACAATTTATAAAGTGGCATTTAGTATGCTCACAATACTGTACAATCACCACCTTTGGTTTCAAAACATTTTCCCTACCCCTAAAAGAAAGCCAGTGCCCATTAAGTGATTATTCCCCTCAGCCTCTCTCCTGGTAATCATCAGTCTACTTTCTGTTCCTATACAGAATATTTCATATTAGAGGAATCATACAATATGTGGCTTTTTATGTCTAGCTTCTTTCATTTAGCATGATGTTTTCTAGGTTTGTTTATGTAGCAATACTTCATTCCTTTTCATGGTTGAATAATATTCTGTAATTGTATGTATATACCACAACTTGTTTATTCATCCATTAATTATTCAGTCTTTTTTTGTTAAATATCTAAACATTCTAAAACCAGTGTATTCATTTATGCAGTGAACATTTGTGGAGCATATTATGTATCAAGCAGTGTGTTGGATCCCAAGGATGTAAAAATGACCGTCATTTATAATAATAATGTGATACATGCTGTGGTGGAGATGTAAACAGTGTTTATATGACTTGAAGAAGTGGTTAATTCTTTTTGGCATGGAGATTGAATTCATTTTGCAAGCAGATTTTTGCTGATGGCAAAGAGAAGAGTGTCTAGATATATTTTGTCCACTGTAGCTGTAGATCAGTATATCTGAAATGGTGTAAGCTATTTGAGGACAGTGCTCTTTATTGTTTTCTACTGTAAGTCACTAACAATTTTGGCTGTTTTATTTCTAGACTGTTTAGTCTTTTGTTAAATATTGCCAAGGAGGGGCTGGTCACTGTTCTCGTAAACTAGTTCCTTAGTCTGTCTTAAGAATAGACTGAAATGCAGATGATAAGTAGTCTAGAGGAAAAGAGAGGCTTTAGAGATTGGTTTCGGCTATACCTATCACAAGATTTCGATTGGTCAGATGGCTATGTCTGGGTTGGATTCAGAGTGTGTTAGCAGAACACAGCCATGAACTACCACTGCAAGTTTCTTTGAGGCCAGCCTACTTTCTGAGAGAGAGGCAATTCTTTGTACACATACTATTCTCCTTTGTCAGTCTTATTCTGTTAACTTCAGCGATAAGGCATGACTCTGTGTGCAGCAGCTGTTAATAATTGGTAAATGGGCTGGGTGCGGTGGCTCATGCCTATAATCCAAGCACTTTGGGAGGTCGAGGCAGGCGAATCACGAGGTCAGGAGATGGAGACTATCCTGGCTAACATGGTGAAACCCCGTCTCTACTAAAAATAGAAAAAAAATTAGCCGGGTGTGGTGATGGGCGCTTGTAGTCCCAGCTACTTAGGAGGCTGAGGCAGGAGAATGGCTTGAACCCGGGAGGCGGAGCTTGCCATGAGCCGAGATGGCACCACTGCACTCCAGCCTGGGCGACAGAGCTAGACTCCGTCTCAAAAAAAAAATTTGGTAAATGGGTTTGAGG